>NW_025791770.1:0-301310 GCF_000001405.40 Homo sapiens
ACCAGTGAATCCATCTAGGGCTAGGTCTGGTGCTTTCTGTTTTGAAAAGTTATTAATTATTCACTCAATGTCTTTAATAGATACAGGCCTATTCAGATTGTCTATTGCTTCTTGTGTGTTTTGGCAGTTTGTGTCTTTCAAGGAATTGATCCATTTCATCTAGGCTATCAAATCTGTGGGCATAAAGATGTTGATAGTATTCTTTTATTATCCTTCTATTGCCCATCATATCTGTAGTGATGTCACCTCTGTAATTTCTGATATCAGTAATTTGTGTTCTCTCTTTTTTTCTTGGCCTAACTCATTGTTTCTTAAACCTATGTTAGTCAGATTTTTGTCCATACCACTTCCCAGAAACTGCCTTTGTCAAGGTCAACAATGACCTTCACTTGTCAATTCCAAAGGTCAGCTTTCAGTCTTCATCTTTCTTGACCTATTGGCAACACTGGACCCAGCTGATCACTCCCACTTCCTGGAAACACTGGCCTCACTTGGCTTCTATGACACCACAATTCCCCGATTTTCTTTCTGCCTCCTGTGGTTCTGTTCCTGGTCCTTTGCTGTTTCTTTCTAATCCCCACAGCCTCTTAATGTTAGAGGAGTTTAGGGCTCAGACCTTGGACGACCTCTCCTCTTTTCTACCCTCATTCTCATGGCAAACTCATCCAAATCTTATAGTTTTCGATATTACTATATGATGATGACTCTCAAAAGTATCTCTAGTACAGACATCCTCTTCCCTGAATTCCAGAACTGTGAACTTAATGGTCTACTGAATATCTTTATTTAAGACAAATGGGGCATCTCAATCTTTTTTTTTTTTTTAAACAAGCTCAGGCAAATTTTATTAAAGGAAAATTTTGCATCGTTTACTTTTCACCAGTTTGTTCTGGCGTGCTTCTAACGATGTCAGAGTCACCTGGATCAATGATAGCCAGTGTGCACACTCTGTAGTATTTTCCACATGCTGTGCCCAGTTCAATATTATTGCCACTGTAGTGATGGACACCAGTTTTGGCCAACATTGCATAGTACTCTATTTCGGATTTCCTCAAAGCTGAGCAGTTGTTAGCAAGAATGACCAATTTAGCTTTGCCTTGGCTTCAGAGTCTGCTTGTACCCCAGCACGTACTTTCCACTTTTCATAATGAGTTGGAGCCTAGAGTTGATCGACTCCAGTGACTTTTTCATCTTCTTTGCGGCCACCATGTTCCTGCCTTAGGTGCGAGATGGCCCTCCACCAAGAGCAGCCGCTAAGATGGCCAGGACGCGAGAAAAAAAAAAGGGCATCCCAATCTTAACAAGTTCAAACTGAGCTCCTAATATTCTACCTCAGACTTACTCCGTCTGCCCTCTTTTACATCTTGGTTCTTGGGTTGGCATCTTCCATGACTCTTCTTTTTCTCTTATACCTCCCGCTCACCCATCTTAGTCTGTCAGCAAATTCTCCTGGCCCTACATTCAGAATATATCCAGGTATAACCATTTCTTATCACTTCTGCTATCATCTGGATCCAAACTCCTGTTACCTCCCACGTGAATTATTTAATTAGCCTCCTTTCTTGTCTCACTACTTTTATACTTGCCTCTGAAAATCTGTTCTCAACATAGCAGCCAGAAAAATTATGTTAAAATGGAAGTCAGGATGGGGTGATGGCTCACACCTGTAATCCCAACACTCTGGGAGGCTGAGACAGGAGGATCACTTGAGGCCAGAAGTTTGAGACCAGCCCGGGCAACATAACAAGACCCTGTATCTACAGAAATTTTAAAAATTAGCCTGGTGATACGGTGCATGGCTATAGTCCCAGCTACTAGGGAGGCTAAGGTAAGAGGATCGCTTGAGCCCAGGAGTTTGAGGCTGCAGTGAGCCATGATTGTGTTGTGCCACTGCACTCTAGCATGGGTGACAGAATGACACCCTGTCTCACAAAAATAAAATGGAGATCAGAGCATATCACTCTTCTGCTCAAATCCCTGCAGTGGCTTTCCATTTCTGTCAGAGAGGAAGCTAAAGTTCTTATAGTGCCTAAGATGCTCTGTATAATCTGAATGCCCTTTACCTGTCTGATTCATTTACTACTCTCCTTCACACATATTTCTCTCCATTTATACAAATGGAATTTGTCCTTGTTTTGCCTCAAACTTGCCAGTATGGCTACATCTTAAGGGCCTTTGGAACATCCATCTATTTGAAGTGATTCTCCCCTGCCACCAGATATTCATATGGCTCATTCCCTTTTCTTCTTCAATTTTTGCTCAACTGTCACCTTCTTAAGGAGGTCTACCCTGCCCACCCCATTAAAACATAGTCCCTCCCCTCCTCCCCTGAACACTTTTTCCTTGCTTTACTCTTTTTTTCCCATGGTGACTTATCCCCTCTATCATACCACAGAATTAGCATAGCTCTTATATTTATTGTTTACTGCCTATCTCCTGGCAGCTAGAAAGGCAAGCTCTTTGAAAGCAAGGATTTTGTCTATTCTGTTCTCTGAAGTATCCCCACCATCTAGAATAGTGCCTTCACAGTGAGAAGGACCTGTATTAGGACTTTTGACATCATTGACATTGTTTGGAATTCTTTTATGTTAAAATTATTAGATTTAGTAAATGTAAAAATATAAAATACATTACACAATATATCACATATTTGTCACCCTGTCTGTGCATTTCTGTGTATATATAAAACTAAGAACCTAAAAAAATTAGGTAGTCTGAAACTCTTTTGATCTCTGAGGGACTCTAAGTGAATATTTCAGAGTTGCTACATTTGAAGAAATCATATTTATTGATGTACATCTCTTAAGGAGGCAAATTAAGAATTCTTAGCTGGGTGTAGTGCTGCAAGCCTGTAGTCCTAGCTACTTAGGAGGCTGAGATGGGAGGATCGCTTGAGCCCAGGAGTTCAAGGCCAGCCTGAGCAGCATAGTGAGATCCTGTATCTTAACAACACCAAAAAAATTCTGTGAAAAATAATTGTTTTCTTTTTTTTTTCGAGACAGAGTCTCACTCTTGTCACCCAGGCTGGAGTACAGTGGCACGATCTTGGCTCACTGCAACCTGGGCCTCCCAGGTTCAAGTGATTTTCCTGCCTCAGCCTCCTTAGTAGCTGGGATTACAGGTATGCACCACCACATCGGGCTAATTTTTGTATTTTTAGTAAAGACGGGGTTTCACCATGTTGGCCAGGCTGGTCTCGAACTCTTGACCTCAAGTGATTCACTCACCTCGGCCTCCCAAAGTGCTGGGATTATAGGGGTGAGCCACCATGCCCAGCCAGTATATGCTGTTTTATTTATTTTATCCAGCATTTTATTTGTGAGATTCATCCATATTGTCCATAGTTGTAGGTAGTTAATTTTTATTGTATTATGGTATTCATCACATGAATATATCATGATTTATTTACCTATTCAACTGTTGATGAGTAGTGAGATCGTTTCCCATTTAGGCTATTACAAATTGTGCTTTTATGAATATTCAAGTACATGTATATTATAGGTCAAACTGTGTCTTCCAAAAAGATATATGAAGTCCTAAACCTCTGGTCCATGTGAATGTGACCTTATTTGGAAATATCTTTGCAGATATCTGCAAAGTTAGATGAGGTCATATCCAATTTGGGGGACTCTAATCCAGTACGACTGATATCCTTATAGAAGAGGAGGAAAGAAACCAACATAGAGACACACAGGGAGAACTCCATGAGAAAACAAAGGGAGAGATTGGAGTGATGCTGTAAACCAAGGAAAGACAAAATTTGCCAGCCACCTCTGGAAGCCAGGATAAAGGCATGGAACAGACTCTCCCTCAGAGCCCTCAGAAGACCCAATCCTACCAACAGGGTTGATTTGGGACCTCTAGCCTCTAGAACTGTGAGAGAACAGATTTCTGTTCTGTCAATACATTTCTAATTTGTGCTTTTTCACAGCAGCCTTAGGAAACAAATACAATGTCTTTTGGAGAACTTACGCTAAGCAGTTTTCCAAAGTGTTTGATCATTTGGAGCTGGGCACAGTAGTGCACTCCTGTAGTCCAAGCTACTCAGGAGGTTGAGGTGGGAAGATCCCTTGAGCCCATGTGTTCAAGGCCAGCCTGGGCAACAAAGTGAGACCCTGTCTCAAAAAAAAAATTAAGTGCTTGGTCATTTTATATTCACACTAGTTGTATATAAGACTTCTAGTTACTCCACATCATCACTAGCACTTGGTATTGTCAATCTTTTTAGCCCTTCTAATGAATGTGTAGTAATATCACACTGTGGTTTTAATTTCTTTAATGACTAATGTTGTTGGACATATTTTCATGTGCTTATTTGCCATTTATACATCTTTAGTAAAGAGCATTCAAATCTCTTACCATTTTTAAAATTGGATAAGTTGTTTTATTATTGAGTTTTGAAAATTCTTTGTATATTCTGGACACAAGTTCTTTACCAGATAAGTGTCTTATAAATATTTTCTGCCAGGCTATAATTTGCCTTTTCCATCTCTTAACAATATCTTTCAAAGAGAAAAAGGTTTGACTTTGAAGAACTCTAATTTACTAATTTTGTTATGGATTATGCTTTTGGTTTTGTATCTAAGAAATCTTTGCCTACCCCAGGCTCAAAATATTTTTTTCCCTAGCTGGACACAGTGGCTTATGCCTATAATTCAAATGCTTTAGGAGGCCAAGGTGGGAGGATTGCTTAAGGCCAGGAGTTTAAGACAAACCCGGGCAACATAGCAAGACCCCATCTCTAAAAAATAAAAAGATTAGCTGCATGTGGTGGCACCCATTTGTGGTCCCAGCTACTTGGGAGGCTGAGTCAGGAGGATTGCCTGAGCCCAGGGTTTGAAGCTGCAGTGAGATATGATTACACCACTGCACTCAGCCTGGGCAACAGGGCAAGATTCTGTCTCTAAAATATATACATATTTTTTCCCTATGTTTTTCCTGTGAACTTTTAGTAGGGAAAAACTGTCAGTTTCTCAAAATCTGCTAGTTTCTCAAAATGTTTCCCAGTTATCTCAGAAAAAAAACACATTTCAACTGTATTATTTTTCTGCCTTGGCTGGGTGCAGTGACTCATGCCTGTAATCCCAGCACTTTGGGAGGCCGAGGCGGGCAGATCATTTGAGGTCAAGAGTTCGAGACCAGCCTGGCCAACATGGTGAAACCTCGTCTCAACTAAAAATACAAAAATTAGCCAGGCGTGGTGGTGGGCGCGTGTAATACCAGCTATTCGGGAGGCTGAGGCAGGAGAATCGCTTGATCCTGGGAGGCAGAGGTTACAGTGAGCTGAGATCGCACCACTGCACTCCAGCCTGGGCGACAGAGCCAGACTCTGTCTCAAAAAAATAATAATAAACTGCATGTTTCTCTGTCTCAAGTTAAAAAGAAACAAAATAATTCAACCAAACATATCACAAATTCAATTAACTGATACAAGTAAGAATAAATTATGTTGACTGGAATTATCATTGTCATTTGAATCTCAGCAGGATATGAAATTAGCTCTTCTAGATAGAAGCAAGATTAGGACATCATTGTTGTAATGGTCATTTTAGTTTCAAAGGACAAAAACCCAGCAAAAATGAAGAGGTGGATTTCTGGCTTTGGACATATCTAGACTACAAACTATAGCATCTCTGCCTCACTCTGTATTGCTCAGTTGTGCTTTCTTCTGGCTTGTCTGTATTCTCAAGAAGGCTCTGCCAAGTCATGACAAATATGGCACTTTCTGGCACCACAAAGCAAGGAGGGAAGAGGTGGTTGTTTAGTAAAATTTGCTAGAAAAAGTGGCCCACATTTTGGGGAAAAATAAAGCTGGATTCCTACTTAATATCACATACAAAGGTGATTGCCAATGGATTAAAGACCTAAATTTGAAGATAAATATATAAAGTTAAATAAGAAAATGTGGGAGACTTTATGTTGAGAAGGAATTCTTCAATGAAACTCAAAAGCGTAAGCCATAAGACAAAAATGTGATAAATTTGATCAACTCTTCGTATTCAGTGAAGACCACTGTGGAAGAGTTAACAAACAAGTAACAAGATAGGAGGAGACAGTCTTAATGTCTAAAACTGATAAGTGGCTAATATCTAGACTATATAAGAGATTCATACATCAACAAGAAAAAGACAGGAACCCCAGTAAATGAGTAATTAATAAACGACAAAACCAGTCTATAACAGGCATATGCTGGGATACTCAAGCTCATTAGGAATCAGAGAAATAAGAATGAAAGACCATTGAGATTTCATTTTACACCTCTGGCAAAAATTAGAAAGATGGATAATGCAACTGCTAGCTGGCACTGGGGATTTTTCAAGACCTCTTTTTTTAAAAAAAGGAATAAACTTACCCTGTGCCACAGAATTTATCCCTGGTTAAATATCCCAAAGGAATTTTGATACTGGCCCATATGAAGACGAAAGAGTATTATCATAGTCTAGTTTGTATTGATGGGAAACTGGATGCAGTCTGAGAGGTCACACTGGAGGAGTCAATAGGCAAAATACAGTGGAACACCATGCAGCTGTTAGAAAAAAGGGATTAAATAAATATATAGCAACACGAACAAATCTTTAAAACAGTGCTGATGTACTTATCAGAATACCATTTATGTTAATTTAAAATACATGCATACAAATCAGCAGTACACATTTAGAAGGAAGCTCTGTAAACAAAATGTGGATTTTAAATGCCTTGGAGTGTTTGTCAGCAGTGGGAAGAGGATGGAAAGGGAAACAGGAGTAACAAGAGGATCAAGAAATAAAACGCAAGAGGTCTTGTGTGGACTGTGATAATGATGTCATGAACAATGACATCACTAACTCAGCCCTCTACATCTGAGATTCAACAAAAGAGAAACGTAAGAATTGCACCGATCAGATAGATGAATTGAGAATATTTTTTTGTGAAGGAAATGGTTTAATTCCAGAAGGAAATTGAAGATGGACACAAACTCCTTGGTGCACTCTATTTCTCTTCCCTTAAATCTGGGCTCTGTGACTGCTTTACCAATAGAACTGTGGCTAAAGTGACTGTGTACTAATTCTGGGCCAGCAAAAGTTCTGGGCTTCTGCTTCCTCCCTCTTGGAATCCTCACTCTTGGGAAACTCCCTCAGAACCCAGAAACATGCTGTGAGAAGCCCAAGACACATGGAGAGGCCATGCGTAGACGTTTCATCAGAGCGGCCCAGCTGAGCTCCAGCCTGGAGCTGTGAGCCATGACAGCCAGCTAGGCTTTCCAGCCCAATTAAGCCCCAGGGCAACTACAGCCCCAGTTGATATCACAGGAGCAGGAGACCTACCAGCTGAGCCCAGTCAATCCACAGAATCATGAGGGTTTACACATGTTGTTTTAATCCGCTATATCTTGGGAAATTTGTTACACAGTGACAGATGAACCATATAATTGCCACATCATTAAAGAATAATCAGAAGCATCCAAATCACAGTGATGCTCAGAGTGATCCCCAAACCACAAATCATTTCTTCAAAATTTACAAAAAGGAAAGGCAAAAAGCAAACCAATACTTTTTTTTTATATATATACTTTAAGTTTTAGGGTACATGTGCACAACGTGCAGGTTTGTTACATATGTATACATGTGCCATGCTGGTGTGCTGCACCCATTAACTCGTCATTTAGCATTAGGTATATCTCCTAATGCTATCCCTCCCCCCTCCCCCCACCCCACAACAGTCCCCAGAGTGTGATGTTTCCTTTCCTGTGTCCATGTGTTCTCATTGTTCAATTCCCATCTATGAGTGAGAACATGTGGTGTTTGGTTTTTTGTCCTTGCGATAGTTTACTGAGAATGATGATTTCCAATTTCATCCATGTCCCTACAAAGGACATGAACTCATCATTTTTTATGGCTGCATAGTATTAAAAAGCAAACCAATACTTTAAGAAGGGATGTGGTGATATTGCAAATCAATCAAACAGGATGAGATTTTACAGCTACAGAAGGGTGGAGGTTTAGTGGTCTGCCAGAAGTCCTACCCCTCCCAAATGGCCCAGAATGTTGGGGAGGCCACGAGGTCCATTTCTTTCTCACTTTTCCTGTCCTTTCATACCTTGGTATTTCAGCCCAACTATTTGATCTGTAAACAAGGATTCTCTAATTTATTGCATGAGGTAATGTATATAAAAATACTTGATAAAATGTAAATACCTATAAAACAGTTATATATTTTTAAAATTTTAATCTATTTATTTATTTTGAGATCAGGTTATGAGACTGGCTGATTTTTGTATTTTTGGTAGAGGTGAGGTTTCATCGTGTTTTCCAGGCTAGTCTCAAACTCCTGAGCTCAAGCAATCTGCCTGCCTCAGCCTCCCAAAGTGCTGGGATTACAGGCATGAGCCACGGCACCTGAGCAAACAGTTATAATTTTAAAGCTTAATTAACAAAAAGACCTTCCATTACTGTATCCTCAATTTCTAGGTATAAAGAATTTTAAAGGCTGGGCACAGTGGCTCACGCCTGTAATTCCAGCACTTTGGGAGGCCAAGGCAGACAGATCACTTGAAGTCAGGGGTTCGAGACCAGCTTTGGCCAACATGGCGAAACTTTGTCTCTACTAAAAATGCAAAATTTAGCCAGGCATGGCTGCATGCATCTGTAATCCTAGCTACTGAGGAGGTTGAGGCAGCAGAATCACTTCTGGAGGCAGAGGTTGCATGAGCTGAGATCATGCCACTGCACTCCAGCCTGGGTGACAGAATGAGACTCTGTCACCAAAAAAAAAAAAAAAAAAAAAAAAATTTACAAACTACAAACCACTGTATTTGGGTTGCTTTCATATTTAGTCTGCTGAATATTTGATCTGGACAATGTTATATGTATTTGGGACATCTATTTAAAATCAAGAGATTTCACACAAAAATTTAAATGTTTATTTTCTCCTGAAAAACTGGAAGACGTGACAACATGAAGTCCTTGCATTTTCTAATGTCAACAATGGATGTCTTACCCCAAGCTCCACTCACAAAAGCAGAAACTGAGACAAGGATATGTGTTCAGCAGTTTGTTTTGGGAAGAGATCTGGGGACAAGAGAGAAACAAGGAAGAAATGCCAGTGCAAGGTTGTGTTGCAAGGTCACTGCTGTAGGCACCTGGAGCTCAATTCCACTGGGGACTCTAAGGAGCTGTGTAGGATAAGCCTCAGTTTTGTGCCTGAAAACAGAAGAGGGATTATTTATCTATCAGCTCCTATCTCCCCTTGGTCAACAGTTACACCATAAGGTGTTAACTCTCGAACTTCCAGGTTCGCCAATGCAACCGCATGGCTGAACAGATTCTTGCAGCCATCCCATTCAGCAGCATGGCTTTCGGAAGCCCCAGGGGCAGAAAGCAAGAGATACACAGGGCAGCTGAGGCAAGATATTGTTAGTTTACACTTGTTCACAGCCAGTTTCTGCAGCAACTACTGGAAGAGATGGTCAAAAGGCGGGAACACAATGTGGAGGAGCTGAGCAGCAAGTGCCTCAGGTCGCCAAATTTAACAAATTAGGATGAGCTTGTTTTCATCTATGAGAATCCACTCAGAGCTGTTGATTTTTAAAACTTTTACTTACCATTTTCTTCTATTTTTTAGCACCATGGGCTCCTCTGCTCCTGCCCCAGTGTATACAGGTCTTCACGTAGAGGGCAGCAATGTGTTCTGTCTGCACAGAGGCTCTAGCTTGGACGAGCTCTATAAAGAGGTCAGTGACTTCCCAGGATGCCAACACTCTGCTTCCGTAAGTCAAGACATAAGTGCCTAATGACCAGCTAGGAGGATCTGACTCTTCTTAGGTTCTACTCCTGTTTTCTAGATGTTTTATTATTATTATTATACTTCAAGTTCTAGGGTACATGTGCACAACGTGCAGGTTTGTTACATATGTATACATGTGTCATGTTGGTGTGCTGCACCCATATATTTCTAGATGTTAAAAGGCAGCCTATTTATTAAAAGTATAAACTTGCCTGAGTTTGAATTGGCTCCACCTCTTACCGTGTCCTCTCTGTGC
Source organism: Homo sapiens (assembly GCF_000001405.40). NCBI lineage: Eukaryota > Metazoa > Chordata > Mammalia > Primates > Hominidae > Homo > Homo sapiens. Next base: position 10,019 of record NW_025791770.1, read on the forward strand.
CTGAGATTTCTTATCTGTAAAACAGAAATTTAATATAACCTATGTTATATTAAATTAAATTAAATTATATTAATATAATATAATATTAAATTATATTATATTAATATAATATAATATTAAATTATATTATATTAATATAATATTAAGTTAAATTATATTATATTTAATATAATATAATATTAAATTATATTAAATATAATATAACCTATATTATATTAAATTATATTATAACATAGGTTATATATAACCTATGTTATATTAAATTTAAATATAATTAAATTATATTAAATTAAATGTCATAGGCTTATGGTTAAGATTCAATGAGTTAAGCTGGACAGGGTGGCTTACACCTGTAATCCTAGTGACTCTGGAGGCTGAGGCAGGAGGATTGCTTGAGCCCAGGAGTTAGAGGCTGCAGTGAACTATGATCATGCCACTGCATTCCGGATGGGGAGACACCTGTCTGCTAGAAAAAAAAAATTCAATGAATTAATGTATGTTAAGTATTTAGAACAGTGCCTGGCACTGAGTAAGTAAGCCCTTGGTAAAAATCCCGTTCCGTGTTGTCCACATATGTGATCAACTCCAGCTGTCCTCTTTGGGTAGGAAGAAAAACTGGTATGCATCTAGTTATTGAGGGGTTAACAATGCCAGAACCCATTGCCTTTGTTAAATTCCCCACAGTGCAACACATAGAAAATACTATTGATGGGGCCTAGGACATGCCACCCTAAAATATGATGGTAGAAGACCAGAATATGCTATCCCGGATGTGCCCCTTTGGCATAAGGATTATTTTTGAGAAACTGCAGACACAGGAGAAGCTCAGAAAAGTTACCCTTTTGTAAGACAAACTGACATTTATGAAGGAAATCTCCATTTTTAAAGGTGTCTTTCTCTCTGCACCAGAAAGAGAAGGATAACTAAATCACTAGAGACTCTTATCGATGGAGAAATAATTGCCTTAAAATGTCCTAACAGGCAGGATGTGGTGGCTCACGTCTGTTATCCCAGCACTTTGGGAGGCTGAGATGGGCAAATGGCTTGAGCCCAGGAATTTGCTACCTGCCTGGGCAACATGGCAAAACCCCATTTCTGCAAAAATTAGCTGGGCATGGTGGTGCATGCTTGTAGTCCCAGATAGTTGGATGGCTGAGGCGGGAGGATCACCTGAGCCTAGGAGGTAAAGGCTGCAGTGAGCTGAAATAGAGCCACTTCACTCCAGCATGGGCAACAGAGTGAGAGCCTGTCTTAAAAAGAAAAGAAAAAGTCATAACAAAACTTGCCCTTATTATCTAGAACTAGAAATACCATTTGACCCAGCAATCCCATTACTGGGTATATACCCAAAGGATTATAAATCATGCTGCTATAAAGACACATGCACACGTATGTTTATTGCAACACTATTCACAATAGCAAAGACTTGGAACCAAGGCAAATGTCCAACAATGATAGACTGGATTAAGAAAATGTGGCACATATACACCATGGAATATATGCAGCCATAAAAAATGATGAGTTCATGTCCTTTGTAGGGACATGGATGAAGCTGGAAACCATCATTCTCAGCAAACTATCGCAAGGACAAAAGCCAAACACCGCATGTTCTCACTCATAGGTGGGAATTGAACAATGAGAACACATGGACACAGGAAGGGGAACATCACACTCTGGGGCCTGTTGTGGGATGGGGGGAGGGGAGGGGGATAGCATTAGGAGATATACCTAATGTAAATGACGAGTTAATGGGTGCAGCACACTAACATGGCACATGTATACATATGTAACAAACCTGCATGTTGTGCACATGTACCCTAAAACTTAAAGTATAATAAAAAAAAATTGCCCTTATTAAGATGCTTTTCTTGATCATCTCTCCCTAACCAGGCTTTCCGCATACCCTTCTTCCTTTGTTTCAGGAAACATGGTGTTTAAGCCTGACCTCTAAGACAACTTTTTGAGATCTACTCTAGGAGATTTACTTATTTCTCTGGGTATCTCTCATATGTACAGGATATATACTGCTATTAAACTTCTGATTGCTTTTCTCTTGTTAATAAGGAGTAATTGGCTGGGCACAGTGGCTCATGCCTGTAATCCCAGCACTTTGGGAGGCCAAGGCGGGCGGATCACAAGGTCAGGAGATCGAGATCATCCTGGCCAACATGGTGAAACTCCATCTCTACTAAAAATACAAAAATTAGCTGGGCATGGTTGCGCACACCTGTAGTCCCAGCTACTCGAGAGGCTGAGGCAGGAGAATCACTTGAACCCAGGAGGCGGAGCCTGCAGTGAGCCAAGATCATACCACTGCACTCAGCCTGGTGACAGAGCGAGACTCTGTCTCAAAAAAAAAAAACTAGTAATTAATAATGGTCCTCTTTTTACAAATGGAGATACTAAAGTATCAGAGTGATACAAATAATGAAAGGTCACACCACTTGTTCCTGGAGGTGAGATTTAAGCCCAGGGGTTGGGTGCTATGGCCACTCCCTTAACTATTCTTCTAGAGCTGGTGTTCTCCTGCCTCTGCTCCTGTCCCTTCCAGGACCCAGCTCTCTAAAGCAGCTCAGGAGGGTGATCATGTCCTCAGGCCTTTTGCTTTTTAATTGGTAACATCTGGAGCTACAAATTCTTTCATGGCCCAAAACGAATGAGGCTACATTGGTAGAATTAATAGGCAGTGGTAAGATTTTAAGCTTGTGCACTCAGCCTGGCAATGTCAATAATCCTCCTTCTAAAAACATTGTCACTGCAATAACCCCAGCCCAGTTAAAACTGCTCAATGTATGCTGGGCATGGTGGCTCATGCCTATCATCCCAGCAATTTCAGAGGCCGAGGTGGGCGGATCGCTTGACCTCAGGAGATCAAGAACAGCCTGGGCATCATAGTGAGACAGCATCTCTACTAAAAATATGAAAAAATAGTCAGGCATGCATAAAAAAGGATGAGTTCATGTCCTTTGTTGGGACATAGATGAAGCTGGAAACCATCATTCTGAGCAAACTATTACAAGGACAGAAAACCAAACACCACATGTTCTCACTCATAGGTGGGAATTGAACAATGGACACAGGGTGGGGAACATCACACACCAGGGCCTGTCGTGGGGTGGGGGGAGGGGGGAGATATAGCATTAGGAGATATACCTAATGTAAATGACGAGTTAATGGGTGCAGCACACCAACATGGCACATGTATACATATGTAACAAACCTGCACATTGTGCACATGTACCCTAGAACTTAAAGTATAATAATAAAGAAAATAGTCAGGCATGGTGGTGTACACCTGTTGTCCCAGCTACTCAGGAGGCTGAGATGGGAGGATCGCTTGAGCACAGGGGGCAGACGTTACAGTGAGCCGAGATCAAGACACTGCACTCCAACCTGGGTGAGAGTGAGACCCTGTCTCAAAAAAAAAAAAAAAAAAAAAAGACTGCTCAATGATAAGGACAATAGTAACAAACACTACAGAGTACTTACTAGGTGCCAATTCCACAACAAGTGTTTGACATGTCTCATTTAATCTGCTAAACAATGAGTTGAGTACTGCTGTTACCCCCCTGCCATGTTTCAGATAAGGAAACTGAGGCTTACAATGCTTAAATTAGGGTCACATGTAGCCAGGAAGCAATGCTGCTAAAATATCATCAAAGGAGCCCAATTGCTTCCTTCTGTAGTATTTTATTTCCAGAATGTCTCCTAAACCACTAGCTTTTCTATAAATCTGCACGCACCATCACCCGGACTACAATAAAAAAATAATCAAATGATAATCTTAATAAAAGCATTGAAAACATTATTTTACATCTCCAAACCTGTGTTTGTTCCCATCTGTGTTTGAGTGGGTAGGAGAAAATTCTGGTAACCTCCTCATTAGTCAATCCTCCCCCACCAGACTGATTCAGCCCCATAAACAATGGATATAATTATACTGAACAATGGTGTGTTCATTTCCATGTCTAGACATAGAGTTTACATTTGAAAACAAACGAGAACAGAAAAGAGAAAGCACCCTACTGGTTTGTTTGTTTTAAGGTAGAGTCTTGCTCTGTCGCCCAGGCTGGAGTGCAGTGGCGGGATCTCAGCTCACTGCAACCTCCACCTCCCAGGTTCAAGCAATTCTCCTGCCTCAGCCTCCTGAGTAGCTGAGATTACAGGTGCCTGCCACCATGCCTGGCTAATTTTTGTACTTTTAGTAGAGACAGCGTTTTGCCGTTTTGGCCAGCTGGTCTTGAACTCCCAACCTCAGATCATCCACCCACCTTGGCCTCCCAAAATGTTGAGATTACAGGCATGAGCCACCGTACCCGGCCCCTACTGTTTTTTAATTATCTGTAGCAAACTTTTTCTTAGCCTGGATGCTTCCCTTTTGATTAGGATATTCAGAGTATCAGGAATTTTCTTGAAAAACATTCTTATGTAAAGCTAGCGGTGTTAATTTAGGAGTAAAACACAAATACATTTAAACAGTCTCTAGTCTGAGTAGAAACAAGTCATTTTAAACCATAGAGGATTGAGAAAATCATGAATGCGTGAAAGTTTGATGAAGAATAAGTCATTTTCATAGTATCAAAGTATCCTCCCACAAATTACATGTTAATTGTCAAAAGAAAAATAGTAACATGACAGTGGCAAGACCTGGACAAGCTTCATCAAATAATCCAAGTTAACATCATCAATATTGGGACAAACTGACATCAGGAAAACTGATATGATGTGTCTCCAGAAATGATACACTAAAATGATACACTAAGAATGGCACATCATTTCTGCTCAAAAATGCATAACCTGAATCTAATCATGAAGAAATTTCAGATAAATTAAAATCAAGGAACATTGTACAAAACCAGCCTGTGTTCTTCGAAGGTGTCAGTGTCATCATGTACAACAAAGAAAAACTGAAGAACTATTTTCAGATTAAAGAAGAACAAAATACAATTTAATGGGTTTCAGTATGTTTACAGAGTTGTGCAGTCATCACCACTATTGAATTCCAGAACATTTTCATCACCCCCAAAAAAGCCCATTCCTATTAACAGTCCTCCCTCCAGCCCCTGGCCATCACTGATCTTTCCATGTCTATGGATTTGCCTATTCTGGACGTTTCTTATAAACAGAATCACAATATGTGGCTTTGGAGGCTGGCTTCTTTCACTTAAGATGTTTTAAAGGCTAATCCATGTTGTCATGTGTATCAGTACTTCATTTCTTTTTATGGCTGAATATCATTACATTGTATGGATAGACCACATTTTGTGTATCTATCTGTCATTAGCTGATGAACATTTGGGTTGTTTTCACCTTTTGGCTATTATGAATAATGCTGCTATGAATATTTATGTATAAGTACTTGGGGGACTTTTTTTTCTGTTTTTTTTTTTGAGACAGCCTCACTCTGTCACCCAGGTTGAAGCGCAGTAGTGCAGTCTTGGCTCACTGCAACCTCTACCTCCCAGGTTCAAGTGATTCTCCTGCCTCAGCCTCCCAAGTAGCTGGGATTACAGGCATGCACCACCATGCCCGGCTAATTTTTTGCATTTTTAGTAGAGATGGTTTCACCATGTTGGCCAGGCTAATCTTGAACTCCTGGCCTCAAGTGATCCACCTGCCTCAGCATCCCAAAGTGCTGGGATTACAGGTGTGAGTCACCACACCCAGCCTCAAACATATGTTTTCAATGCTCCTGGGTATATACCTAGGTGTAGAATTGCTAGGTCACATGGTAACTCTATGTTTAAGTTTTTGATGAACTTCCAAGCTGCTAGCAAAAGTGGTTGTACTATTTTACATTTCGACCAGGAAATATGTAAGGGTTCCAATTTCTCCACATCTTTGCCAACACTTGTTATTGTCCATCTTTTTTATTATAGCCATTCTAGTGAGTATGAAGCAGTATCTCATTGTGATTTTGATTTGCATTTCTCTAACAATTAATGGTGTTAAAGATCTTTTCATGTGCTTTTTGGCCATTTGTATGTCTTTAGGGAAATGTCTGTTTAGATCCTTTGTCAATTTTTAAATTGGGCTATCTTTTTATTGCAGAGTTGTAAGAGTTTTTAAGTATATTCTAGATACTAGACCCTATCAGATATATGATATTCCAAATATTTTCTCCCATTCTGTAGGTGGTCTTTTCATTTTTTTTGAGAGTGTCCTTTGATGTTCAATAGTTTTTAATTTTGATAAAGTCCATTTTATCTATTTTTTCTTTGGTTGCTGGCTGTACTTTAAGTATTATAGATAAGAAACTATTGCATGATCTGAGGTCACAAAGTTTTATGCCTATTTTCTTCTAAGGATTTTACAGTTTTAGCTTCTTGGGATTTTGAAAGCAAACATACTATATTTGGGTGTGCTGCTCCAACCCACTTAGCATAAAGGAACCAATTTTGAGTGATGTCCCAAAGCAATAAAAAACTCTGCAGCAAATCCCGGCTGTGGTACAAGCCACTGTGCCACTTGGGCCTTTGGACACATAACACTTTGAATGTTCTTTGGTTAAAAAAAAAGGAAATTTATTTTGTATTTATTTATTTATTTTTTGAGACGGAGTCTCGCTCTATCGCCCAAGCTGGAGTGCAGTGGCATGATCTTGGCTCACTGCAAGCTCCGCCTCCTGGGTTCACGCCATTTTCCTGCCTCAGCCTCCCCAGTAGCTGGGACTACAGGTGCCCGCCACCTGGCCCGGTTAATTTTTTGTATTTTTAGTAGAGACAGGGTTTCACAGTGTTAGCCAGGATGGTCTTGATCTCCTGATCTCTTGATCCGCCCGCCTCGGCCTCCCACAGTGCTGGGATTACAGGCGTGAGCCACTGCGCCCAGCCAAAAAAAAAAAAAAAATTTTAAGGTACTAGACAAAGCCACTGGTGAGCCCCAGGAGGAGAATCTTAGCACACATATGTACAATTCTGGAGCAAAGTCATGCCCTCTTTTGCTGTTAATTATTCTCCTTTTGAGAAGCAGTTTCTGATTTACTACTAAGCCCTGCTAGAGACATGTTTGACTATGGGAAGTCAAGCATAGCCATGTGCTTTATCATGATGTTTCAATCAGTCATGAACCACATGTACAACAATGGTCCCATAAGATTATAATGGAGCTTAAAAATTCCTATTGCAAGGTTCAGCATAGTGGCTCATGCCTGTAATCCCAGCACTTTGGGAGGCCAAGACAGGAGCATCACTTGAGGCCAGGAGTTTAAGAACAGCCTGGGGCCGGGCGCGGTGGCTCACGCCTGTAATCCCAGCACTTTGGGAGGCCGAGGCGGGCGGATCACGAGGTCAGGAGATCGAGACCATCCCGGCTAAAACGGTGAAACCCCGTCTCTACTAAAAATACAAAAAAAAAATTAGCCGGGCATAGTGGCGGGCGCCTGTAGTCCCAGCTACTTGGGAGGCTGAGGCAGGAGAATGGCGTGAACCCGGGAGGCGGAGCTTGCAGTGAACCGAGATCCCGCCACTGCACTCCAGCCTGGGCGACAGAGCGAGACTCCGTCTCAAAAAAAAAAAAAAAAAAAAAAAAAGAACAGCCTGGACAACACAGTAAGACCCCATCTCTACCAAAGTAAAAATTTTAAAAAATCTAAAAATGAATTCCTATCACCTAGTGACATTGTAGCTGTTATAACATTGTAGCACAATACATTACTTGTGAATTTATGGTGATGCCGATGTAAAGAAACCTGCACTGCCAGTTGTGTAAAAGTGTAGCACTTACAATTAGGTAAGCACATAATACTTCATAATGATAATAAATGACTTGCTACAGGTTTATGTATTTACTATACTATATTTTTAATCATGGTGTCTACTCTTTGTACTCATTAAAAAAGAAAAAGGAGTTAACTGTAAAACAACCTGAGGCAGGTCCTCCAGGAGGAATTCCAGAAGAAGGCATTGTTATCATAGGAGATGACAGCTCTATGCACGTTATTGCCTCTGGAGAACTTCCAGTGGGAGAAAATATTGAGGGAGAAAATAATGACATTGATGACCCTGACCCTATGTAGACCTAGGAGAATATTGGTGTTTGTGTCTTAGTTTTTGGTTTTCTTTTTTTTTTTTTTTTAATTTTTTTTGAGGTGGGGTCTGGCTCTGTTGCCCAGGCTGGAGTGCAGTAGCACAATCTCAGCTCACTGCAACCTCTACCTTCCAGGCTCAAGCGATCCTCCCACCTCAGCCTCCTGAGTAGCTAGGACCACAGGCATGCACCACCATGCCCAGCTAATTTTTTGTATTTGTAGTAGGGATGGGGTTTCACCATTTTGCCCAGGTGTGGTGGTGCATGTCTGTAATCCCAACTACTCAGGAGGCTGAGGCGGGAGAATCGCTTGAACCCAGGAAGGGGAGGTTGCAATGAGCTGAGATCGTGCCACTAAACTCCAGCCTGGGCAACAAGAGCGAAACTTCACCTCAAAAAAAAAAAAAAAAAAAAGTCTTTAAGTAATTTTGAGTTGATTTTGACTGAGCATGGTGGCTCATGCCTGTAATCCCGGCACTTTGTAGGGGCGGAGGTGGGTGGATCTCCTGAGCTCAAGTGATCCTCAGCCTCCCAAAGTGCTGGGATTACAGGCATGAGTCACTGTGCCCAGCCTTGTGTTTCTGTCTTAGCTTTTAACAAAAAAATTTAAAAAATAAAAAACAAAATACTTTTTCTTTTTTTTTTTTTTTGGATACAGCCTCATTCTGTCGCCTAGGCTGGAGTTCAGTGGCGCAATCACAGCTCACTGCAGCCTCAACCTCCTGGGCTCAAGCTATCATTTCACCTCAACCTCCTGAGTAGCAGGGACTACAGACACACACCATCATGCCCAGCTAATGTTTATATTTTTCATAGAGATGAGGTTTCACCATGTTGCCCAGGCTGGTCTCAAACTCCTGAGCTCAAGAGATCCACCCAGCTTGGCCTCCCAAAGTGCTGAGATTACAGGCACACACCACTGCCCACTGTGCTCGGCCCAAAAATTTTAAAATAGAAAAAAACTTATACGATAAGGATATAAAGAAATAATATTTTTGTACAGCTGCACTATGTGTTTGTATTTTAAGCTAAGTGTTATTACAAGAGTCAAAAAGATTTCTTAAACTTTATAAGGTAAAAATATTATTGAAGAAAAAATATTTTTTATACATTTAGCATAGCCTAAGTATATAGTGTTTATAAAGCCTACAGTAGTGGCTGGGCGCGGTGGCTCATGTCTGTAATCCCAGCATTTTGGGAGGCCGAGGCTGGTGGATCACCTGAGGTCAGGAGTTCAAGACCAGCCTGCCCAACATGGCGAAACCCTGTCTCTACTAAAAGTATAAAATTAGCCAGGCGTGGTGGTGCATGTCTGTAATACCAACTACTCAGGAGGCTGAGGCAGGAGAATCGCTTGAACCCAGGAAGGGGAGGTTGCAGTGAGCTCAAATCGTGCCACTGCACTCCAGCCTGGCAACAAGAGCGAAACTTTATCTCAAAAAAAAAAAAAAAAAGTCTTTAAGTAATTTTGAGTTGATTTTGGCTGGGCATGGTGGCTCATGCCTGTAATCCTGGCACTTTGGGGGGGCCGAGGCAGGTGGATCACCTGAGGTCAGGAGTTCGAGACCAGCCTGACCAATACGGTGAAACCCCGTCTCTACTAAGAATACAAAAATTAGCCGGGCATGGTGGCCCACACCTATAGTCCCAGCTACTCGGGAAGCTGAGACAGGAGAATTACTTGAACCTGGGAGGCGGAGGTTGCAGTGAGCTGAGATTGCACCACTGCACTGCAGCCTGGGTGACAAAGCAAGACTCCATCTCAAAAAAAAAAAAGAAGTGTATAGCACCTCCCCCTTTTCTCTCTCTCTCTCCTGCCAGCCATGCGAACATGTGCCTGCTTCCCCTTTGCCTTCTGCCGTGATTGTAGGTTTCCTGAGGCCTCTCCAAAAGCAGAAGCCTGTACAGCCTACAGAACTGTGAGTCGATTAAATGATTAAACTTCTTTTCTTTATAAATTACCCAGTCTCAGATACTCAGGTATGTCCTTTTTTTTTTTTTTTTTGAGACAGAGTTTCTCTCTTGTCACCCAGGCTGGAGTACAATGGCACAATCTCAGCTTACTGCAACCTCTGCCTCCTGGGTTCAAGCAATTCTCCTGCCTCAGCCTCCCGAAGTAGCTGAGATTACAGGCACCCACCACAACGCCCAGCTAATTTTTTTGTATTTTTAGTTGAGAAGGGGTTTCACCATGTTGGCCAGGCTGGTCTTGAACTCCTGGCCTCAGGTGATCCACCCGCCTTGGCCTCCCAAAGTGTTGGGATTTCAGGCGTGAGCCACCACACCCAGCCATCTTTTCTTTGAGACAGAGTTTTGCTCTGTCGCCGAGGCTGGAGTGCTGTGGTGCAATCTCAGCTCACTGCAACCTCCACTTACCAGGTTCAAGCAATTCTCCTGCTTCGGCCTCCCGAGTAGCTGGGACTACAGGCACCTGCCACCATGCCTGGCTAATTTTTGTATTTTTAGTAGAGATGGGGTTTCACCATGTTGCCCAGGCTGGTCTTGAACTCCTGACCTTAAGTGATTCACCTGCCTCAGCCTCCCAAAGTGCTGGGATTACAGGCATGAGCCACCATACTTGGCCTCAGGTATGTCTTTATAGCAGTGTGAGAACAGACTAATACACCTGCCAAGCCATGAGGTGATGCATGTGCAGCAATCCATCATCAGGCGGTGGTGGTATATATGATACGGAATGAAGCATGCCTAGAACGCATAAGTAAGTCAGATAGGCACATGGCTCTGACTTGTTCAATATCTGCTCCTCCTTTGACACCTACTCTTGCTGCATTGCTGCCCCTCCATCAATCCACATCCATGGTCTTGTGTAGACTCTCCTATGACCAGCTTTGCCAAAAAGCTCACACCTGGCTTACAGATACGTCCATACAATGTATTGACTAATGGCTACTGGACAGTGCAAATATTGTATACTTTCATCATTGTAGAAAATTCTATTAGAAAGTGCTGACTCAATTTTGCTGATTGCATTCCTTCTGGTTTATTTAACGTGTTCTTCTGCCTTCCGAATTTTCTGTAGTTAGATCTAGAGGCTTAATCAACTTTCTTTTTGTTTGGTTTTATTTTGTTTTGTTTTGTCTATTTGCTTGCTTGATTGATTGATTTTTTGCAAGACTGCTTCATATTGTGTTCTTCAATTAGGAGGCACATAACAACTTTATCTCTCATGATCAGCTATTGATGACCAATAATAGATCAATTACTCCATTAGAGATTTACATGTAGTTATATTCTAATTTTTTCATTTCTTCTTTGTGTATCAGCTGGACTACTTCTATAAAGAACACTTCCACTTCCCCTCATCTACTATTTGGTGACATAGAGGTACTGTACCAAATAGTGGCATTGGAAAGGCAGCATACATACCTGATTCTCTACTTTTATTTTCAAGCTTTCCAAATGAGTTATTTTCTACCATCCTGCAACAGTGACTAAATAATTTGTTTCAGCAGCACTATAAACTCATGAATTTACATTTATTTTATGTGTTTCAATCCATTGCATTTTTTTTCTTTTCTTTTCTTTTTTTTTTTTTTTGAGACAGAGTCTCGCTCTGTCGCCCAGGCTGGAGTGCAGTGGCGCTTTCTCAGCTCACTGCAAGGTCCGCCTCCCGGGTTCATGCCATTCTCCTGCCTCAGCCTCCCGAACAGCTGGGACTACAGGCGCCCGTCACCACACCCAGCTAATTTTTTGTATTTTTTTAAAATAGAGATGGGGTTTCACCGTGTTAGCCAGGATGGAACCATCCACTGCATTTTTTAACACTCAGATTATCTCACATTTGACCGGTGCAACCTCTTTAAGTTGATTTCTGAATACTTTTGACACCAACCTCTTTGATAGCTTCCTTGAAAGCTGCTTTGACGAGATGCTCCAGGCTTATCTTGCATATTTCATTTTCTATCCCAGACTTGGAAGCAGCCATTTTCCCCAAAGAGTCTTGATTTTCCCGGTGTGAAATGGTCTTTGAAAACCATCCTCTGGGTGCTTAGGGTGCTCATTTCTCTTTGGTTTATCACTGTTTCTAGACCTTTTCAATGGGCAGATCTGGGAAATGTAGAGAGAAGAAAAAGACCAACAACCTCATAGAAAAATGGACTAGAGATTTTAAAAGACACTTCACAAGAAAAACAAATGCAATGTCCTTTAACCATATGAAAACATGCACAACCTTGTTCATAGTAACAGAAAGTTAAACTGATTCTGACAATTTCTCATCTCCCACACTGACAAAATGTAAAAGTTCGACAACAAACTCTCTTGGCAAGTTTGTGCAGAAACAGACACTCAAACATTGCTGGGGAAATGCAAACTAGTAAAGCCTATATGGAGGAATCTGTCTATATCTAGCACAGTTACATATGAATTCATTTTTTTAACCCAGGAATCTTATCTCTCAGACTCTATCTTAGAATACCCTGATGAAAATATGAAAAGGTATATGCACATAGCTACTCATTGCAGCACAAAAGATTGTGAAAACCATACAATGGCTATAACATAAGACATGATACATCTACACAATAGAATGCTATGCAGCTATAAAAAGGAATAAGGAAGAGTTGAAGATTTTTATAAGGGCTATGAAATGATGCCTAAGATAAACTGTTTTGTTTTGTTTTTTTGAGGTGGAGTTTTACTCTTTTGCCCAGGCTGGAGTGAAACAGTGCGATCTCGGCTAACTGCAACCTCCGCCCCCACGAGTTCAAGCGTTTCTCCTGCCTCAGCCTTCCCAGTAGCTGGGATTATAGGCACCTGCCACCACGCCTGGCTAATTTTTGTATTTTTTGTAGAGATAGGGTTTTACCACGTTGGGCAGGCTGGTCTCAAACTCCTGACCTCAGGTGATCCACCCACCTCAGTCTCCCAAAGTGCTAGGATTATAGGCTTGAGCCACCGTGCCCAGCCAGATAAATTGTAACACACAAAAAAGACCTGTGGAGAAAAGCATATAGAATGCACAACATTATATCTATACAGATAGAAGGGTTCAAATATGCATGTATGTGTATATGTATATGTATGTAATCAATATATAGTCAAATCTAGAGAAACTCTAGGCTGTCTGCTTTGAGTCCTGGAACTAATGAGAAAGAGCAGTTCTCTGCTGAAGATGCCTTCTGCTAGCATGTGAACTTGAGGTTTGTGGGGGTTCATGTTGCCACTATGCGGAAAGAGATTGCCTGAGAATGAAGCCAACAGGGAAAAAGGCAAAGGTAAACAATGAAGAGGAATTCTCAACTACATTATCTGAGCAACTGAGTCTAGTCAGCTCCACCCCTGCACCTTTCAATCATGTGAGTCAATAAATTCCAATTTGCATTACAACCATAGAATCCTGAATGATAGTGTATTACAGGATATTGGAAAAGTCTTGGGCACCACTTCAAATCCTCTTCCAGAGGTGAGCTGGAGCTGGCTTCCACCAGCTTATAAGAGCCCATTGTGCACATCTTACCCCTTCTATTCAGTGACATCACATTGGCAGCTTGAAATCGACCACAGTGGGAATATGCATGTGAAGGAAATTGGCAAATGCTACAGATCAGGGCTTCCTCCCAATTTTTGGAAGCTGGTCGTTAAGCATTTACTCACACACTCCCACACTACTGTCTTGGACTCTTTTTGTTTAAGCCACTGCTACAGTGACCACTTACAGGCTTCAACCAATATCTCACCAAGTTTTTCATCTCCTGCCCTGACCCTCTCTAAACCAATTCAGCACTTACATGGAGCAACTTCTGATTAACAGGGGCAGGAACTGATCCATAACTGTTTCCCCTTCTCATCCTAACTTGGAAAGTTTTGCTGGGTTTTTGTTTTTTGTTTTTTGCTTTTTGTTTTCAAGACAGGGTCTCACTCTGTTACCCAGGCTGGAGTGCACTGGGGCACCATCACAGCTCACTGCAGCCTCAACTCCCTGGGTTCAAGTGATCCTCCCGTCTCAGCCTTTGAAGTACTGGGACTACAGGAATGTACCACCATGCCAGGCTAATTTTTAAATTTTTTGTAGGGACAGGGTCTGACTATGTTGCCCTGGCTGACCTTGAACTCCTGGCCTCAAACCATCCTCACGCCTCACCTCAGCTGGAAAAACATACTGTAGAAACACACTGAATTTCTGCAGTGTGTATACAAATTACTATCTACAGATGAATCTGAGGTTTATGATCAGAGAACAAGATACATAAGCAGTCAGTAATGCTGAAATGAATTTACAAACCGACGTAAAATTGGCTTATTCCACAGAGAGAAGGAATTCAATTTTATTACCGCCTGTTAAAATGTATCTCTCTGTGGGCCGTGACTCTTTCTATTGACCTATTGCTTTTCATTTTCTAATTTTATCCATTAGCCAGCCTCCTTCTGACCTGGAGTCAGGGTGACAGTCTTGTTTGGTGACTGCTCCACATAGCTAACTTCAACCACTGTCTTTTATTTGCCAAATTCTGAATAAAGTCAGAGGCTTATATAGTTTCTGCAGTGTGTATACAAAGTACTATCTACAGATAAATCTGAGGTTTATGATCAGAGAACAAGATTTGTTTTGTTTTGTTTTGAGATGGAGTCTTGCTTTTGTCCTCCAGGCTGGAGTGCAGTGGCGCAATCTCGGCTCACTGCAACCTCCTCCTCCCTGGTTCAAGCGATTCTCGTGCCTCAGCCTCCAAGTAGCTGGGATTACAGGCACACACCACCACACCCAGCTAATTTTTCTATTTTTAGTAGAGACAGGGTTTCATCATGTTGGCCAGGCTGGTCTTGAACTCCTGACCTGAAGTGATCCATCTGCCTCAGCTTCCCAAAGTGCTGGGATTACAGGTGTGAGCCACTGCGCCCGGCCAAGATTTGTTGATAATCTCACAAACCAAAAGTAGATTAACACTAAGTATCTTTGTGCACCTTGTTGGTTTCTCACCTTCTGTTTTCTCTCAAAAGAGTTAAATAGGCTGGGTGCGGTGGCTCATGCCTTTAATCCCACCACTTTGGGAGGCCGAGGCGGGCAGATCATGAGGTCAGGAGATCAAGACCGTCCTGGCTAACACGGTGAAACCCCGTCTCTACTAAAAAATACACAAAAAATTAGTCGGGCGCGGTGGCAGGTGCCTGTAGGCTGAGGCAGGAGAATGATGTGAACCCAGGAGGCGGAGCTTGCAGTGGGCCGAGATCGCACCACCGCACTCCAGCCTGGGTGACAGAGCGAGACTCCATCTCAAAAAAAAAAAAAAAAAAAGAGTTAAATGGAATACAAACCAGCAGGGAACTCCCACATCAGTTACCAGGGTTCTGCTATCTCTCACTAAAGCTAACAAGACTGTCAATCCCCCTCTCCCTAACCTCTAGTTTGAAAATCCCCCCTACTTTATAATACTTTGCCAGGGGCTAAACCCTTCATAGAAGACAGGTGTAAGGTACAGAGACCTTGACACATACTTCAGGCTGATAGGTGTTTCCAATCAAGAATGGTAGACGTCATTTCTGTATCTTGGCAAATGTGAATAATGCTGCAATGCACATGGAAGTGCAAATATCTCTTCAATGTTCAGATTTCTTTTATTTTTATTTATTTATTCTTTTGTTTATTTTTTGAGACAGAGTCTCACTCTGTCACCCAGGCTGGAGTACAATGGTATGATCATGGCTCATTGCAACCTCCACCTCCCAGGCTCAAGTGATTCTCCCTTCTCAGCCTCCCGAGCAGCTCGGATTACAAGTACACACCACCACACCCAGCTAATTTTTGTATTTATTTTGTAGATAGGGTTTCACCATGTTGCCCAGACTGGTCTCAAACCCCTGGGCTGAAGCAATCCACCCACCTTGGCCTCCCAAAGTGCTGGGATTTGCAGGCGTGAGCCACTGCGTCCAGCAATGTACAGATTTCAATTCTTTTGTTTTATTTTTATTTTTATTTTTTTGAGATGGAATCTCACTCTGTTGCCCAGGTTGGAGTGGAGTGGTGTGATCTCAGCTCACCACAACCTCCACCTCCCAGGTTCAAGTGGTTCTCCTGCCTCAGCCTCCCAAGTAGCTGGGATTACAGGTGCCTGCCATACACCTGGCTAATTTTTGTATTTTTAGTTGAGACGGGTTTTCACCATGTTGGCCAGGCTGGTCTTGCACTCCCAACCTCAAGTGATCTGCCTGCCTCAGCCTCCCAAAGTGCTGGGATTGCAGGCGTGAGCCACCGTGCCAGGCCAATTCCTTTGGATATATACCCAGTAGTGAGATTTCTGGATCATATGATAATCCCATTTTTAGTTTTTTGAGGAACCTCCATACTGATTTCCATAGTTGCTGTACTAATTTACATTCTCACCAATAATATACAAGGGTTACCTTTTACTCCACCACTTGTTATTGTTCTTTTTTTTTTTCTTTTTTAGGTAGGGTCTCCTTCTTCCACTCAGGCTGGAGTGTGGTGACGCAATCATCTCACTGCAACCGTACCTCCTGACCTCAAGGGATCCTCCTGCCTCAGCCTTCTGAGTAGCTGGGACTACAGGCACATGCCACTGCACCTGGCTAATTTTTAAATTTTTATAGAGATGGAGTCTCACTCTGTTGCCTAGTCTGATCTTGAATTCCTGGGCTCAAGCGATCCTCCCACCTCAGCCTACCAAAGTGCTGGGATTACAGGCCTGAGCTACTACGCCTTGCCCTCTTTTGTCTTTTTGATAATAGCCATTCTCACAGATGTGGGTTGATATCTTATCATGGTTTTCATCAAGGGATAAATGGATACAGAAAACATGAGATATATTGCAGCCATAAAAAATAATGAGTTCATGTCCTTTGCAGGGATATGGATGAAGCTGGAAACCATCATACATCAGCAAACTAACACAGAAACAGAAAACCAAACACCGCATGTTGACACTCATAAGTGGGAGTTGAACAATGAGAACACATAGACACAGGGAGCGGAACATCACACACCGCGGGATCGGGGGCAAGGGGAGGGAGAGCATTAGGACAAATAACTAATGCATGCTGGGCTTAAAACCTAGATGATGAGTTGATAGGTGCAGCGAACCACCATGGCACATGTATACCTATGTAACAAAACTGCACATTCTGCACATGTATCCCAGAACTTAAAGTAAAATAAAATAAAAATAAAAATAAAAAAATAGGCCAGGAGCGGTGGCACACACCTGTAATCCCAGCACTTTGGGAGGCCGATGGGGGTGGATCACCTGAGGTCAGAAGTTCGTGACCAGCCTGACTAACGTGGTGAAACCCCGTCTCTACTAAATACAAAAAAATTAGATGGGCGTGGTGGCACATGCCTGTAATCCAAGCTACTTGGAAGGCTAAGACAGGAGAATTGCTTGTACCTGGGAGGCGGGGGTTGCAGTGAGCCAAGATCATGCCATTGCACTCCAGCCTGGGCAACAAGAGCAAACTCCATCTCAAAAAACAAATAAATAGGTAAATAAATAAATAAGTAAAAATGTGAGATATATACACAATAAAATACTATTCAGCCCCCAAAAAAAGAAAAGAAAATTTTGTCATTTGTGGCAACTTGGATGAAGCTGGAGGACATTATGCTAAGTGCACTAAGCCAGGAACAGAAAAACAAATAACCCATGATCTCACTTGTATGTGGAGCTAATAGAAGTAGAGAGTCGAATGGTGATTACCAGGGGCTGAGGGGAGGGAGTGGAGAGGGAAACAACTGTTAATTGAAGGGCACAAAGGTTCAGTCTGGCAAGAAGAGTAAGTTCTAGTGAGCTACCCCACAGCATGGTGACTATAGTTAATAATAGTGGATTATGTCTTTCAAAATTGCTCAGTGAGGAGATTTTCAGTGTTCTTATCACAAAGAAATAAGTATGTGAGGTGACGGATATGTTAATTAGCCTGATTTAATCATTCTACAATGTATTCATGTTTCATAACATCACAGTTTACCCCATAAATATATACAGTTATTATCAGTCAATTAAAAATGAAATATGGCCCGGCATGGTGGCTCATACCTGTAATCCCAGCACTTTGGGAGGCCAAAGCAGGCAGATTGCTTGAGTCCAGGAGTTCGAGACCAGCCTGGGCAACATGGAACATGGTGAAACCCTGTCTCTACAAAAACAAACAAACAAAAATTAGCTGGACATGGAGGTGCATTCCTGTAATCCTAACTACTAGGGAAGCTGAAGTGGGAGGATGGCTTGAGCCTAGAGGGTTGAGGCTGCAGTGAGCTGTGAGCATGCCATTGCACTCCAGCCTGGGCAACAGAGTGAGGCTCTGTCTCAAAAAAAAAAAAAAAAAAAAAAAAGAAATAAAATATAAGGGACATGAAATAAAGCAAATTACCATGACAGGAAGTCAGGTAACAAGCCTTGCCAGTCTACAAGTGCTTTGGGACAAGATGTAGGGACAGCTGAGTGGGATTTCCCAGCATTTCCTGCAATTGAGCAAGGTTCAACTGCTTGCAAGGTTAATGAAATATGGCTAGTCACCAAAGGAAGTTAAACAGTAGCAAAGATCCAAAACAAAGTTACCTGCAGGAGAAGATACCTAGGTTTATTTCCATTTGCATTATTTGCTATAAATAGTGAGGCCTTGGCCTCCTTGTACCACCCTAAGGAAAAGGACTATTGTTCTTTCTTTGGTTTTATTGATAAATGAAAGAGCAAAGGTGGAAGGTGTACCCACAGTCGGTAAAATTCTCAGACTGAACCAGCTGGACTGAGGAAGAGAAACAAGAGATGGTATGCATAGGGATATCTGGTAGTCCAGACAGA
Organism: Homo sapiens; assembly: GCF_000001405.40. Lineage (NCBI taxonomy): Eukaryota > Metazoa > Chordata > Mammalia > Primates > Hominidae > Homo > Homo sapiens. The sequence continues at coordinate 28,819 of NW_025791770.1, forward strand.
AGTAAGTGAGAGAAGAGATATTTCTTCTCTGAAATATATCAGAAAGATAGTGGCTAATCCATCACAGACACAACAAATACAGGTTGAATGGAGGAACACAGACCCCAGTCAGTCTCACTATGTGGTTACTTATGTATGTAGTTCAGCTAAGTTATTTACATTCATGTTGGAATTGGACCTACAAGGTTTAAACCTGACAGTTTTGAGAGACATTATCAGACACTCAAAAAAAGAAACCTGTTTAAAAATGCCTTCCCTGGCTCTCCCTCTCCCTCTTCCCTCTTCCCTCTTCCCTCTCCCCTCTCGCCTCTCCCCACAGTCTCCCTCTCCCTCTCTTTCCATGGTCTCCCTCTGATGCCGAGCCGAAGCTGGACTGTACTGCTGCCATCTCGGCTCACTGCAACCTCCCTGCCTGATTCTCCTGCCTCAGCCTGCCGAGTGCCTGCGATTGCAGGCGCGTGCCGCCATGCCTGACTGGTTTTCGTATTTTTTTGGTGGAGACGGGGTTTCGCTGTGTTGGCCGGGCTGGTCTCCAGCTCCTAACCGCGAGTGATCCGCCAGCCTCAGCCTCCCGAGGTGCCGGGATGGCAGACGGAGTCTGGTTCACTCAGTGCTCAATGGTGCCCAGGCTGGAGTGCAGTGGCGTGATCTCGGCTCGCTACAACCTCCACCTCCCAGCTGCCTGCCTTGGCCTCCCAAAGTGCCAAGATTGCAGCCTCTGCCTGGCCGCCACCCCTTTTGGGAAGTGAGGAGCGTCTCTGCCTGGCCGCCTATCGTCTGGGACGTGAGGAGCCCCTCTGCCTGGCTGCCCAGTCTGGAAAGTGAGGAGCGTCTCTGCCCGGCCGCCATCCCATCTAGGAAGTGAGGAGCGCCTCTTCCCGGCCGCCATCCCATCTAGGAAGTGAGGAGCGTCTCTGCCCGGCCTCCCATCGTCTGAGATGTGGGGAGCGCCTCTGCCCCGCCGCCCCGTCTGGGATGTGAGGAGCGCCTCTACCCGGCCGTGACCCCGTCTGGGAGGTGAGGAGCGTCTCTGCCCGGCCGCCCCGTCTGAGAAGTGAGGAGCCTCTCCGCCCGGCAGCCACCCCATCCGGGAGGGAGGTGGGGGTCAGCCCCCGCCAGGCCAGCCGCCCCATCCGGGAGGTGAGGGGCGCCTCTGCCCGGCCGCCCCTACTGGGAAGTGAGGAGCCCCTCTGCCCGGCCACCACCCCGTCTGGGAGGTGTACCCAACAGCTCATTGAGAACGGGCCATGATGACAATGGCGGTTTTGTGGAATACAAAGGGGGGAAAGGTGGGGAAAAGATTGAGAAATCGGATGGTTGCCGTGTCTGTGTAGAAAGAAGTAGACATGGGAGACTTTTCATTTTGTTCTGTACTAAGAAAAATTCTTATCCTGTTGATCTGTGACCTTACCCCCAACCCTGTGCTCTCTGAAACATGTGCTGTGTCCACTCAGGGTTAAATGGATTAAGGGCGGTGCAAGATGTGCTTTGTTAAACAGATGCTTGAAGGCAGGATGCTCCTTAAGAGTCATCACCACTCCCTAATCTCAAGGACCCAGGGACACAAACATTGCGCAAGGCCGCAGGGTCCTCTGCCTAGGAAAACCAGAGACCTTTGTTCACTTGTTTATCTGCTGACCTTCCCTCCACTATTGTCCTATGACCCTGCCAAATCCCCCTCTGCGAGAAACACCCAAGAATGATCAATAAAAAATAAAAAAATAAAAATAAAATAAAATAAAATAAATGCCTACCCTGGCTGTAGAATAATTTGTGTTATGATACCACCTAGTGGTCAATGGTAAATGTATGTTTTCAAGTTAAGCATGTACAAGCAAAGGCACAAAGATATTCAATACATATGTAAAATGCACGTCCACAAGGATCACTGTCCTTTATAAGCTGATAGTCAATGTTTTGAAAACCATTGTTTTTCATATATATTTTCCCCTTTTAAATTGTTTTCTCTACCTTTTCCTTAATGGTAGTTAGTATTCCGTGGTATGGAGTTGTCTTCATTTATTTAGCCAATCTTCCACAATGATCTTGTGAGATATTTTCCAATTTTTTGCTATTTCAAAGCATATTACAACCACCATCTTTTTACATGTAACTTGTCTTCCTTTGCATGATAACTGTGCAGACACATGTCAATAGAGGGCTCTGGCCGGGCCCGGTGGCTCACGCCTGTAATCCCACCATTTTGGGAGGCCAAGGTGGGTGGATCACCTGAGGCCAGGAGTTCGAGACCAGCCTCGCCAACATGGTGAAACTCCGTCACTGCTAATAAAACAAAAATTAGCCAGGAGTGGTGGTGCATGCCTGTAATCCCAGCTACTTTGGAGGCTGAGGCAGGAGAATTGCTTGAACCCAGGAGGCAGAGGTTGCAGTAAGTTTGCGCCATTGTACTCCAGCTTGGGTGACGAGCAAAACTCCACCTCCAAAAAAAAAACAAAAGTTCATTTCTTTCTTGTGCGGAAATAAAGTATAACACATACAATTATGTACAGCACATAATACTTGGTAATGATATTTAAAAATTATGTTACTAGTTTATGTATTTACTATGCTGTACTTTTTTCATTATTTTAGAGTGTACTCCTTCTACTTATTACAAAAAAAGTTAACTGTAAAACAGCCTGAGGCAGGTTCCTCAGCAGGTATTCCAAAGGCAGGCACTGTTTTTGTTTGTTTGTTTGTTTGTTTTGAGACAGTCTCGCTCTTTTGCCCAGGCTGGAGTGAAGTGGCACGATCTCAGCTCACTGCAACCTCCACCCCCCAGGTTCAAGCAACTCTCCTGCCTCAGCCTCCCAAGTAGCTGGGACTACAGGCATCGCCATCATGCCTAGCTAATTTTTGTATTTTTAGTAGAGACAAGGTTTTGCCATGTTGGCCAGACTGGTCTCGAACTCCTGACCTCAGGTGATCCACCTGCCTTGCCCTCCCAAAGTGCTAGGATTATAGGCGTGAGCCACTGCACCCAGCCAGGCATTGTTATTATAGGGTTAACTAAGGTTAATTTATCATTGAAGATAAATTTCTGGCCAGGTGCAGTGGCTCACACCTGTAATCCCAGCATTTTGGGAGGCCAAGGTGGGAAGATCGCTTGAGCCCAGGAGTTCGAGACTGGCCTGGGCAACATAGTGAGACCCTGTCTCTTTTTTTTTAATTAAAAAATTAATAAATAGCCCAGGCGCGGTGGCTCACGCCTATAATCCCAGCACTTTGGGAGGCCGAGGCGGGTGGATTACGAGGTCAGGAGATCGAGACCATCCTGGCTAACAAGGTGAAACCCTGTCTCTACTAAAAATACAAAAAATTAGCCGGGCATGGTGGTGGGCGCCTGTAGTCCCAGCTACTCAGGAGGCTGAGGCAGGAGAATGGTGTGAACCCAGGAGGCGGAGCTTGCAGTGAGCCGAGATTGCGCCACTGCACTCCAGCCTGGGCGACAGAGCGAGACTCCGTCTCAAAAAAAAAAAAAAAAAAAATTAGTAAATAATGCCGGGTGTGTTGGCTCACGCCTGTAATCGTTTCACTTTGGGAAGCCAAGGCGGGTGGATCACCTGAGGTCAGGAGTTTGAGACCAGCCTGGCCAACACGGTGAAACCCCATCTCTACTAAAAATACAAAAATTAGCCGGGCGTGGTGGCATGTGCCTGTAATCCCAGCTACTCGGGATCCTGAGGCAGGAGAATCACTTGAACCTGGGAGGCGAAGGTTGCAGTGAGCTGAGATCGTGCCACTGCATTCCAGCCTGGGCAACAAGAGCAAAACTCTGTCTCCAAATAAATAAATATATAAATAATAAAGAGAAAAATTTTCTTTCTATAAAGGTAGTGTAGTTTAAGTGTACAGTGCTTATAAAGTCTACAGAAGTGTACAGCAATGTCGTGGGCTTTCACATTAACTCACCACTCACTCACTGACTCACTCGGAGTAACTTCAAGCCCTGCAAACTCCATTCATGGCAAGTGCCCTATAAGGGTGTACCATTTTTTATCTTTTATACTATCATTTACTGTGTCCTTTCTATGTTTAGGTACACAAATATTTACCATTGTGTTACAATTGCCTACAGTATTCAGTAAAGTAACATGTTGTTCAGGTTTGTAGCCTGGGAGCAATTGGCTACACTATAGCCTAGGTGTGTAGTAGGATATACTATCCAGGTTTGTGTAAATACACTCTGTGATGTTCACACAATGATGAAATCACCTAATGACACATTTCTCAGTAGGTATCCCTGTCCTTAAGCAATGCATGGCTGTATTTCTGTAATATCCTTTCCGAAAATGCATAACCTTATTCTAACCATGAGAAAACATCAAACAAACCCAAATTGAGGGGCGTTCTCCAAATTTCTCCAAACTGACCAGTAGTCTTCAAAAACTGTCAAGATCATTGGAAGATAAAGAAAGACTGAGGACATTAGAAGAGACTCAGAGCCTGGGCGGTATGGCAAGGCTCTGTCTCTCAAAAAAAAAGGTTTGAAAAAATTAGCTTGACATGGTGGCATATGCCTATAATCCTAGCTACTAGAGAGGAGGAGGTAGGAGAATCACTTGAGCCCAGGAAGTCAAGGCTGTAGTAAGCTATGATTGTGTGACTGTACTCTAGTCTGGGTGACAGAGCAAGACCCTAACTCTAAAATAACAGCAACAAAAGACTAGGAGAAGGCTGGGCAACAAAGTGAGACCTCGTCTTTACAAAAAAACAAAAAAATGAGGTGAGTGTGGCGATGTGTGTGTACAGTCCTAGCTACTTGGGAGGACTATAAGTACACACCACCACACTCACCTCTTTTTTTTCTTCAGGAGGCTAAGGTGAGAGGATCCCTTGAGTCTGGGGTTAGAGGCAGCAGTAAGTCACGATCATGCCAGTACACTCCAGCTTAGGCTACAGAGTAAGGCACTGTCTCAAACAAAACAAAACAAAACAAAACAAAACAAAAAGACTAAAGAGAAATAATAACTAAATGCTATGTGAATGTGAAATCCTGGAACAGAAAAAGGGCATCATTGGAAACACTGCTGAAATTTGGATAAGTTCTACGCTTTAAATAATAGTACAGGCACACCTTGGAGATATTGCAGGTTTGGTTCCAGATCACTGCAATAAAGTATTGCAATAAACCAAACCACATAAATTTTTTGGTCCCCCAGTGCATATAAAAATTATGTTTATACTATAGCTTAAGTCTGTTAAGAGTGCAGGAGTGAGCATGCCACTGCACTCCAGCCTGGGTGACCAGCGAAACCTTGTCTCAAGAAAAATAAAAATACTTTATTGCTAAAAAATGCTAATAATCATTTGAGCCTTCAACACATTTGTAATTTTTTTGCTGTTAGAGGGTCTTGCCTCCATGTGGATGGCTGCTTACTGATCAGGGTGGTTGTTACTGAGGGTTGGAATGCCTGTGGCAATTTTTAAGGTAAGACAACAATGAAGCTTGTCACACCAATGGGCTCTTCCTTTCATGAAAGATTTCTCTGCAGCATGCGATGCTGTTTGATAGCATTTCACCCCACAGTAGAACTTCTTTCAAATATGCCACTTCTTTATTAACTAAATGTATGTAATATTCTAAATTATTTGTTGTCATTTCAACAGTGATCACTGGCCGGGTTACAGTGGCTCATATCTGTAATCCCAGCACTTTGCAGAAGCTGAGGCAATCAGATTGCTTGAGCTCAGGAGTTCAAGACCAGCCTGGGCAACACTGTGAAACCCTGTCTCTACAAAAAATACAAAAATTAGCCGGGCATGGTGGCATGTGCCTGTAATCCCAGCTACTCAGGAGGCTGAGGCAAGAGAATCGCTTGAACCTGGGAGGTGGAGGTTGCAGTGAGTTGAGATCACACCACTGCACTCCAGCTTGGTCAACAGAGCAAGACTCCATCTCAAAACAAAACAAACAATGTTCACAGCATCTTCACCAGGAGTAGACTTTGTCTCAAGAAACCACGTTTTTTTTTTTCCTTTCTCAAGACCGAGTTTTGCTCTGTCACCCAGGCTGGAGTGCAGTGGCGCAATCTCAGCTCACTGCAACCCCCACCTCCTGGGTTCAGGTGATTCTCCTGCCTCAGCCTCCTGAGTAGCTGGGATTACAGGCGCCCACCACCACGCTGGGCTAATTTTTGTATTTTTAGTAGAGATAGGTTTTCGCCATTTTGGCCAGGCTGGTCTCGAACTACTGACATCAAGTGACCTGCCCACCTTGGCCTCCCAAAGTGCTGGTGTTACAGGTGTGAGCCACCACGCCTGGCCAAGAAACCTCTTTCTTTACTCTTCCGTAAGAAACATCTCCTATCTATTCAAGTTTTATCATGAGGTTGCAGCAATTCAGTCACATGTTCAGGCTTTACTTCTAATTCTAGTTATCTTGCTATTTTCTACCACATCTGCAGTGACTTCTCACTGAAGTCTTGAACTCCTCAATGTCTTCCATGAGGGTTGGAATCAACTTCTCCCAAACTCCTATGAATCCTGATATTCTGACCTCCTTCCATGAATCATGAATGTTCTTTAATGGCATCTAGAATGGTGAATCTTTTCCAAAGGGTTTCAATTTACTTTCCCCGAATCCATCAGGGGAATCACTATTTATGGCAGCTATAGCCTTACAAAATGTATTCTTTAAATAATAAGACTTGAAAGTTGAAATTACTCCCTGATCCATGGGCTGTCTGAATGTTGTGTTAGCAGGTATGAAAACAACATTCATCTCCTTGTACATGTCTATCCGAGCTCTTGGGTGACAAGGTGCATTGTCAATGAGCACTAATATTTTGAAAACAATCTTTTGTCTGAGCAGCAGTTCTCAACAGTGGGCTTAAAATATTCAGTAAACCAAATGTGTAAACAGATATGCTGTCATCTAGGCTTTGTTGTTCCATTTGTAAAGTACAGACACAGTAGATTTAACACAATTCTTAAGGGGCTTAGGATTTTCAGAATGGTAAATGACCATTGGCTTCAACTTAAGGTCACCAGCTGCATCAACCCCTAACAAGAGAGTCAACCTGTCCTTTGAAGCTTCGAAGCCAGACATTGACTTCTCCTCTCTAGCTATAAAAGTCCTAGATGGCATCTTGTTCCAATATAAAACTGCTTCATCTACATTGGATATTTGTTGTTTAGTGTAGCCATCTTCACCAATGATCTTAGATCTGGGTAACTTGCTGCAGCTTCTACAAAAGTACATGCTGCTTCACCTTGCACTTTTATGTTATGGAGATGACTTCTTTCCTTTACCTCATGAATCCACCAGTGCTAGCTTCAAACTCTTTCCTGAAGCTTCCTCACCTTTCTTAGTCTTCATAGAATTGAAGACAGTTAGAGCCTTGCTCTTGATTAGGCTTTGGCTTAAGGGAATATTGTGACCGGTTTGATCTACCCAGACCACTCAAACTTCCTACGTATCAGCAATAAAGCTATTTTGCTTTTTTAGCATTTGTGTGTTCACTGAAGTAGCACTTTTATTTATTTATTTGCTATTATTTTTTGAGACAGAATCTCATTCTGTTGCCCGGGCTGATGTGCAGTGGTGTGATCATAGCTAACTGCAACCTCAAACTTCTGGGCTCAAGCGATCCTCCTGCCTCAGTACCTGGGACTACAGGCTCATGCCTGTATCTGAGTACAGGACTACAGGCTGTACTCAATCCTAAGTACCTGGGACTACAGGCTCATGCCACCACATCTGGCTAATTTTTATTTTCTATTTTTTGTAGAGATAAGATCTCATTATGTGCCCAAGCTAGTCTTGAACTCCTGGGCTAAGTTATCCTCCTGCCTTGGCCTCCCAAAGCACTGAGATTACAGGTATGTGCCACCATGCTTGGCCTGGAGTACTACTTTTAATTTCTTTCAAGAACTTTTCTTTTGCAATCACAACTTGGCTAACTGCTGGGAGCAAGACGCCTGGCTTTCAGGCTGTCTTGGCCTTCAACAAGCCTTCCTCACTAAGCTTAATCATTCTCACTACTTGTGTTCAAAATTGTATGAAAGTTCTAGCTTTTGGTTTAAAGTGAGAGATGTGGGACTCTTCCTTTCACTTGAGCACTCAGAGGCCATTGCAGGGTTATTAATTGGCCTAATTTCAATATTGCTGTGTCTCAGGGGATAGGAAGGTCCAAAAAGAGGGAGAGAGAGCAGCAGTCCCCACCTTTTTGGCACCAGGGACCAGTTTCATGGAGATAATTTTTCCATGGACTGGGGGATGGGGAAGTAGTTCCGGGATGATTCAAGCACATTACATTTATTGTGCACATTATTTCTATTATTACATTGTAATACGTAATGAAATATTTTTACAACTCACCATAACATACCATAGTGGGAGCCCTGAACTTGCTTTCCTGCAGCTAGGTAGTCCCATCTGGGAGTGATGAAAGACAGTGACAGATCATCAGGCATTAGATTCTCGTAAGGAGCACACAACCTAGATCCCTCACATGTGCAGTTCACAACAGGGTTCACACACCTACGAAAATCTAATGCCGCTGCTGATCTGACAGGAGGCGGAGCTCGGGAAGTAATGTGAGCAATGGGGAGTGGCTATAAATACGATACAGATGAAGCTTTGCTGGCTCACCTGCCTCTTACCTCCTGCTGTGCAGCCCGGTTCCTAACAGGCCATGGACTGGTACTAGTCTGTGACCCAGGTGTTGGGGAACCCTGATATAGGGGAATGGCCAATCCATGACGCAGTCAGAACACACGTATTGATCAATAACTTTGCTGTCCTATGTGGGCACAGTCCATGGCACCCCAAAACAATTACATAGTAACATCAAACATCACTAAATACAGATCACCATAACAGATATAACAATAATGCTAAGGTTTGAAGTATTGTGAGAATTACCAAAACGTGACACCGTGACAAAAAGTGAGTACATGCTATTGGAAAAATGGTGCTGATAGACTTGTGTGATGCAGGGATGCCACAAACTTTCAACTTATTTAAAAAAAAAAAAAACTATTTGCAAAGCACAATAAAGCAAAGTACAATAAAACAATGTATGCCTGTGTTATACCAAGATTAATTTCCTGGTTTTAATGACTGTACTATGGTTATATAAGAAGGTAGCATTAGATGAAGCTGATTGAAAGGTATATGGGAATTCTCGGAACTTTTTTCTAAGTCTGAAATTAGATAAAAATAAAAGGTTTTTTGGTTTTGTTTTTCTGAGACAGGGTCACTCTGTCGCCTAGGCTGGAGTGCAGTGGCATAATCTCGGCTCACTGTAACCTCCACCACCTGGATTCAAGCAACTCTCCCACCTCAGCTTCCTGTGTAGCTGAGACTACAGGCACACACCACCAAGCCCAGCTAATTTTTTTTTTTTTTTCGTATTTTAAGTAGAGATGGGGTTTCACCATGTTGGCCAGGCTGGTCTCCAACTCCTGACCTCCAGTGATCCACCTGCCTCGGCCTTCCAAAGTGCTGGGATTACAGGCATGAATCACCACATACAGCCAAAAATAATTCTTTTTTTTTTAAGGTGGCCAGGGGCAGTGGCTGACGCTTGTAATCTCAGCACTTTGGAAGGCTGAGGCGGGCAGATCACGTGGTCAGGAGTTTTGAGACCAGCCTGGCCAACAACATAGTGACGCCCCGTCTCTACCAAAAAAATACAAAAATTATTTGGGCATGGTGGCAGGCGCCCATAAGCCCAGCTACTCGGGAGGCTGAGGCAGGAGAATCGCTTGAACCCGGGAAGCGGAGGTTGCAGTGAGCCAAGATTGTGCCACTGCACTCCAGCCTGGGCGACAGAGCGAGAATCCGTCCTAAAAAAAAAGGTGTGCATCTACAAATGTCAGTAGAGAATTTGGTGTAAAAATATTGAATACAGAATGTCAATATTAAAGCCAATAGTTATTTCATATTTTTTCAGTTTTTAAAAGTATTGTCTTATGTTTTAGTAAGAGAACATATCTGAACTCCCAAAATAAGAGAATGGAACTAAGAAATTAGCTAAAACCGCTGTCAACCTGGCGTGACAGTGGACACTCAGCTTTTTCCCTTCAGGAGCAGCAGTCTTTTCCCCTGAGGAGCTGGACACAGTGAGGAGCTTGACATAGTGAGGGGAAGCAGGGAGAACAGACTATACTAAAATAATCTAGCCAGCCACCAAATAAACAGAGGAAGGGGACAGTATACAGAGTTACTACAATGTATTGTGTCCGGAAATGGTTCCTGCCGGTGGGTTCTTGGTCTCGCTGACTTCAAAAATGAAGCTGCGGACCCTCTCGGTGAGTGTTACAGTTCTTAAAGACAGTGTGTTCAGAGCTTGTTCCTTCAGATGTTCGGATGTGTCGGGAGTTTCCTCCTTCTGGTGGGTTCGTGGTCTCGCTAACTTCAGGAGTGAAGCTGCAGACCTTCGCTGTGAGTATTACAGCTCTTTAAAGGTGGCACGTCGGGAGTCGTTCCTTCCTCCAGGTGAGTTCATGGTCTCACTGACTTAAGGAGTGAAACTGCAGACCTTCACCCTGTTACAGCTCTCAAAGGTGGCAGGTCCAGAATGGTTGGTTTCTCCCACTGGGTTTGTGGTCTCGCTAGCTTCAACAGTAAAGCTGCAGACCTTCATGCTGAGTGCTACAGCTCATAAAGGTAGTGCGGACCCTAAGAGCAAACAGCAGCAAGATTTATTAGGAAAAGCAGAAAAACAAACCATCCACAGTGACCCCAGGGGGTTGCAGCCCCTGTGCAGGTGGCCTGCTTTTATTCCCTTATTTGGCCCCACCCACATCCTGCTGATTGGTCCACTTTACAGAGAGCTGATTGGTCCATTTTACAGAGTGCTGATTGGTCCGCTTTGACAGAGTGCTGATTGGTGCATTTACAAACCTTTAGCTAGACCCAGAGTGCTGATTGGTGCATTTACAATCCTTTAGCTAGACAGAAAAGTTCTCCAAGTCCCCACTCAACCCGGAAGCCCAGCTGGCTTAACATCTCAGTATTACTAAAATGTTACTGACAAAAACAATTATAGAACATACAAAGAAACAAGAAAGTGTGATTCACTCTAGAAAACAAACAACAAACAAAAAAATACAGGCAACAGATACTGCATGTGAGAGCAAGCAGACTTCAGATTTAACAAACAAATCCTTCAAAGTATAATACTTGTTATAGATATGTTGGAACAAACTAAAGGAAACCATGATTAAAGAAGTAAAGGGGCCAGGTGTGGTGGCTCACGCCTGTAACACCAGCACTTTGGGAGGCCAAGGAGGGTGGCTCATTTGAGATCAGGAGTTCAAGACAAGCCTGGCCAACATGGGGAAATACCGCCTCTACTAAAAATACAAAAATTAGCTGGGCGGTAGTGGCGTGCACCTGTAATCCCAGCTACTCAGGATACTGAGGCAGGAGAATCGGTTGAGCCTGGCAGGCCAAGGTTGCAATGAGCCAAGTTCACGCCACTGCACTCCAGCCTGGGCAGGCAACAGTGTGAGACTCTGTGTCAAAAATAAAAAAATAAAAATAAAAATAAATAAAAAGCCAAGAAGAAGAAGTAAAGGAGACTGGGCCCTGTGGCGCTTGCCTGTAATCCCAGCACTTTGGGAGTTCGAGGTGGATGGATCATTTGAGGTCAGAAGTTTGAGACCAGCCTGGCCAACATGGTGAAACCCCATCTCCACTAAAAATACAAAAAAAAAAAAAATTAGCTGTGCATGGTGGCACACGCCTGTAATCCCAGCTACTTGGGAGGCTGAGGCAGGAGAATCGCTTGAACCTGTGAGAAGAAGGTTGCAGTGAGCCGAGATTGGGCCACTGCACTCCAGCCTAGGCGACAGAGCAAGATTCCGTCTCAAAAAAAAAAAAAAGTAAAGGGATTGGGAGAAGTGGCTCACGCCCCTAATCCCAGCACTTTGGGAAGCTGAAGTGGGCGGATCACCTGAGGTTAGGAATTCAAGACCAGCCTGGGAAGCATGGCAAAACCTCGTCTGCACAAAAAATTTAAAAATAAGCTGGACATGGTGGCACATGCATGTAATCCCAGCTACTCAGGAGGCTGAGGTGGGAGGATGCTTGGGCCTGGGAGATCGAGGCTGCAGTGAGCCATGACCACGCCACTGCGCTCTAAGTGGCAGAGAGAGATCCTGTCTCAAAAAAAAAAAAAAAAAAAAAGGAGTTACAGACTGATAAGTCACACCTGTAATAGGTGTGAGCCACCGCACCTGGACTAACCTGCATATTTGTCAATAAAATATCCCGAGTAAATGTGGCAAGCATTGAGCTTTGTTCAATCTGGGTGGTAAATAGACTTGTCATATTATATTCTGTACTTTTCAGTGTTTTGAAAAATCTCATAATGATGATGATGATAAAAACATTATTCCTCAAATTCCCCATACTTATAGTTGAAATAATTTATTGGATTTATGTTTCAAAGAATAATAAAAGTATATCTAAAATATATATTTTTTTACAAGTAAATTTAAAATGTCCACAGGAGATGGCACCAATAGATCATTGAAAAACACTCTTCATTGGTAATTTGACACAGAATTACAAAATACAGATACAATAGTGAAAATCCCATTATACTATTAATACTTCTATTAACAATATATATATTTTTTGAGACGGAGTCTCGCTCAGGTACCCAGGATGGAGTGCAATGGCGCGATCTCAGCTCACTGCAACCTCTGCCTCCCGAGTTCAAGCGATTCTCCTGCCTCAGCTTCCCGAGTAGCTAGGATCACAGGCACCTGCCACCACATCCTGCTAATTTTTGTATTTTTGTAGAGATGGGGTTTCACCATCCTGGCCAGGCTGGTCTCGAACTCCCGACCTCAGGTGATCTGCCAGCCTCAGCCTCCAAAACTGCTGGGATTACAGGTGTGAGCCACCGCGCCCTGCCTTTTTTTTTTTTTTTTGAGACGGAGTCTCACTCTGTCGCCCAGGCTGGAGTGCAGTGGCATGATCTCAGCTCCCTGCAGCCTCCACCTCCCGGGTTCAAGCAATTCTCCTGCCTCAACCTCCAGAGTAGCTGGGATTACAGGCGCCCGCCACCACGCCCGGCTAATTTTTGTATTTTTAGTAGAGACGGGGTTTCACCATGTTGGCCAGGCTGGTCTCGAACTTCTGACCTCGTGATCCGCCCGCCTCGGCCTTCCAAAGTGCTGGGATTGGCCGGGCGCGGTGGCTCACGCCTGTAATCCCAGCACTTTGGGGGGCCGAGGCGGGCGGATCACGAGGTCATGAGATCGAGACCATCCCGGCTAAAACGGTGAAACCCCGTCTCTACTAAAAATACAAAAAATTAGCCGGGCGTAGTGGCGGGCGCCTGTAGTCCCAGCTACTTGGGAGGCTGAGGCAGGAGAATGGCGTGAACCCGGGAGGCGGAGCTTGCAGTGAGCCGAGATCCCGCCACTGCACTCCAGCCTGGGCGACAGAGCGAGACTCCGTCTCAAAAAAAAAAAAAAAAAAAAAAAAAAAAAAAAAAAAAAAAAAAAAAAAGTGCTGGGATTACAGGCTTGAGCCACCATTCCCAGCCTATCAACAATATTTTGTATCTGTATAGAGATACAAAATATAGGGTGCTGTGACTCACACCTGTAATCCCAGTACTTTGGGAGGCCAAAGGCAGGCTGATAGCTTGAGCTCAGGAGTTTGAGATCAGCCTGGGCAACATAGTGAAACCCCACCTCTACCAAAAATGAAAAAAAAAAAAAAAAAGTCAGGTGTGAGGCTGAAGTGGGAGGATCACTTGAGCCTGGGAAGTCAAGCCTGCAATGAGCCGAGATGGAGCCACTGCACTTCAGTCTGAGTGACAGACCGAGACCCTGTTTCAAAAAAAAAAAAAAGAGGGGGAGGGGGCGGGGAAGGCGAGGCAACAAAAGAAAAGAAAAGAAAAATGATAAAACCACCAAATGCCACCAAACATTGTAAGACATCTCTACAAGAAATAAGCAAGCTCTGTCAGGAAGCCTTGGGATGAAAGAGGAGGAGACTTATCTGTTAATTTGTTTTTTCTAAGTCTTTTGCCAAAGAGTTATATCAGTGAGGATCTAGCCAGGAAAACAGAAACCACTGTAAGCATTTAAAAAACACTTCAATACTTTTTTTTTTAATTAAAAAAAAAAAAAGAAGGAATTGAGCCGGATGCAGTGGCTCACGCCTGTAATCCCAGCACTTTGGGAGGCCAAGGCAGGTGAATCACAAGGTCAGGAGTTCAAGACCAGCCTGGCCAAGATGGTGAAACCCCGTCTCTACTAAAAATACAAAAATTAGCCGGGTGTGGTGGTGGGTGCCTGTAACCTTAGCTACTCAGGAGGCTGAGGCAGAGAATCGCTTGAACCCAGGAGGCAGAGGTTGCAGTGAGCAGAGGTTGCACCACTGCACTCCAGCCTGGGTGACAGAGTGAGACTCCATCTCAAAAAAAAAAATTAAAAAATTAAAAATAAATTAAAAAAGGAGGAATCAAATAGTAGGAATTGGATGGAAGAGCTGAGAAACCAAGCAAAGGAGTAAAGCAACCCAGGCCTTAGCAACAGAAGAATACCACCACCACCCTCAGCTACAGGAGAAAGGGAAGGATGGAAGAGATGTTTCTGACATCCAAGGGCTGGCGTCACTGAACAAAGCCAGAACCATCATGGGACTGTTTGGGGATAAAGCCTTTGCCAGAAAGACTTCTGAGGCAGACATGGAAAGGGAGAAACACCTTGCCCTTCCTCTTGCCCCATAATCTCTCACTGATGCCTTCTGTTGACTGAATTTCACTGAAGCCAGCTGACATGGGAGCCTGGGAAGCAGCCTAGAGGAGTGAGCCCTGTGATACAGAGCAGAGCAGAGCACAACAAGGACAAAATGTAGAGCCAAGGGCAAAGGAAATCCCTTTCATGAGTTATAACCTTATAAATTATGGCTGAACTTTTTTTTTTTTTTTTTTTGAGACAGGTTCTCGATCTGTTACCCAGACTGGAATGAAATGGCAAGGATACTGCTCACTGCAGCCTTGACCTCCTGGGCTCAGGTGATCCTCACACCTCAGCCTCCCAAAGTGTTGAGATTATAGGTGTGAGCCACCACACCTGCCCCCACCTACCTTTAAAAACCCTTACTTGCAAGCCATCAAGAAGGTTGGATCTTAAGCATGAGCTGCCCAATTCTCCTTGCTTGGTGCCCTACAGATAAACACTCCTTTCTCCCACCACAAACCTTGGTGTGGGTATTTGGCCTTACTGTGCCAGGTGAAGGGACCCTGGTTCAGTTAGACAACATAAATATTTGCAGTGCATGTGTACTACCCAAGTACATGACTTCATTGACAAATAAGTATAATCCCAGGGCTTTGGGAGGCCAAGGCAGGTCAAACAAAATTTACCAGACTTGGGTCCAACGGTTACTACCACACTTTAAGTTAGCAAATAGCTTTCCCTTGGAAGCTTGATTTGAACAGCCAGTGAAAGAGAAGCACAGTTGGGCCAGGGGCTTGATGTCCCTGGGTATGTTACTGCTTTGGAAAAAGGGGCAGAAATTTATGCTTTTGCACCTTTGTAGTACTTCTTGGTAACAGAGTGTTCCTGTGATGAATCAGTTGCAAAACCATTTGTAGTTTCCATCTAAATCTTGATTATGGGAATAATAACACCTTGATTTAACCCTCAGGGACCTAGAAAGAGTCACATCTAGAGTCCAAGAACTCTTTTCAAGTTCTAGTTCTAATACTTACTAGCTGAGCAAGTTGATCTACTGATTTACTTTTCAGAAATCAAAAAAAGCCGCACTTTCCTTATCTATAAAATGGGTATGAATATCCTTATCACAGGGATGTTAAGGATAAAAAGAGAAATAATTGTACAAACTCTGTATGAAACCATCAAAGGCCATACAAAAGTAAAGACTGTTTAACACCCCGATATAGTGAGGAATTATATTTTAAAGTTGTGTGGTTACAGATATCATAGTGCTTACTACGCATCGGACGCATATACAAATCAATGGAAATACAATATTGATAATATTTAAAGGCAGAATTTGGAGATTACAGTTAGGGTGGTGGCAAGGGGATTCATGCCAAGAGATTGTCCCCGAAGTGTAATAGAAGATTTGAAAGATGTTAGTACAGTCTTTTTTTTTTTTTTTGAGATGGAGTCTCGCTCTGTCGCCAGGCTGGAGTGCACTGGCACGATCTTGGCTCACTGCAACCTCTGCCTCCCAGGTTCAAGCGATTCTCCTGCCTCGGCCTCCCGAGTAGTTGGGACTACAGGTGCACGCCACCACGCCTAGCTAATTTTTGTATTTTTAGTAGAGACGGGGTTTCACCATGTTGGCCAGGATGGTCTCAATCTCTTGACCTCGTGATCCGCCTGCCTTGGCCTCCCAAAGTGCTAGTAGTACAGTCTTTGGCAGTCAAAAAAGTCTTCTTGGGAAAATGACACTCGTCCTTCCTTGGAAGGTGATGGCATTGGCTACACAAGAGTGTGTGGCCAGGCACAGTGGCTCACGCCTGTAATCTCAGCACTTTGGGAGGCCAAGGCAGGTGGATCACCTGAGGTCAGAAATTCGAGACCAGCCTGGGCACATGGTGAGACCCCATCTCCATTAAAAATACAAAAATTAGCCAGGCATGATGCTGCATGCCTGTAGTCCCAGCTACTCAGGAGGCTGAGGCAAGAGGATTGCTTGAACCCAGGAGGCAGAGGTTGCAGTGAGCTGAAATTGTGCCACTGCACTCTAGCCTGCGTGACAGAGAGACTCAGTCTTAAAAAAAAAAAAAAAAAGAGCATGTGGAGTGGAGGCTAAAGGGGATTATAGACAAATGCCATGGCAAATGCAAAAAAACAATATAGTGCCTCTGAGGAACCCCAGTAATATGGCCAAAGTGGGGAGTATGGAGACATGAAGCCAGAGGTCACAGCCAGATTGTGAAGGCCCTTAAAAGTCCTTGTAGGTCGGGCACAGTGGTTCACACCTATAATCCCAGCAATTTGGGAGCCCAAGCCGGGTGGATCACCTGATATTAGGAGTTCGAGACCAGCCTGAGCACCATGGGGAAACCCTGTCTCTATTAAAAGTACAAAAAAATAGCCAGATGTGGTGGCGGGCACCCGTAATCCCAGCTACTCCAGAGGCTGAGGCAGGAGAATCACTTGAACCGGGAGTTGGAAGTTACAGTGAGCTAAGATCTCGCCATTGCACTCCACCCTGGGCAAGAGCAAAACTCCATCTCAAAAAAAAAAAAGGCCTTTTAAGGAGTTTGGACTTGGTACTAAGAGCATTGAATTGTCTTAAATGGGTGTGGATATAATCCAATTCATATTTCTAAAAATCTTTGGCTAAATGGAAGGATTCTGGAGGAAAACAGACCAGATGAAAAGGTTGAAGTGGCGCTAGTCTCAGTTGGGATTTAGGCTTAGGAATGGAGTAGCAGTGAGAATGGGAAGATCCAGCCTATTTAAGAAGTAGAATGCACAGACCTTGGTTGGTTGAACTAGATGGGGAAATGAATTAGTAGATGTTTCAGTTACCTGTTGCTGCACAACAAAGCATCTTCAAACTCAGCAGTTTAAAAGAATAACATGGGCCAGGCGCGGTGGCTCACGCCTGTAATCCCAGCACTTTGGGAGGCCGAGGCAGGCAGATCACGAGGTCAAGAGATTGAGACCATCCTGGCCAACATAGTGAAACCCCGTCTCCACTAAAAATACAAAAAATAAGCCGGCCGTGGTGGCGGGCGCCTGTAGTCCCAGCTACTTGGGAGGCTGAGGCAGGAGAATCACTTGAACCCAGGAGGCAGAGGTTGCAGTGAGCCTAAATGGGTCACTTAGAAAATTGATGTTTGGGCCAGGCGCAGTGGCTCACGCCTGTAATCCCAGCACTTTGGGAGGCCAAGGCGGGTGGATCACCTGAGGTCAAGAGTTTGAGACCAACGTGGCCAACATAGTGAAACCCCGTCTGTACTAAAAATACAAAAAATTAGCTGGACTTGGTGGTGGGCGCCTGTAATCCCAGCTACTTGGGAGGCTGAGGCAGGAGAATCACTTGAACCCAGGAGGCGTAGGTTGCAGTGAGCCGAGATTGAGCCAGTCCACTCCGGCCTGGGTGACAATAGTGAAACTTTGTCTCAAAAAAAAAAAAAAAGTTCATGGAAAAATAGAATTAAAAAGATAAACTTCATTTCTTAACATAAACTTCATTGAGTTCAAGACACTTATAAATGATGATACCAGATCACTTGAGGTAAGGAGTTTGAGACTAGCTTGGGCAACTTGGTGAAACCCTCTCTCTACTAAAAATACAAAAATTAGCCCAGTGTGGTGGCGCACGCCTGCAATCTCAGCTACTCAGGAGGCTGAGGCATGAGAATGGCTTGAACCTGGAAAGTGGAGGTTGCAGTGAGCTGAGATCATGCCCCTGCACTCCAGCCTGGGCAACAGAGGGAGACTCCATTAAAAAAAAAAAAATCTTAAAGGGCACCCATTTTATTCAGCTAACAATGAAAAAAAGACATGCATTGACATGGTTAAATCCCCAGGCCCCTCAGTTCTTTAGTGATCTGCCTGCCTTAGCCTTAAGGTTAGAAAAAAAAAAGTCAGAAGAAGCCAAATCATGACTGTAAGGTGGATGCCTAATGATTTCCCACTGAAACTCTCAAAAAATTGCCCTGGTTTGATGAGAGGAATGAACAGGAGCATTGTTGTGGTGGAGAAAGTCTCTCTAGTAAAGCTTTCCTGTGTGGTTTTGTTTCTTTTCTTTTCAGTTTTTTTGTTTTTTGTTTTGTTTTGTTTTGGGACAGAGTCTCACTCTGTCGCCAGGCTGGAGTGCAGTGGTGTGATCTTGGCTCACTGCAATCTCTGCCGCCCTAGTTCAAGTGATTCTCCTGCCTCAACCTCCCAAGTAGCTGGGACTACAGGCACATGCCACCACACCCAGCTAATTTTTGTATTTTTTAGTAGAGACAGAGTTTCACCATGTTGGCCAGGATGGTCTTGCTCTCTTGACCTCGTGATCTGCCCACCTCAGCCTCCCAAAGTGGTGGGATTACAGGCGTGAGCCACCGCACCCGGAATTCTTTTCTTTTTTTCCTAAAACTTTGGCTAACTTTCTTAAAACACTCTCATAATAAGCAGATGTTATTATTCTTTGGCCCTCCAGAAAGTCAACAAGCAAAATGAGTTGAACATCCCCAGTAACTGTTGCCACGATCTTTGATCTTGATTGGTGTGCTTTTGCTTTGACTGGACCCCTCCAACCTCTTGGTAGTCATTGCTTTGATTATGCTTTGTCTACAAAATTGTACTGGTAAAGCCATGTTTCATCTTCTGTTACAATTCCTAGAAGAAATGCTTAAGAATTTTGATCCCATTTGTTTAAAATTTCCATTGAAACCTTTGCTTGTCTACAGTTGATCAGGGTGCAACTGTTTGAGTAACTATTTAATGGAAATTTTGCTCAACTTTAATTTTTTAGTCAGACTTGTGTAAGCTGAACCAATTGAGATGTCTATGGTATTGGCTATTTTTTCTGCTGTTAATCGTCTGTCTTACTCAATTAGGGCACAAACCAAGATAGATTTTTTTCCTTGAAAATTGATGTGGATGATCTGCCACTTTGCACTTTGTCTTCAACATTGTCTCATCCCTTCTTTTTTTTTTTTTTTTTTTTTTGAGATGGAATCTCACTGTGTCACCCAGGCTGGAGTTCAGTGGCACGATCTTGGCTCACTGCGGCTTCACCTCCTGGGTTCAAGTAATCCCCCTGCCTCAGCCTCCTGAGTAGCTAAGACTACAGGCACGCCCCACCACGCCTGGCTAATTTTTGTATTTTTTCAGTAGAGTCAAGGTTTCATCATTTTAGCCAGGCTGGTCTTGAACTCCTGACCTCAAGTGATCCACCCACCTCGGCCTCCCAAAGTGTTGGAATTACAGGCATGAGCCACTGCACCTGGCCATCTCATCCCTTCTTAAAACGAGTTATGCATTTGTAAACTACTGATTTGCGGGGGGCATTCTCTTTATAAACCTTTTATAAAGGATAAATTATTTCACCATTCTTCCATCCAAGCTTTACCAGAAATGTGGTGTTTGTTCTTG
Source organism: Homo sapiens (assembly GCF_000001405.40). Taxonomy (NCBI): domain Eukaryota; kingdom Metazoa; phylum Chordata; class Mammalia; order Primates; family Hominidae; genus Homo; species Homo sapiens. Next base: position 48,877 of record NW_025791770.1, read on the forward strand.
CTTCAATTTTAGCAGAATTCATATTGCTCTGAAAGGGGCTCTTTTCAAACTGATGTCTTATCTTTCTTAGTGCCTCAAACTGGATCCTATTTTGACATGTTATAATAAGTTAGTATGAATTTATTTTGGTGCAAAAAGAGTTTGAAATTCATGCATAGTTTTTTCATAATACATATTTTCCATGAACTTTTTGAAGACTCCACATATACAATACATGATTATTATTATTATTGAGACAGGATATTGCTTTGTTGTCCAGGCTGGAGTGCAACCTCCAACTCCTAGGCTCAAGCAATCCTCCCACCTCAGCCTCCTGAGTAGCTGGGACGACAGGTGCCTGCCACCACACCTGGCAAATTTTTGTATTTTTTGTAGAGACAGGGTTTCGCTATGTTTCCCAGGCTGGTCTCAAACACCTAGGCTCAAGTGATCCACCTGCATCAGCTTCCCAAAGTGCTGAGATTACAGGTGTGAATCACCACACCCAACCTTACAATACATTATTATTAACTATAGTCACCATGCTATACATTGGGTTCGACTCCACCTCCTGATGGATGGGAGGAGCAGCATGTGCGTATTGGGATGGTAAGAGTTGTCAACCAAGAAGCTAGATGTAAAAGGTCACATATTGTATGATTCTCTGGAGGCAGTCTTCCACAAGCAGTAAGAATCACATATAGGCCAGGCACTGTGGCTAACACCTATAATCCCAACATTTTGGGAGGCCGAGGTGGGTGTATCCCTTGAGTCCAGGAGTTTGAGAACAGCCTGGGAAAAATGGCAAAACCCGGTCTCTACCAAAAATACAAAAAATTAGGCCAGGCGAGGTGGCTCACGCCTGTAATCCCAGCGCTTTGAGAGGCTGAGGCGGGTGGTTCACCTGATGTCAGGAGTTCGAGACCAGCCTGGCCAATGTGGTGAACTAAAAAAAGAAAAATTAGCCAAGCACGGTGGCTTGCGCCTGTAATCCCAGCTACTTGGGAGGCTGAGGCAGGAAGATTGCTTGAACCCGGGAGGTGGAGGTTGCAGTGAGCCAAGATCGCATCACTGCACTCTAGCCTGGTTGACAAGAGAGAAATTCCATCTCAAAATAAATAAATAAATAAATAAATAATAATAAAAATAAAAATAACAAAAATATAAAAAATTAGTCAGGTGTGGTGGCGTGCACCTGTAGTCCCAGCTACTTGGGAGGCTAAGGTGGGAGAATCACCTGAAACTGGGAGTTAGAGGCTGGAGTGAGCCATGATTATACCACTGCACTGCAGCCTGGGTAACAGAGTGAAACCTGTCTCAAAACACAGACACAAACAAACAAACCACATACAGTCTAAAGTACTGTGAATGGATAGTGGTATCATTATTAGCTGGAGGTAAAGTGACTCACCGTAGTTTATGACGGAGCAAAATCCTACTGAGCTTTTCCACCTCCCCACTCCTGAATTAGTTATCCATCATTGATGTCAGCCTGATTGTGAAAAAAGGGAGAGCTGCTGATACGGAAAGTAGAGGGAAGAGAGCCCAAATATCTTCAATATAATAGCAAATCCTAGAATCTAGAATGTAGTGGTTAAGATAATAGCCATTTACCAGTCTTGTGGCTTGGGAAAGTGGATTAACATCTGTGCCTCAGTTTCCCTATCTATGAAATGGGGGACAAGAACCAACATAGATGTGACCACATGTGAGAAAGTGAAAAGGGGACTAAGAAAATTAAAAAAAAAAAAACAGTTCTGTTAGTAGAATGTTCCCAACTGGACATAAACAGCACTCACAGAATATGAACAATGTTCATAGACAGTTTCACCATGATCGTGTTTTGGACAAGACAGAAACAAGGCCCTCAACAACCACACAAATGGGAAAACACCCCCTTCTTCTAATGTAAATGATCCCGCTTTTTTTTTAACCAATGACAGCTCTAGCTTGCTTTGTTCCTCCTTCTGTTTAGATAAAACCAAGACTGAATTGCTTGTTTCCTGACAGCATCCAATTCAAATTTGGCCTCCTACTTTCCCAATCCCTCTAGAATAAGCCCAAATTCTATAAGAGATTCCTCCTAATTCCTTTTCATTAAGAGGCTCCCTACTACACTTCAGGTGTGCCTTTTTATTATTTTTTATTCTTTATTTTATTTATTTATTTATTTATTTTTGAGATAGACTTTTGCTCTTGTTGGCCAGGCTGCAGTGCAATGGCACGACCTCGGCTCACTGCAACCTCTGCCTCCCGGGTTCAAACAATTCTCCTGCCTCAGCCTGCCAAGTAGCTGGGATTACAGGCACCCGCCACAACGCCCGGCTAATTTTTGTATTTTTTTTTAGTAGAGACGGGGTTTCACCATGTTGGCCAGGCTGATCTCAAACTCCTGATCTCAGGTAATCTGCCTGCCTCGGCCTCCCAAAGTGCTGGGATTACAGGCATTAGCCACCGTGCCCGGCCAGGTATGCCTTTGCCCAGCCAGGTATGCCTTTTTATGGTGGGCACATATTCATCAAAAGTCATACTAGAGTAATCATATTGGCCCTATTCAAAATAGATAAAATATCCAAATGCCCAACAATAAAATGAATACATAAATTAAGGAATATTCACATAATGTAACATTATAATATATAACAATGAGAAACAAATACAACTTCATTCAACAATGTCAATGAATCTCATACTATCGAGCAAAAGAAGCTAGACCCTAAAAAATATATTGTATAATGTATATACATTAAGTTTAAAAGCAGGTGAAGCTAATCCATAGTGTTAAATGTCAGCATAATGATTATCTTTGTGGAGAGATGGGAAGAGGCATGAGGGGAACTCCCAGATATGGGTAAAGCTCTGCCCTTTCTCTGGGTGCTAGTTATATGTATGTGTTGAGTTGATGAAAAGTCAATACACTGTACTTATGATTCATGCACTTTTCTTTGTGTATGTTAGCCTGAATTAAAAAGTTTAAGAAAAAACAAATACTTTTTTTTTTTTTTGAGACAGAGTCTCACTCTGTTGCCCAGGCTGGAGTGCAGTGGGGCAATCTTGGCTCACTGCAATCTCCGCCTCCCGGATTCAAGGGATTCTCCTGCCTGAGCCTCCCAAGTAGCTGGGATTACAGGTGCACACCACCACGCCCAGCTAATTTTTGTATTTTTAGTAGAGACGGGGTTTCACCATGTTGGCCAGGCTGGTCACAAACTCCTGACCTCAAGTGATCCACTTGCCTTGGCCTCCCAAAGTGCTGGGATTGCAGGTGTGAGCCACCACGCCCGGCCAAAAACAAATACTTTTTTAAAAGAAAGTTTAAAACAAAAGTTAAAAAAAAAGAAAAAAACAGGTACAAACCTGAAAAATCTCCCAATTAACAAAGCTGGGACAATTTTAGCAACAAAATAATGTAGTATTGGAATGTAACCATTATAAGATAAACATCCATGAGTCCATACTGATATAAATAGCTAAGTGAGGGAGAAGAGGCAAACTTCCCTTGGGGAAGATAATTTATGTACATACTCCCCACTGCAGGAGGTAGAGCTTAAATACCCCGCCTTCCCACCTTGAGTGTGGGTTGCATTTATTGACTTGGTTCCAAAGTAGTGTGGAAGGGTAGGAGGAGTAATTGCACAGTAGAGAAAACTGGCAAGCACTACCTTAGAGAGGTAATCAAGGTTAACATGATCAGTGATGTCATTTTGACAGCATGTACCCTTGATTCTATGTGATGAGAACAGCCAGTCACCTTGTGGTCTTCCTCCTAAACACCCAAAACCCCAGTCTAACCATGAGAAAAATATTGGCCAAACCCAAATTGAGGCACATTCCACCAAATATCTGAGGAGTAACTCTTCAAAACTGTCAAGGTCATCAAAAACAAGAAGAATCTGAGAAACTGCCACAGCCAAAAATAGCCTAAGACGACATAATGAATAAATGCAATATGGTGTCCTGGACAGGATCCTGGAACAACAACAAAAAAAGGACATTGAAAGAAAGCTGGTAAATGTGAATAAAATGTGTAGTTTAGTGAGTAATAGTGCGCCAATCAAACTGGTTTCTTAGATGTGATCAACGTAACATAGTAAAATAATTAAGATGTTCACAATAGGAGAAACTAGGTGAGGAGACAGGAACTCTAGGTGTCATCTTTGCAACTTTTCTGCACAACTACAACTATTCTAAAATAAAAGGCGTTTCTTTTTAAACGGGAATCCTCAACAGCGCCTCTCTCATGGGGTTGCAAGAAATCAATGAGATAGTACAGACCAAGTGCAGGGCTCAGTGCTTAGCACATAAATGTCAGATGTGGTTATTGTAATATTATGTAACATTGAGGGACAAAAGCTCTGACACCTCGGTGTTTTAATTAGAGTAAGCAAAGGACAGACGCGCGTACGTCCCACCGCGTCAGCCCTGTGAACATCCAGAGGTTCCAGCCAGAGTACGTCCGGCCGGAGGCGGGGCGCGGAGGGGACGTCGGCGTGGGGCGGGGCCAGTAGCAGTTCCCACGCCGGCGCTCCAGGCGCGGCAGGCTGCCGCCCCCGGAAGTAGTGGGTACCGGGACGCCGTGAGGCGGAAGCTGTGTATGGCGGGAGGCTGTGGCGGTCCCTTGGTGGGGAAGCTGTTGCTGTTGCTAGACGACGGGAACTAGCTCTCGTCACTTCCTCAGCCCGCCGTCTGCCCACTCCTCTAGCCGGAACCTGGGGGCCCGGAGCCGGGGTAGGCACAGAGTTGTCCTCGGAGGTCCAGGACAGCGGCCAGCCCGGCGGCGGGAGTCAGGGCCACGCCACCTGCAGGGAAGAACCCGAGTCGAAGCGGGAAGATGGCTGCAGACAAGCCTGCAGGTAGGGCGCCAATGTCCCGAGCGACGAGACGGCGGGACGTGCGGGGCCGGGCGGACCCTGAACTCGGAGGCGGCGGGGCCCGGGGTGGGGACTCCAGGGCGACTTGAATTTGGGCGTGCATTTCTTTACCCCATCCTCTGTCTCGGCTGTCGCTAACATGAGTCTTCGGGCCCCGGGTCCAATAGTTGTTTTACTCAAGTGCAGTATTTGAAGTCGCCACTGGCCGCCTTTGCCCTGCTCTTCAGAATAACTCCGGCCCAAAAAGCTTAAATGTATTTTGCCGCTTCGCAGAATTTTCCGCTTCTTCGTGGGAAAAGCAGACAAGAGAAAGTCACCCTGGAGCACACATCTGCCTATAATATCGCGTGGCTGAGGCTGGGATTCACCTGGGCTGTTTTGACCACATGTGGCTTCCTCTGGTCATTGACTCCTGTGAAATTAACTTTGTAAAAACCACTTTTTTTTTTCTTGATAGAGACGGGCGGGGGTCTCGCTATGGTGCCCAGGCTGATCTCGAACTTCTGGGCCCAAGCGATCCTTCCGCCTTGGCCTCTCAAAGTAAACCACTTATTTAAAAAGGCATAAAATCCTATTGTCTCTCTACAGTCTGTGCTCCTAAAATCTTGCATTTGGTACTTAATTGCTCTAGTTCCTCGAAATTACTTAATCTCAATGGTTTTCTTTATGGATTATTGCTCCCATTCCTAGAATCTTCCACATTAAGGAATATAAAATTATTTCCTGACCTTGTCCGGAATGTTTCCCGCAAGAAATTCATATTCTTTGTGGCATCCAGGTTTTATTGGAAAGAACTTAAGTGACAGGATTTAAAAGTGATGGAACTTAAAATTTTTACAGTGAATTTAATTTAAAATTAAAGAAAAACTCAGTGTGCTGTGGATTTTAGTAGGTTCTGGTCACAATAACTGACAAATGAACTTCACTTGGAAATTAAGCCAATTCTATTTTAGGTACAGAGGAATAAAAATCATTAGAGGATCTCTTCAATAATCTAAGAAGAAAAACAACAGAACAAAGGCCTTGAGAGGGTATAAGGAATGTGCTGTGAAATTTTGGATAGGTTGTTCAGGGAAGGCCTCTGGTGAGATGATATTTGAGCAGAGATATGTAAGAAGTGAGGGAATGAGCCATAAGAAATGAGGAAAGGTGGATGAGGGAGAGACTATTAGACAGGAAAACGGCATGGCCTGTCCAAGGCTGGACCAGGGGACCAACATCTTCCTCCTTATTTTAGAATAGTGTCTGTGTTCCCCACATTTACCATTCCTACTTGCTCATACCATTGCGCTTGCCCGAAATCACCCTTTTAGACCTAAAGCCCATCCAGTTTTCAAATCCTCAGTCATAAAGCCTTCTACTTGTTCATTTATTCATTCGCAAAGATTGAGTGTTGAATAATGGATATGACACACTCCCTGCCTTTGAAGACCTGCTGTTCAGTCTGTTGGAGGAGACAGGCATATCCTAGCTGCACTCCTGTTTGGTAAGAGCTGTGTAATGTGTGTAGTTGAAGAATAAGGTCCACAGTGATTAGGGGACTGTTTTTTTCATTGGTTTAAGTTTATAGGCCATATTGAAGGAAACTTCCTGCTTTGATATAAGGTTAAATTTGAATAAAATAGATGAGTGTTTAGTGTAGCTCCTTTGAATCTCTGCTCATCTCCATCTCATCTGCTGTGTTTCTGGCCTTTATCTTTTAATATGATCTATGTCGCATTGAGTAGTCTTCTCACTGGTGTTTGTCTCTTGTCTCTTCCTATCCCATCCATTTTCCTCACTGTCGCCCCCCGCTTTTTTTATGTCCTAAGACATTCATTGAATCCTGTCATTCCCCTTCCTATAAAGTTTCTAAGACTGTACATGCTTTGGGCATCAAGTCATCATTCTTTTTATTTAATTTTTATTGTATTTTCTTTCTCCTTTTAAGTCCTCACGGTTTTTTTTTTTTGTTTTTTTTTTTTTTTTTGAGACGGAGTCTCGCTCTGTCACCCAGGCTGGAGTGCAGTGGTGCGATATCGGCTCATTGCAAGCTCCGCCTCCCGGGTTCACGCCATTCTCCTGCCTCAGCCACCCGAGTAGCTGGGACTACAGGCGCCCGCCACCACGCCCTGCTAATTTTTTTGTATTTTTTAGTAGAGACAGGGTTTCACCATGTTAGCCAGGATGGTCTCCATTTCCTGACCTTGTGATCCGCCTGCCTCGCCCTCCCAAAGTGCTGGGATTACAGGCGTGAGCCACCGCGCCCTGCCGTCCTCACTCTAATGTGGTTTGTGAGCATCTTCAAAATCTATTTCCAGCTGGATTTCTGTATCAACCCACCCAGCTCTTCACATCATAAATTACTGTTGCAAAGCATTGTGTTTTTTGAGCTTTTGAGCCGTAGTGTCCTTTCTCTTCTCCGTCTGGTGAACACTATTCATTCAGTCTATCTTACATGCTGCTTCCTCTCTGAGCTCACGAGGTCAGGATATTTGTCACGGAGGGTCTTGTGTGTGTGTTCTTCATCAGGTAAGAAAAAAGGGTCATGAAAGGACTTAAGGTGAGTGATCTGATCACACTGACTGTTGTAGGTGGTGGATTTAAATGAAGTAAGACAGGAAGCCTAGAGACCACCTAAGATGAGTTAATGTTGTGATATTAATTTATTCAGTAAATATTCACCAATGGCCTGTTTTGCCAGGTACTACTTTAGGAACTGGGCAGGAACAAAACAAAGTCTCTGTTCTGGAGCTTATTTACTATGAAGGACAGATAAGCATGTAAATAAAATGAAAAATAAGATGATTTCAAGTTGTGATAGATACTCTGAAGAAGGCCAAGTGCAGTGGCTCACACCTGTAATCCCAGCATTTTGGGAGGCTGAGGGGGGTGGATCACCTGAGGTCAGGAGTTCAAAACCAGCCTGACCAACATGGTGAAACCCCATCTACTAAAAATACAAAAATTAGCCAGGCATGCTGGCGCACACCTGTAATCCCAGCTAGCTGGGAGGCTGAGGCAGGAGAATTGCTTGAACCTGGGAGGCAGAGGTTGCAGCAACCCGAGATCGCACCACTGCACTCCAGGCTGGGTGACAGAGTGAGATTCCATCTCAAAAAAAAAAATAATACTCAGAAGAAAAAAATGAGTAAGAGAGGCTGTCTGCAGTTGCTCACACCTGTAATCCTAGCACTTTGGGTGGCTGAAGTGGGAGGATTGCCTGAGGCCAGGAGTTTGAGACCAGCCTGGGCAGCATAAGTGAAACCCTGACTCTAAAAAATAAAAAGCCAGATATCATGGTGTGTGCCTATAGTCTCAGCTCCTAGGGAGGCTGAGGTGGGAGGATTGCTTGTACCTAGGAGTTCAAGGCTGCAGTGAGCTTTGATCACGCCACTGTCCAGGCAACAGGATGAGACCCTCTCTCAAAAAAATAAAATAAAAGGCCGGACGTGGTGGCTCACGCCTGTAATCCCAGCACTTTGGGAGGCCGAGGTGGCAGATCACGAGGTCAAGAGATCGAGACCATCCTGGCTAACACAGTGATACCCCGTCTCTACTAAAAATACAAAAAAATTAGCAGGGCCTGCTGGCGGGTGCCTGTGGCTCCCACCTGTAATCCCAGGACTTTGGGAGGCCGAGGTGAGTGGATCACCTGAGGACAGGAGTTTGAGACCAGGCTGGCCAACATGTTGAAACCCTGTCTTGACTAAAAATACAAAAATTAGCTGGTCGTGGTGGCAGACGCCTGTATTCCCAGCTACTCGGGAGGCTGAAGCAAGAGAATCACTTGAACCCAGGTGGCAGAGGTTGCAGTGAGCCAAGATCGTGCCATTGCCCTCCAGCCTGGGCAACAAGAGCAAAACACCATCTCAAAAAAAAAAAAAAAGAAAAAGAAAAAAAAGAATAGAGGATGACTGAAAGCCTTGTTTTTCAGATAGATTAGAGAAGGGCTTTCTTAGAGTTGACATTTAGACAGAAACCCTAAGGATAAAGAGCCAGCTGTGTTGGGAAGAATGATCCAGGTAAGAGGAGCAACAAATATGCAAATGTACAGAACCCTTGCTTGGAAAATGTCTAAAGAACATCAAGCAGACCCCTTGAATACAAGCTCCCCGAAGATAGAGACTTTTGTCTGTGTTAGTTGTGTTCTAGCTCTAGTCCCTAGAACAATATCTGACAAGAGACACTCAACACATAATTTAAGGCTGGGCATAGATGCTCACACCTGTGGGAGGCTGAGGTGGGAGAATCGCTTGAGGCCAGGAGTTCAAGACCAGCCTAGGCGACATAGCCAGACTTGTCTCCGTAAAAAATAAAAAAAAATTAGCTAGGCATGGTGGCGTGACCCTGAAGTCCTAGCTACTCCAGAGTCTGAGATGAGAGGATGGCTTGAGCCCAGGAGTTGAAGGTTGCAGTGAGCTATAATTGTGCCACTGTACTGTAGCCTGGGTGACAGTGCGACCCTGTCTCAAACAGAAAACAAAAAAGCCAATACACATAATTTATAGCATAGGGAGCAAAGGCAGCATGGCAAGAGATAAAGTCACAGTTGTATCAGGAGTTGGTGTATGTTGGGCGTTACAGGCCATGGAGGGAGTTTGAATTCATTTTAACTAATGGGAAGAGAGTGGAAGTTTTCAATAAGGGCATGATGGTGTGATCTGATTTATATTTAACTGATCCAGGTAAGGAATGATAAGAGTAGGGGCTTTGAAATCAGATAGTTTAGGTTCATCCTAGCTGTACTACTTGGTATTTGTGGGAAATTGGGCAAATTTCAAGAAGTCTTTTTTTTAAGCTTCAGCTTTCCTGCGTGTAGAATGAGAACGATGAAAGTATCTACCTCACAGGTATGGTAACAGGTTAAATGATATAATCTCAGGCTCTGAGTTTTTTGGTTTTTTTGTTTTGTTTTGTTTTGAGACAGGGTCTCACTCTTTCACCCATGTTGGTGTGCAGTGGCACCATCATAGCTCACTGCAGCCATGAACTCCTGGGCTTAAGCAATCCTCTTGCCTTAGCCTCTTGAGTAGTTAGGACTACGGGTGTGTACTACTGTATCCAGATAATTTTTTTTTTTTTGAGACAGAGTCTCGCTCTGTTGCCCAGGCTGGAGTGCAGTGGTGCGATCTTGGCTCACTGCAAGCTCCGCCTCCCGGGTTCACACCATTCTCCTGCCTCAGCCTCCCAAGTGGCTAGGACTACAGGTGCATGCCACCATGCCCGGCTAGTTTTTTTGTATTTTTAGTAGAGAAGGGGTTTCACCATGTTGGCCAGGCTGGTCTCTAACTCCTGACCTCATGATCCGCCCGCCTCGGCCTCCCAAAGTGCTGGGATTACAGGCATGAGCCACCGCGCCCAGACTTATTTGGTATTTTTTCAACTTTTTATTATGAATGATTTCAAACACCTAAAAAATTTAAAAAATAAAATGAATATCTATATATCTACCCCCTAGTTCATTCAGCAATTGTTATATTTTACCATATTTGCTTCCTCTATCACTAGCTATGACTTTTTTTTTTTTTTTTGAGATGGAGTCTCACTCTGTTGCCCAGGCTGGACTGCAGTGGTACGATCTTTGCTCATTGCAACCTCCATCTCCCGAGTTCAAGCGATTCTCTTGCCTCAGCCTCCCGAGTAGCTGGGCTTGCAGGCACACGCTACCACAGCCAGCTTTTTTTTTTTTTTTTTTTTGAGATGGAATCTCACTCTGTTGCCCAGGCTGGAGTGCAGTGGTGCAATCTCGGCTCAGTGCAACCTCTGTCTCCTGGGTTCAAGTGATTCTCCTGCCTCAGCCTCCTGTGTAGCTGGGACTACAGGTGTGTGCCACCATGCCTGGCTAATTTTTTGTATTTTTAGTAGAGACGGGGTTTCACTGTGTTAGCCAGGATGGTCTCGATCTTCTGACCTCATGATCCACCCACCTCGACCTCCCAAAGTGCTGGGATTAACAGACGTGAGCCACTGTGCCTGGCCATGCCCAGCTAACTTTTGTATTTTTAGTAGAGACGTGGTTTGACCATGTTGGCCCGGCTGGTCTTGAACTCCTGAGCTTAAGTGATCTGCCCGCCTCGGCCTCCCAAAGTGCCGATGTGAGCCAACACACCTGGCTCTAGCTATGACTTTTAATGTTGAATCATTTCAAAATAGGTTATAAACATCATAACACTTCATCTCTAAATATTTCAACATGCGTTTCTTAAAAATAGGGACATTCACCTATGTAACCATGATGCCATTGTCATAGTTTAGACAATTCATGTTTTAATATATTAAAAATTTCCTGCCAGCCAGGCATGGCGCCTCACGCCTGTAATCCCAGCACTTTGGGAGTCTGAGGTGGGAGGATCAGTTGAGTTCAGGAGTTAGAGACCAGCGTAGGTAACATGGTGAAACCCTGTCTCTACCAAAAATGTAAAAAATTAGTGGTGGCGCATGCCTGTAGTCCCACCTACAAGGGAGGGTGAGGTGGGAGGATCATTTGAGCCTGGGAGGCAGAGGTTGCAGTGAGCCAAGATAAACACCACTGCACTCCAACCTGGGTGACTGAGTGAGACCCTGTCACCAAAAAAAAAAAAAAAAAGCCAATTTCCCGCCAGGCATGGTGGTTCATACCTATAAATCCTAGCACTTTGGGAGGCCGAGGTGGGTGGATTGCTTGAACCTAGGAGTTCAAGTCCAGCCTGGGCACCATGGTAAAACCCTGTCTCTACAAAAAATACAGAAAGTTAGCTGGGTGTGGTGGCATGTGCCTGTAGTCCCAGCTATGGCTATATTTTAAAAATTTATTTGTAGGCACAGGGTCCCAATATATTGCCCAGGCTGGTCTCAAACTCTTGGGCTGAAGGAATCCTCCCAGCTTGGTCTCTCAAAGTGCTGGGATTACAGGTGTAAGCCACTGCACCCAGCTTTATCTCCTGTATTTTCTTAAACTCTAACTTATTTCTACAGGCTTGATTAGATATAGGTTCAACATATTTTTGAGAAACTTTGTAGGTGATGTTATATACTTTATTTTCTGTATAAAGTACATAATGTCAGGTTATCCAGTATTAGTGATGCTAAATTTGATCAATTTGAGGTGCTGACAGGAACATCTTTTTCCATTTTCAGTTAGAGGTAATTTATGGAGTAATTGGCATTTCGTAAATATCCACTGTTGTTGATTCTTTCCTCAATCAGTTGTATTATTGAGGGTTACAAAATGATTTTTACCTAGTTCTATTGTAGTTTCTACCTTTGTTAGTGAATATTCTTCTTTAAAGAGTAGCTCTCCTGGGCTGGGTACAGTGACTCATGCCTGTAATCCCAGCACTTTGGGAGGCCAAGGTAGGCAGATCGCTTGAGCCCAGGAGTTCAAGAGCAGCCTGGGCAACATGAGAGCCTGTCTCTACGAAAAGATTGAAAAAACTTAGTTGGTGTGCTGCTGCGTGCCTGTAGTCCCAGCTACTTGGGAGGCTGAGGTAGGAGGTCACTGGAGCCCAGGAAGTCGAAGCTACAGTGAGCCGTGATCACAGCACCGCACTCTAGCCTGGGCTACAAAGTGAGACCCTGTCTCAGAAACAACAACAAAAAAGAATAGCTTTCCCATATTGACTGTTAGTCTTCCCAGAAAGCCATGTTAAATGCTAAAAGCTTAATTCATTATTTTCAATTACCAGTTTTCAGAACAAGGAGTTGATGTGGTAGTGACCTATGTTTGATATTTAAAGTGGTTTTTTTTCTTTTTTAAATTTAATTAATTTTTTTGAGGCAGGCTTTCACTCTGTTGCCCAGGCTGGAGTACAGGGGCATGATCTTGGCTCACCGCAGCCTCGACCTCCCGGATTCAAGTGATCCTCCCACCCCAACCTCCCAAGTAGCTGGGACTACAAGTACATGCCACCACACCTGGCCAGTTTTTCTGTTTTTCTGTAGAGACAGGGTTTTGCCATGTATCCCGGGCTGGTCTCAAACTCCTGGACTCAAGCAAGCCTCCTGCCTTGACTGCCCAAATTGCTGGGATTACAGGCGTGAGTAAGTGTTTTTAATATTAGAATTTAGAGTAATATATTGGTCTTTTTTTTTTTTTTTCCAGACAGGGTCTCACTCTGTCACCCAGGCTGGAGTGCAGTGGCATGAACACTGCTCACTGCATCCTTGACTTCCCAGGCTCAAGCGATCCTCCCACCTCAGCCTCCCAAGTAGCTGGGACTATAGGCATGCGCCACCACGCCTGGCTAACTTTTGTATTTTTTGTAGAGATGAGGTTTCGTCATGTTGCCCAGGCTAGTCTTGAACTCTTGAGCTCAAGCCATCCTCCCACCTTGACCTCCCAAAGTGCTGGGATTACAGGTGTGAGCCACCATGCCCGGCACTTATATTAGTCTTATGATTTCAATTTAAAATGTATAATTGACTGAATATTGATTTATACTTGTGAATTTAAATTGAAACCTTATTGCAGTTATTTTATTTTGTGGACATTAGAGAGTACCTAAGAGTCACTATAAGTTTAATTTTTTAGGTATGTAAGTTATTCTCAGGAAATTTTTTTTTCTTGACACATGTTAAAATACAAAAATTTTGTCTTTTTAAGTCTAGCAATTATACTTAAAATTGAATATATTGTTGGGGTTTGGTGGGGGGGTTGCAATAGTTCTCACTTGATAAATTTTTTTTTTTTTTAATTTAAAAAAAGTGTTTGGTACTCTACACTTTCAGAGAAACTTCTCCAGTAACAAACTGTAGAAATGATCCCTGAAAGTGTAGTCTTGGTAAAATTTTTTAAGTAGTTAACATTTTATGTTTGAAGATGTTATGTTGAAGGTGAACTTTGAAATGAGTTTAGACATTCATCACAGGCCTTTAAAATTAGACCTCCAAGTAGAATAAGTTGTCTAAGTTCGGTGTAAAAATTTGAGTAAAATCTAGGCTTTTTGAATTTGTAACTTTAATAAATTAAGTATTAATATTTTAAAACTAGAGTAAATCTCAGTCTTTTCTATGCATAAAAACTCCTCCTCTTAGATGTGAAAACAAAATACTCATCAGCAGTGGCAATATTCTGCTTTGCCTAGCTTCCTTAAAGCATGCTGATATTGTTTTTTCTTCTTTCAGTTTTTTGTTTGTTTGTTTGTTTTTTGAGGCAGTCTTGCTCTGTTGCCTAGGCTGGAGTGCAGTGGCATGATCTCGGGTCACTGCAATCTCTGCTTCCTGGGTTCAAGTGATTCTCCCGCCTCAGCCTCCTGAGTAGCTGGGATTATAGGTGCGCACCACCACGCCCAGCTAATTTTTGTATTTTTAGTAGAGATGGGGGTTTCACCATGTTGGTCGGAATGCTCTCAAACTCCCCACCTCGTGATCTGCCTGCCTTGGCCTCCCAAAGAGCTGAGATTATAGGTGTGAGTCACCGCGCCCAGCCTAACTTTTATATTTTTAGTAGAGATGGGATTTCACCATGTTGGCCAGGCTGGTCTCAAACTCCTGACCCCAGGTGATCCTCCTGCCCTGGCCTCCCAAAGTGCTGGGATTACAAGCCTGAGCCACCGTGCTGGCCATGCTGATATTATTGATTTGAATTTCTGTTCCTTTATTTCTACACTACTGGGCAGGATGCTCAATTCTGTAACATTGCTTGTTACAAATGGCTTATTCTTTGGGCTGCGAAGTGTGTGCTTTCCCATTTCTCCAGCTCCTCTTGTCCAGTGGAGGGAATATGGTTTAGTGAATAAACCATTTGAGGTTTTGGTAAGTCAAGTATACTTGTTCAGATGATAGAAATCATATGTGAGGTATGTTAACCTAGCTGTATAGTGACATTAGTGGGCCTGAATTGTTTTTCTTCGAAGTGGCATCCTTCTTAAGATTTAAAACTTTCCTTCACAAGGGCATCATTGGTATTTTGTGACTGTGATTGTTGATTTCCTTAGGTCTTTTAACATCCCTTTTTTCTTTGGAAAAGTTTTCTTTTCTTGATATATCAGTGGAGCTGTATTTTGATGAGTGTAGCTTGTAGTCTCCACCAATCAGATTTGAATGATTAACATTCTGTATTGGAATGTGTCTGTGCTTTCAGTTAACTGATGATTTTCAGTTTTGAAAACGTGGTGCATTTCTTTTCTGCTTAGTTCAAACCTAAAGGCAATTGTTTATTTAGAAATGAAGTCTATTGGTGTAAAGACTGTCAAGGTTTGTGGGTCAAAGAGCTCTGTACGCATAGAAGGTCAGCCATGTTCATTAGGCCAGAGTAGAAGGAAAGTCAAGCTTATGGGTGAACGGTCGTATACTCTTTCAATTGGCAACGGAGACTACTTTTGGGCAAATAAAGAAATGCTGTGGGATTATGTGCAGACTCTGTCTGGTAAGAAGTCAGTAGTTATAAATAATAAATGTTTTTAAAACATTAAAAAAACTGATTACAAAAATGAATACCCATTTCTGGCAGAAAACTCGAGAAATGTACAAATACACAAGGAAAATAAAAATAATCCTGTTGAAGAGAGTGTGTGTGTGTGTGTGTGTGTGTGTGTGTGTGTGTGTGTGTGTGTGTATTTGAAATGGGGTCTTGGCCGGGCGTGGTGACTCATGCTGGTAATCCCAGCACTTTGGGAGGCCGAGGCAGGCGGATCACTTGAGATCAGGAGTTCAAGACCAACCTGGCTGACATGGTAAAACCCTGCCTCTACTAAAAATACAAAAATTAGCTGAGCATGGTGGCGGGCACCTATAATCCCAGCTACTCAGGAGGCTGAGGCAGGAGAATCACTTGAACCTGGGAAGCAGAGGTTGCGGTGAGCTGGGATTGTGCCTCTGCACTCCAGCCTGGGCAACAGAGTGAGACTCCGTCTCAAAAAAAAAAAAGAAGAAGAAGAAGAAATGGGGTCTCACTGATTGCTCAGGCTGGTAGTCATATACTGGGCTCAAGCAATCTTCCCACCTAAGCCTCCTGAGTAGTGAAGTGTGTTTTTTTAAAAACAGAAAATTTTCATCCTGAAGTTAAAGAAGGTAGGTAAAATAATGGTTCGTTAACATGTAAAAGGTTATTTATTGAGCTCAGTTCTGTGAAATGTGTGTAGAAATGGGAATTTCAGAGGCTCTTGTCAGCCTTAGAGTCCAGCTTATCTATTTATTTATTTATTATTTATTTATTTTGAGATGAGGTCTCACTGTCACCCAAGCTGGAGTGCAGTGGCACAATCTCAGCTCACTGCAGCCTCCACTTCCTGGGTTCAAGTGATCCTCCCTCCTCAGCCTCCCAAGTAGCAGGACTACGGGCATGTGCCACCACACCTGGCTAAGTTTTGTGTTTTTGGTAGAGATGGGTTTTCACCATGTTGTCCTGAGCTCAAGATCCACCCTCCTCAGCCTCCCGAAGTGCTGGGATTACAGGCGTGAGCCAGTGTGTCCAGCCCAGCTTATATATTTATCTTAAATTGGCTTCTCTCCTTTTCTGGAGAATTTTAGGAGACTTACATTTTCTTTTTCTTTTCTTTTTTTTTTTTGAGATGGAGTCTCGCTCTGTCACCCAGACTGGAGTGCAGTGGCGTGATCTCGGCTCACTGCAGCCTCTGCCTTCCGGGTTCCAGTGATTCTCCTGCCACAGCCTCCCAAGTAGCTGAGATTGTAGGCATATGCCACCACGCCCAGCTAATTTTTGTATTTTTAGTAGAAACGGGTTTCACCATGTTGGCCAGGCTGGTCTGGAACTGCTGACCTCAGGTGATCTGCCCACCTTGGCCTCCCAAAGTGCTGAGATTATAGGCGTGAGCCACCATGTCCAGCCTGATACTTCCATTTTCTGGGGTTGCTAACAGCAGTGGCCACATGAACTACTCTACTTTTAGTGGAGAATAGAAGCTCAAAATTTTCAACACCTGGGTGAGTTGTTGGGTTTTCCCCTTTGCCCTGTATTTCTAAGGTGCTCTTACAGTTGGTCCCAAAAGTCCCATTAAAGAATGTCATCTAATCTAGGGCATATTTTACTTATTTATTTTATTCATATCTTTTATTATTATTATTTTTGAGACAGGGTTTCACTCTGTCACCCAGGCTGGAGTGCAGTGGCATGGTCACGGCTCACTGCAGCCTCAACCTCCCAGGCTTCAACGATTATCCCACCTCACCTCCCCAAGTAGCTGGGACTACAGGCACATGCCACTATGCCTGGCTAATTAAAACAATTTTTTAAAATAGAGACAGGGTCTTGTTTTGTTTCCCAGGCTGGTCTGGAACTCCTAGGCTCAAGCAGTCCTCCTTCCTTGGCCTGCCAAACTGCTGGGATTACAGGTGTGAGCCACTGCCCAGCCAAGGGGCATATTTTAGAAGAAGCTTTAGAGAAAACTCAATAGCAAACTAAGAATTTTTGGCATTTGGTTTAAATTATGCTTCTTTATGAGAGAAGACACATTTTTTAAAATGTTAGGTTTTATAAAATCTTTAATAATAAAAGAAACATGAAAGATATTTATATTCTTTGTTAAAGTTTTATGGTGACAATATGTGGATTGAGGATCCTGTTTCAATCTAAACTTATAACTTGCCTTCTGAGGTCCTAAAGTCCTGTGTCACATTTTTACACGTTTTAAAATAATTGGTCCTTACCTCTTTTGTGCACCTGACAGTTCTGCAAAACACATGTATTGGATAAACAGTATGTTCTTGCAGTGAAACTCATTGTTATTGGCTTTCCAAAGAAAAAACTGTTTAACATTGTCCTTTGAAACTGGCAAACTTTATTCACTTAACTCTTAGCTTTTCCTCCTCCCTGTCGTATGCTAAAGTGGAAATAAAATAACTACTTGACCTGCTAACTTTAATTATCACAAGTAACACTTTTTAATAAGCCCAAATACTGGAATGCCTTTTTTATACAGCAGATAAGTTCTTAGATGAGTTTTTTTAAGTACAAGTTATACAGTATTACGTTGTTATAAGTGGTGACTCTCAAAAGGGTGTTCAGTCTTCTGGGGGTTTCGTAGTGATCTAAAGAGCTGTTTCATAGTCAAGTCACATGAAATTGAATTTTACTGTTAATTTTTATGTTTAAATTACAGACATAAATATATTTTTAAAAATATAAGTACAAGAATTTTTAGTTCTGGTGAAAGGAAAGTGGGGAAGGGAGCTATATTTATTTAGCATCTCTAATTAAAAACAGGCCAAAGGACGACTGGACTGAAGATGTGACTGATTCTAAGACTTGTGCTCTTTTAATTATGTCATATTGCCTTCTTGGAAAAGGGAAGTTGGGAATCTTCACTGACTGCTGACATGTGCCAGGCTAGGACTTCCCAAAGTTAGTTCTGTTGACAACTGGTTCTTTTATTTTTAGTTTATTAAGATGGGGTCTTACTCTGCTGCCCAGGCTGGAGTGCTTTGGCACAATCTCAGCTCACTGCACACTCCACCTCCTGTGTTCAAGCAATCCTCCCACCTTCGCCTCGCTTGTAGCTGGGACTACAGATGCATGCCACCATGCCCAGCTAATTTTTGTATTTTTTGTAGAGACGGGGTTTCACCATGCTGCCCAGACTGGTCTTGAACTCCTGGGCTCAAGTGATCCACCCGCGTTGGCCTCCCAAAATGCTGGAACTACAGGTGTGAGCCACCACACCTGGCCAACAACTGGTTCTTTGAGATGCTCCTGTTGTCTAGGCAGTTATCAAAAAGTGCCCAGATCATAAGTGCACATACAGTTTGGTGAATAGTTTGCTGTGTATCCTTGTAGACTTTATACTTATTCAGAGGTACATATTTGTGTATATATTTTTATAAAACATGGGATTCAGTTGTACAAAGCAGTTTGCAATCTGTTTCTTTTATTTAACAACATGTTGTAAATATTTTTCCACATCAAGTTATATAGACTTAATAACTGTTAATGTGCCATTGTATTCCTATACCATGATTTAGTTATCAAATCTCTTGAAGAATATTTATTTCTAGACATTTAGTATTATCGTTTTAATTTACAATTATTTAATAAATAATGAGGCTGAATTTCATTTCACGTTATTAAGCCATTCATATTTACTCTTCTTTCAGCAAGTTTCTGGTGTTTGAGGAACACTGTGAAGGACTGTGGCAGGGTTCTTGAAGATAAGGGAGTTTGTTTATCTAGGCAACTCCTGGAAGCCATTATAGAGGGAGTCACACTTCCCAGTATCCTGGAAGGGGGCTTGTGATGGATGAGGTGCGAAAGTGGAGGCTACTATGACAGATGCAACTCTAGGGCACCATACTGGGGGAGCATTCCACTAGCTCTAGCCCCAACTTGAGTCCATGTTGGCAGATCTATAGAAGGAGAGGGAAGAATGGAAAGGAGCCAGTAAGCAAAAGAACCCCATAACCAGTGTGATTCTTGACAACTTTCTGGAAAGTTGGTTGTAGGCACTCTTGAGGGGTAAACTTGGGGACAAGGTGGTCTACTATTTCTCATGTGGGTATTTGTCTTCCATAGAAACCTTAATTGGATATGAGTGCTGCTTTAGGAACAAACATATCAGTTTCTTTTTTTTTTTTTTTTTTGAGATGAAGTCTTGCTCTGTCACCCAGGCTGGAGTGCAGTGGCATGATCTCGGCTCACTGCAACCTCTGCCTCCCAGGTTCAAGTGATTCTTCTGCTCCAGCCTCCCAAGTAGCTGAGACTGCAGGCATGCACCACCATGCCCGGCTAATTTTTGTGTTTTTAGTAGAGATGGGGTTTTACCATGTTGTCCAGGCTGGTCTTGAACTCCTGACCTCAGGTGATCCGCCTGCCTCGGCCTCCCAAAGTGCTGGGATTACAGGCGTGAGCCACTGCGCCCGGCCTCAGTTTCTTTATAGAAGCATGTTTGGAGTTACTGAATCTGAGTTGGAAGGGATGCTAAAAACTATTTAATACAGACTCTCATTTTAGTAAATAGGGAAGCTGAAACTTGCCCCAGTTCCACTTTGTAGCATCTGTTTAATTTCAGAAGTGACATTAAAGTTTTAGTCTTATTTCAATTCTAAAAATTGTCTGTACGTCACTGTGCAACCTGCCTCCCGTCTGTATGTTGAAAATGATAGAATCTGCACTATTGTGCTACATATCAGGGGTTTACTCTGCCAGGTACATGCCAATTGCTTCACATATATTCTTACTAAAGCCTTACAATAACTTGAAAAAGGGTTTTCTTATCCCCATTTTGCGGATAGGTTCAAGCTTTGGAGGTCTTTGAGTTTCAGTCTGAAGCAACAATTCTGTATGAAAAAAATTCCTGTATAAATAAGAAATTCAAATATTGTGAGACTTTGAAATTCTTTAAAGTCATACACAGTGACATTGCCATCACCTACCTATGTTTGCAGCCCATGACATCACATTTATACAGTGGTCACATTTCCTTTTAATGATATTTCCATTAGTGGTGCATGGAGCTTTTGCTGGTGAGTAGAACCAAGAAACAGAATATTCTTTGGGAGATAGTAAAATATAAAAGGCATCTTTTAAAAACAAATGGCAAATTTTTGCAGAAAAGAAAACTTAACATTAAAAATGACTAAGCCAAGCGCAGTGGCTCACACCTGTAATCCTAGCACTTTGGGAGGCTGAGGCCAGCAGTCACCTGGGAGGTCAGAAGTTTGAGACCAGCCTGACCAACATGGCAAAACCCCGTCTCTACTAAAAATAAAAAAATTAGCCAGGTGTGGCGGCAGGTGCCTGTAGTCCCAGCTACTTGGGAGGCTGAGCCAAGATTGTGCCACTGCAGTCCAACCTGGGTGACAGAGCAAGACTCCATCTAAATAAATAAGTAAAATAAAAATAAAAATAAAAATGACTAATATTTACATTACCTATATATAGTATTCTTGCCAGAAATGTTAAACTGCATGTAATATTGAGGAAATAACCAGAAAAATTCAGAATGTAGGACATTCTAATTCTATTTAATTAATTCTAATTGGCTTAGACTCTTTTGAAAAAATAAAAAACCAAAAAACAATGACCTAATGATATCGTGTAGCTCTGTGTCCCCAACCAAATCTCATGTTGAATTGTAAATCCCCAATGTTAGGGGAGGGACCTGGTGGGAGGTGACTGGATCATGGGGGTGGATTTCCCCCTTGCTGTACTGGTGATAGTGAGTGAGTTCTCACTAGATGTCGTTATTTAAAAGTGTGTAGCACCTCCCCCTTTGCTCTCTCTTCTGCTGACCATGTGAAGATCTGCTTGCTTCCTCTTTGCCTTCTGCCATGATTGTAAGTTTCCTGAGAACTCCCTATATGTGCTTTCTGTACAGCCTGTGGAACCATAAGCCAATTAAACCTCATTTCTTTATAAATTGCCCAGTCTCTGATAGTTGTTTTTGTTTGTTTGTTTTTTGACAGAGTCTCACTCTGTTGCTCAGGCTAGAGTGCAGTGGTGCAATCTCGGCTCACTGCAAGTTCTGCCTCCCGGGTTCACGCCATTCTCCTGCCTCAGCCTCCTGAGTAGCTGGGACTACAGGTGCCCGCCACCACGCCCAGCTAATTTTTTTATTTTTTATTTTTAGTAGAGATGGGGTTTCTCCATGTTAGCCAGTATGGCCTCGATCTCCTGACCTCGTGATCCACCCGCCTTGGCCTCCCAAAATGCTGGGATTACGGGCGTGAGCCACCACACCTGGCCTTTTTTTTTTTTTTTCTCAAGACAGTCTCACTCTGTCGCCCAGGCTGGAGTGAAGTGGCGTGATCTCAGCTCACTGCAACCTCTGCCTCCCAGGTTCAAGCAATTCTCGTGCCTCAGCCTCCCAAGTAGCTGGGATTATAGGCATGAGCCATCACGCCCAGCCAACAGTGACTCTTGAGAGAACTATAAAAAGTATTGAAGCATTTGTTAGAGTACTTAACACACTTTTGCTCTGAGTAGTTTAGGTTTGGTTCAGCTGAGATTTTTACCTTTATTTTGGAATTCTATTTTCAAATTAAAACAAAAAGCAAAACATCTAATATTTAAAATAGCAAATTATAGAGGTAGGAGGTAGTTTTCCCAGCTAAACAGATTATTAACCTTTACTGTGAATTTATATGGACACTTAACATATTAAAGAAACTTTTTAAATGTGTTAATATTTTGGATTTCTGAGCCTATGAAAATATTCCTTGCCTGGAAATTAGCTGTAAGCCCTTATCAGTGTAGTTTTCTGATTGTTACTACTTTCCAACTAAATTATAAATCTCTTAAAGCCATCGTAGGTGTGTTTATATCTCCAGCACCTGCCATAGTTGCTTGAATATGTGGGACTGTATATTGCTGGGTGGCAGATCTAATATTTTTTAAAGAGCACAATATTCTCAGCTTGAATGTCCTCATCTACAGGGCTTGTGGTCTTTATTTAAGTGGGCAGGTTTTCATTGTGTTTCAACTTGGCCATAGGAACCTTTTCAAGCTTTCAGAGGAGTAGCTTCTTATTAGCTTATAACATTAATCAGTCATTGTTTTTTGTTGTTTTTTTTTTTTTGAGACGGAGTCCTACTCTGTCGCCCCGGCTGGAGTGCAGTGGCATTATCTTGGCTCACTGCAAGCTCCACCTCCCAGGTTCACGCCATTCTCCCGCCTCAGTCTCCCAAGTAGCTGGGACTACAGGCGCCCGCCACCACGCCAAGCTAATTTTTTTTTTTTTTTTTTTGTATTTTTAGTAGTGACGGGGTTTCACCGTGTTAGCCAGGATGGTCTCGATCTCCTGACCTTGTGATGTGCCCGCCTTGGCCTCCCAAAGTGCTGGGATTACAGGCGTGAGCCACCGTGCCTGGCAACATTAATCAGTTATTGTTGAGAGAGCCCTAACTTTGGCCACTTTATTAGGAAGAACACAAGATGAAAACTAGGGACAAATTCACTATACAGTAGTCCCCCACCTTTTCCTCAGAAGATACATTCAGGGTCCTCCGGTGGATACTTGAAACCACAGATAGTACTGAACCTATGTACTGCTTTTTTTAATACGTACATAACTATGATAAAGTTTATAAATGAGGCACAGTAAGAGATTAACAACAACAGTAATAAAATAACAGTTATCTGAATGTGGTTTCTCTTTCTCAAAATATCTTACTGTACCCTACTCACCTTTCTTCCTGTGACCTATTGATCTGATAACCAAGATGGCTACTGTGTGTCCAAGGGGGAGGTATCTTATACAACATGGAATGCTAGACAAAGGAATGATTGACTTCCTGGATGGGACAGAGCGGGACACTGCAGGATGGCAAGAGATTTCATCATGTTACTCAGAACATTGCTGTTTAAAACTTAAGAACTGCTTATTTCTGGAATTTTCCATCTGATATTTTCATACTTGACCTTGGGTAACTGAAACTGCAGAAAGTGAAACTGGATAAGGAGGGACCACTGTACAACTTTTATTTCTAAAGAACTGTAAAATTTGTGTGTTTGCAGATCAGGGAGCAGAGAAACATGAAGGCACAGGTCAGTCCTCTGGGATCACTGATCAAGAGAAGGAGTTATCCACCAATGCTTTCCAAGCTTTCACAGTAAGAAATGGCTTCTCTTAGTCTGCTCAAGTTGTAGGGTTCTGTCAAGTATGAATCTTTTCATAGTGAATTTTTAAATTTACAATTTTTACTCTGTAATAATTCAAAAGTTAATTTAGAGATAAGTAGGTTTAATTTTTAAAATAAATGTTTTAGAGTTTAAATATGGTGAAAGGAATGGGAATAATTGGAGCCATTCCCAAGTTTTTGTAAACATGTTTTAACTCATATACTGTTGTTTTTAAGTCTTTTAAATTTAGATTTGTAAGTATGTGGGTCAGTCTTTTCATTTCACTAAGCTGTTCAATTCTTTTATTTATTTATTTCTGAAAATATCAGATTCAAAAATTATTTTCTTGAAGGTACTTTAAAATGGAACCCCAAAACTTTATTGGCAGAATTTTAACTTTTTCTGGCATTAAACAATATGAAAGAAAACCTTATTTGGTTATCAGGTTACGTGCATGTAAGCAGAAGAACTTGATGCTTGGGTATTTAAAATATATTTACTAGAAAATAAAATTTGGAGTGATTATATTACCTTTCTTGACTAGCCTCAGCCATTAATACCCTGCTAGCACTATATGTATATGCCAGTATATTTATCATATCAATATATGTGTCTTATATGTGTCAATGTCAGGGTTTTGAGTCTTAGGAAGTAAATATCCACAGTTTAACTGACATGAATGTTGCTTTAGTGACTTTGATTAGTATATGTAGGGAAACTACATCTTTCTTTTTAAGAACTTTTAAGATAAAGATGAATGAAATATATTTGGAATGATATACTGTATTTAAAGCTGGTATGTAATTT
The DNA here is from genome assembly GCF_000001405.40 of Homo sapiens. NCBI lineage: Eukaryota > Metazoa > Chordata > Mammalia > Primates > Hominidae > Homo > Homo sapiens. The sequence continues at coordinate 73,006 of NW_025791770.1, forward strand.
TGTGTGTGTGTGTGTGGTTTTTTTTTTTTAGTCTGGAAATTATGATGCCTGTCTACAACACCTTGCCTGTCTACAAGATATAAACAAAGATGATTATAAAATAATTTTGAATACAGCAGTAGCTGAGTTTTTTAAAAGTAACCAAACAACAACAGATAATTTGAGACAAACACTTAACCAGCTGAAGAATCAGGTGATACATAAATGAATTTAACTATAAAAAATATTGTTCTGTTCTTTAATTTATGAAACACAAATAGTTAAGGAAAATAAATGTGATTTGTCTGGTATTTCTTGTCAGAAACATTTGTTAGCATTAATTTTATTTCCGTAAAATTATTATTCCAGGAGATAAAAGGTATGTTGTGGGATCATTTTTTTTAATTGGGGTTTTAATGAACTTGAACAGAATAGACTAATATACCAAATTTGAATGAGCTTTGGAGTTTTGAGAAAGAACTATATGAAGAAGCTTAGCTGTGGAGATATATCTTGTTTATAATGAAAAAAATATGATTAATCCTAATGTCAAGTCGTTTTAGCATTTGGATCAGGAGATGATTGATTAAATAGAAGATATTCTGCTTTGTATCTGGCTTGGGGCTTGAATTGGGGATTGGTCTGGTGATAATGGCAATGTTTCTTGAATCCTGGGGCTAGACTTTTGGTGTTCAAGAGGGCTGATAACAGTGATGGTGCTGATAGGATCAGCTAGCATATGTTAAGTGTTCACTGTGTGACAGGGCTCTGCCAAGCGCTTGTATGCAACTTCTCAGCTTGTTCTTCTCAGTAGCCCTATGAAATAGCTATATAATTTTTCTTATTTTAAAAGTGGAAAAGCCAAGGCACAGATAGCTGTGTAAATTGTCCAAAAACACAAAGTTTTTGAGTAGTAAGAGCTACATGAACTCAGTTGTATTTAACTCTATAGCCTGTAATTTTAGTTACTGCTTCATGCTGTTAGGGAGTCATGAGACCTTTCCTGTAATCATGAGTACCATGATACTCTATAGTATCACCCTAAAGTGTGACACAGGTAGAGAAGCAAGTTGTCCCTTCAGGCTCTCTGTAATCCTTTATAGGCATAAAGTAATTTTTAAACCCCATTAAAATTCAAAAATGAGAATAATAGCTACCATTTATTGAATGCATACTGGGTGCCAAATTCTGTATTAAGTGCCTTTTATGCCTTATCTCATATAATCCTCACATTCAACTCTTGAGGCAGTAGGTGCTTATTATCTCAGTTTTAAAACCAGAATTTAGGAAGTCTAATTTAAATTTACACAACTAGGAAGGGGAAGAACAGATTTAAACCAGGCCTTCTGACTCTTGAGCCTGTTCTCCTACCTGTCTCAGTCTTCATAAATTTGTATGTCCTCACGTTTCCTCATTACTCCAGTATTATTACTGATGATTTTATCTAGTGTTCCAGAATCAAAAGAAAGATGATGCTTACTGATAATCTAGTACATGCACCCTATGACCCCATAGACAGTTTCTTCCAAGACAAATTTGTTTGGTTTTTGAGAATAAGTTCAGCCTTTAAACTTTTTTTGAATAAGCAATTCCTGCAAACTTCCAGTTAGGCCAAAAAAACTTTGTGAAGTTCTTTCACTAGCTTTTATTGTTTATAAGGTTTGTTAGGGCCTTCCAACTCTTGAGTTTCCTAGAAGTGTTTGTACTTGTGGTTACTGACTTCTTTAAATCATACTTCTGTTCGCAGTCACATCGGGCACAGTGACACACCTTTTCAACCTATTCCATTTTAATTAGCAAACGTCTAATTTCACTTAATGAGTAGTTTTTCTTTTGGCTGGAGCAGTTACTAGACTATTTTGGTGAGTCATAGAATATGTGGCAAAGTTATTTGTGTGATAATTATTCAACCATTGCTGAATCCAAAACGCCATAGTTTATCTAAAAGCTTTTCTGGCTAAACTCTTCTTAACTCAGTCTCTCTCCATTACATAACTACAGAAAGAGTTGCCTTTGGAAATTGAGTTTTCACTGTTTGAAGATACTGTTTTTAATCTCTTTAAGATAGTGACTTGATAAGTGAAGATTATAAAAAGTTCCCAAACTCATTGAGATGCACATGTTGGTCAGCTAGGACCACTTGCTAACATTTGAACCATGTCAAGCTTAACCACGTGGGTGGTTGACGTCTGCTGAAGTCCAGTTACAAAATTTACAATTCATTGTGTGTAGTGAACCTTCAGGTTCCTTGCCATTAGTCAAACCAAGGCTGTTAAATCCATGTACTGTATATCAGAGTTCTATGGAAGTGTTGGTCTTAGAGTTAATTACTTAATATTGAACAATAATTTATTGCAATCTTCATAATGGCAAAGGTTAGTTTTAATACAAGTAGACTTCCAGTTTCATGTGTTACATGGAATTGTGCAATGGTTGTAAAGCTTGATTAAAATTTAAAAGCCCATTGCTACAGCTTACATAAGGGGGTATACAGTTTGAGAATGCAAAGTGTCATGCTTTTTTTTTTTTCTTTTGTGTCAGTTACAGATGTTAGCCTTTAGTGAAGCCCATAAAAGCCTTTTCTAACCATCATGTGTGCAATAATATATTTTTATTATTGAGTACTTTAAAAAAATCTATTCTTTTTTACGGGAACGAAACCTGAAAATATACTTTCTAGCCCTATGGCCTTGGGCAAGATAATTAAGTTTTCTGTGCTGGTTTCCTTATGTATAAAGTGGAAATGAAATTATCTATGTCCTCGGCCAGGTGCGGTGGCTCATGCCTGTAATCCAAGCACTTTGGGAGGCCGAGGTGGGCAGATCGCCTGAGGTCAGGAGTTCAAGACCAGCCTGGCCAACATGGTGAAACCCCATCTCTACTAAAAATACAAAATTAGCCAGGTGTTGTGGTGCATGCCTGTAGTCCGAGCTACTCAGGAGGCTAAGGCAGGAGAATCACTTGAACCCTGGAGGTGGAGGTTACACTGAGCTGAGTTCGTGCCACTGCACTCCAGCCTGGGTGACTCCATCTCAAAAAAAAAAAAATTATCTATGACCTTGAGGTATGGTGAGGATTAACCTGTAAAAGTTTTAACATAGCAAGTCTGGCACATGGTAAATAGTTAACTATTTTTGTTTTGTTTGATACAGAGTCTCGCTGTGTTGTTCAGGCTAGAGTGCAGTGATGTGATCTTGGCTCACTGCAGCCTCTGCCTTTTGGATTTAAGCAAGTTTCCTCCCTCAGCCTCCCGAGTAGCTGGGACTACAGGCACGTGCGACCACACCCAGCTAAATTTTTTTTTTGTATTTTGTATTTTTAGTAGAGACGGGGTTCACCATGTTGGCTAAGCTGGTCTCAAACTCCTGACCTCAAGTGATCTGCCTGTCTCGGCCTCCCAAAGTGCTGGGATTACAGGCATGAGCTGCCACGCCCGGCCAGCTATTATTAATGTTTAAATTTTACCTTAGTTTTTACAAAATGAAATCAAACTATGAATACTACGTGACATTTTTATGGGAAAGGTCATTTTGAGTTTGTTGCACGCCTGGTGTAGCCTCTTGTAGGTTGTGAGACTAGGAGATGGGAATCCTACTCAGAAGTGGTGTTACCAATTGAAACAGGGAAGATAGCTTCACAGTGACAAGGAAGATAATTGTCTAGCCATGTGCTGGGTACTTAATAAAGTCTCATGAAAACATTTTACCTAAAATTTTATTATGTGTGGCACAGAAGAATGAAAATAATTTTTAGTATGTGAGAGTAATTAAAATCTAAAGATACTGTTGAAAGTATGGAAAAATTCAGAATAAGAATGTTGGCCTATGTTCCTTTTTATTCATATGAATTCTTTCACTTTTGCTTTTTATTTCCTTAATGTTAAAATATAACCTCTGTTGATTGCTTTATAGGTCCACTCAGCTGTTGAAGAAATGGATGGATTAGATGATGTTGAAAACAGCATGTTGTACTATAATCAAGCAGTCATTCTTTATCATCTGCGGCAGTATACAGAAGCCATATCAGTTGGTGAAAAACTTTATCAGTTCATAGAGCCTTTTGGTATGTTATCTGTCAAGTCAAAAATTTCCCTATCTTCCCTATACTTGCAGAATTCTCTGGTACTTTTACCTAGATAACCTAAATCCGAGAAGTCCATGCCAGTATTCAAAGAAAAGCCGTATCAGCTTTGCTTAATGGTTAGAAAAGATAAAAATGTAATCCAGGTTTTCTTTGAGTGTCCCTTCCCAAATTTTGAAGATAACTGTTAAAAATGCTGTTGGAAAGTGCTGAAAACACTTAGTGATGTTTGTGGGGTTTTTGCTGTTTCAACACTATTTTAGTGTACCTGATCCTTTCTTACTTTAGTACATTAAGGAAGTAGCATTTTGGAATGTTAGGGGACAGTGAGGTATTTCATTTTTGCCCTTTGCCTTACTGAAATTTTTGGTGGTAATTATGGAGTAGGAAGTATAGAACAGAGTTAGTTTTTTGCTATCTTAATTAGCTTACTAACCTCAAGTAGGAGTAGCAAGAAAAGTAAGGGCAAAGGAAAAAAGAAGAGCAAAGGAGAAAGCTAGACCCAGGAAATGGTTGTTAGAGAAGGCTGTTGGTTTCTAGCCCACAAGCAGTCAAATTCCATTTGTGAGTTACATTTTTGTCTTTTTTTTCCATAATTGCTTTCTTTTACATTCAAAACACAAATGAGAATTCCTAATTTATCAGGAACGCCTGATTGCTCATGTGGTTACCACAGGACAAGTGGTGGGGTATGATAGCGCTCTGTGGTTCTTTGGGAAGAGGTAGAGAGTCCCCTTTTGCTGACAGCTGGTTGAACAGCTGATTACTATGGCTCCAGAGACCCATTCTGAGGTGCTTCTCTTCTTTCCCTCAATCCTGAGAGCTTGGTAGCTGGACAGACTGGGCGGGAGAGACACCAGTGGTAAGGGATTATGTAATTAGTGACCAGGTCCTTCTGTATAGCTAGAAATCAGAGTTACACTTTTAGGACTGTACACATTTTTCTGTAAAGTTACTGTTATTGATGCTTCTTAGAATTTCAATATGGAGAAACTGCCTTTAAAGGCAGCTATTAAAATATAAATATGCCCAGCGCAGTGGCTCACGCCTGTAATCCCAGCACTTTGGGAGGTTGAGGTGAGCAGATCATCTGAGGTCAGGAGTTGGAGACCAGCCTGATCAACATGGGGAAACCCCGTCTCTACTAAAAATACAAAATTAGCCAGGTGTGGTGGCACATGCCTGTAATCCCAGCTACTCAGGAAGGCTGAGACAGGAGGATCACTTGAACCCGAGAGGCCGAGGTTGCAGTGAGCCAAGATTGCACCACAGCATTCCAGCCTGAGCAACAAGAGCAAAACTTGCTCTCAAAAAAAAAAAAAAAAAAAAAAGAGAATTTCCTGAATTCATGAAATCCTGTTAATCTGCACTATGGCTGAACAGAATATATTAATAGTAATCAACTAGTCAGTATTCACATTCATTTTTCTTTTATGGCTTTTTTTTTTTTAAACTTTTACTGCTTGGATTTTTTTTAAAGACTGTTTTTTTAGAGAAGGTTTAGATTTACAGCAAAACCAAGTTTCCTCTTGTACAGAGATTTCCTGTGTGTCCTCTGCCCCAACACATCCATAGCCTCCCTCATTACCACAATCCCTCAACAGTGTGGTGCATTTGTTATAATTGATAAACCTACATTGATACATCATAATCATCCAAAGTTCATAGTTTACGTTAGGGTTCACTCTTGGTGTTGTATGTTCTATGTGTTTGGACAAATATATTCATTATAGTATCATACAGAGTATTTTTCACTGCCCTAAGAATTCTGTGTTGTGCCTGTTCATTCCCTTTCTACCTATAACCACTGATCTTTTTACTGTCTCTACAGTTTTGCCTTTTCTACAGTGTCAAACTTGGAATCATAACTACTCAGCTTCTTTCTTCTTTTTTTCTTTTTGAGATGGGGTCTCTTTCTGTTGCCCAGGCTGGAGTGCAGTGGCGTGAACTCCACTCACTGCAACCTCCACCTGCCAGGCCCAAGCGATCCTCCCACCCCAGCCTCTTCAATAGCTGGGATTACAGTCACGCGCCACCACACCCAGCTAATTTTTGTATTGTTTTGCAGAGACTGGGTTTCACTATGTTGCCTAGGCTGGTCTTGAACTCCTGGGCTCAAGCCCAGCACCTTGGCTTCCCAATGTGCTGGGATTACAGGTGTGAACCACCATGCCTAGCCAGTACTCAGATTCTTCATACAACATATGCTAATTGAGCACATGGTCCAATACTGTGGGCCAGACACTGTTCTGGGTCTGGAGATAATGCAATGAATGAAATACAGAAACTCTTTACCCCCGTTAAGCTTCTATTCTAATAGGAGAGAAAGCAACATAATAAAAAAACAGCCATCCCTTGGTATTCAAGGGAGATTGGTTCTAGGACACCCCTCTTCAGATACCAAAATCTGCTGATACTTAAATCCCTTATATAAAATGGTGTAGTATTTACATACAGTCTCTGTGTATGTCCTCCTGTACATTTTAAATAATCGCTAAATTACTTATAATACCTAATACACTGTAAATGCTATGAAAATGTTTTTATACCATATTGTTTAGGGAACAATGATGGGGAAAACGTCTGTACATATTCAGTGCAGATGCAACAACTTTTTTTTTTCTTCTAACATTTTCAATCTGAGGTTGGTTGAATCTGTGGGTGCAGGTCAGATACAGGGGGCTGGCTGTATACTGAATGCTATGAAGTAAAGCTAAAATTGAGTGAGAATGTAGAGATTGACTGGGGATGTTTTAAGTAAGGTAATCAAGCAAGGCCTGGGATGAGATGGTATTTGAAACGAGACCTGAATAAAGAAAAGACATTATCCTTGCTACTGTTTAGAGGGAAAGCATTCCCACTGGAGGTAATGGGATATGGAGAAGACTTGAGGTGAGAGGCTGTGTTTGGTGAGAGCAATAGCAGCAAGATCATTGTGACTGGAGCTAGGTAAGGAGGATAATAGGAAATAAAGTCAGAATTAGCCACGGGCAGAAGAGGTAAAGCCTAGGGCAGGGCTTACTGTCTTAGGTGCAGTGAGATTCCCTTGGAGATATATGACCTTTGCACACCAGCTGTGTTAATTTCAGTTTTTTAAATGAATTCCACTCTTTAAAGGCTTTTGAAATTTTCTCTTCTAGACCTTATTTTTCCTTTTATCTTCTTTTTTGAAAGGAAAGATAGTTTTATGTCACACCAGGTTAACTTTCCTCTCTTCATTGGGTTCTTTTTCTTTTGAAGGTCTTGTCTCTTGGCAGTCTCAATTTTCTGATATACTCCAGCCCATACCTTGCTGCTTTTGCTTCTGTAATCAGGTGTTTGTTTGTTTTTTTTTTTTTTCCATCTCCATGACCTAGAAAAGCAATGTATTTCATGGAGTCATAGACTTTTTTAGTTAGAAGGAACCTCACAAGATCCCCTGGTCCACCCTTCTGCCTTCAGGCAGGTAAAATATTCTCCTCATTTGACAGGTCAGCCAGCTGAGGTCTGAAAAGTTAAATGATGTACAGAGACCACACATACCTAGTTAGTGGCTGAATAGGTGCAGATTGAGTATCCCTTATCCAAAATGCTTGGGACAAGAAGTGTTTCAGATTTGGGATTTTTTTTAACTTTGGAATATTTGCATTATACTTACTGGTTCAGTATTCCTACCCTGAGGTCCAAAATGCTACCATGAGCATTTTATTTGAGCATCATTGGTGCTCAACAAGTTTTGGATTTTGAGGCTGGACACAGTGGCTCACACCTGTAATCCTATCCTTTGTGAGGCCAAAGTGGGTGGATCACTTGAGCTCAGGAGCTTGAGACCAGCCTGGGCAACATAGTGAAACCCTGTTTCTATGAAAAAATTAGCCAGGCATGGTGACACATGTTTGTGGTCCCAGCTACTCAGGAGGCTAAGGTGAAAGGATCTCTTGAGCCTAGTAGGCAGAGGTTGCAGTAAGCCAAGATTGCAACACTGCACTCCAGCCTGGGTAACACAGTGAGATACCATCTCAGAAACAAAAAAAGTTTTGGATTTTGGAGGATTACAAATTTCAGATTTCAACATTTCAGGTTAGGAATGCACAACCTCTATTGGAATTCAGGTTTCTTTCCGCCTAAAGTAATATTCCTCATTACATGTGCTAGTGTTTAGTAGATATTTTCCTAAGGAAGATTTAATCACTGGAATTTCTGAAATGAGAGGCCTTGCAGTGCCTAGTAAAATGACATTGTTGGCATTGCAAGTTGCTTTCATTCGTGGCTCTAGGTGATAGGCATTCATTTGAGTAAAGACTTATGCTTTGCTATTTAAAGCTTTGTATACTTTTTTGGAGGGTGGTCTGAAATGTGTGCTTTACTTTAGGTTGTGACTATTCTTTTCTGTGTTTTTTTTCTCCCAGAAGAAAAATTTGCCCAAGCAGTGTGTTTTTTGCTTGTAGACCTGTATATATTAACCTACCAAGCTGAGAAAGCTTTGCATCTTCTTGCTGTCCTAGAAAAAATGATTTCACAGGGTAACAATAACAAAAATGGAAAGAATGAGGTGAGTCTTTAGAGGTGATCAGACTAAAATCTAAAATGTGATTAATTCTCTCTACTTGTTGGTTTACTGGATTAAAAAGAAAGCAATTAAAATATGATTAATGTTTGTGGTTATGAACTATTAACAGCTTAAAGATACAATTTTCATATTATAAGCTTTACCATTTTAAAGTGTAGAGTTTAGTGGTTTTGAGTGTACTCACATTTGTACAACCATTACTACTATCTAATTTCAAAATATTTTTATCACCCCAAAAAGAAACCCTGTACCATTTGCAGTCACTCCCCATTTCCCCCTTTCCTCAGCCCCAAGCAGCCGTTAATCTAATTACTGTCTCTGAATTTACTGTCTGGACATTACATATGAATGGAATCATAATATGCGGCTATTTGTCACTGGCTTTTTTTACTTAGTGTAATGCTTTCAAGCTTCATCCATATTTTAGCATATACTTATTTTTGTTTCATGTACTTCATGCCTTTTGTGGCTGAATAATATTCCATTCATTATATGAATATGCCACATTTTAAAAAATTCTTTATCAGTTGGTGGACATTTGGGTTCTTTTCTACTTTTTGGTTATTATATATAGTGCTTCTGTGACCATTCATGTACAAATTTTTGTGTGGATATATGTTTTCAGTTACATTGGATATAATATTTAGGAATAGAATCACTGGGTTATATGGTATCTTAACTCTATATTTAACCCTATACAAGACTGTTTTACAAAGTGGCTGCACTATTTTAAATTCCCACCGGCCACTTGTGAGGTTGTAATTTCTCCACATTGTTACCAACACTTGTTATTGTCTATCTTTAAAAAAAAATTAGCTATCTTAGGGGGTGTGAAGTGGTATCTTGTTACAGTTTTGATTTTTATTTTCCTAATGACTAAGGATGTACATTGAGCATCTTTTCATATATGAGCTATTATTTTTATAGAATTGAAAGATTGGAATTAAGACAATAGAATCCATAACCTGGATAAACACTATTGCTTTCATTAGGGAAAATTTCATCATTAAAGTTCTTCAAAAAAAAAAAAAAAATACATGGCTGGGCGTGGTAGCTCACACCTGTAATCCCAGCACTTTGAGAGTCCAAGGCGGGTGGATCACCTGAGGTCAGGAGTTAGAGACCAGCCTGGCCAACATGGTGAAACCGTGTCTTTACTAAAAATACAAAAAATAGCTGGGCATGGTGGCACACAACTGTAATTCCAACTACTCAGGAGGTTGAGGCACGAGAATCACTTGAAACTGGGAGGCGGAGATTGCAGTGAGCCAAGATTACGCCACTGCACTCCAGCCTGGGAGACAGAGCAAGACTCAAACTCAAAAATAAAAAAGCATACATTTATGATGTTTAAGCTTCACCATGTTCTGGTGAGAGACTTGGTGCCCAGTATGAGTATATCCTGGGTCTCATGTTTTTCTTTTATTTGTGCTTCTGGTTATCAAGGGATGACCCTTCTTACTTCCGTTTTCTGTCCCTTTGTTTTAAAAGGAGTATTTGCAGGAAACGTTGCCAATACCTTTTTGCCTGTGTACATTCTTGATGTTTAAAAAGAAAATAAACATCTGGCATTACTTTTTTCAATTTAAGTGTGTATTCATAAGGGATTTCAGTTGAATAACCTTAGCATTATACCGAAACATTGTGTAGTAAAATATTTATATTCAGTACTTGTAAAATTTGATTAAATATAATTTAATTTAGCAGATGCTTATGTGCTCTGCCCGGTTCTAAGGTACTCTGCTAGGTACTAAGGTGACAAAAACAAAAACGTTGCAGTCCTTGCTTTCAAGGATCTCATGTCTAGGAAGAGATAAATTGGGCAACATCTGGTCATGGACAAGGAGGAAAGAGGTGAAAGAGGTTAGGGAATGTTTCAAAGGAATTTGGATGTTTGTTTTGGGCCTTGGAAGATGGTTAATAGTTTGACAAGTCAGACAAGGAGGGGTAGAGCAGGATAACCAGCCTGGCAGAGAATATCACAAAAGGTATGAGCTTAATGGTGTGCTGGAGACCTTTCTGGTAATGAAATGAACAGTACCAGAGAAATGCAGAGGAGAGCAGTGGGAGATGATGTTGGCAATATGAGTGTGAGTGATAGCTTGAAGAACTTTGAATACTAGAAAGTTCAAATTTGATATGATTGGCAGTGTTCATAACAGAGAAAGTTTTAAGAAGTGGGTAGATCTGTTCTGGGTTTTAGAAAGATATTCTGAGTTTTGCTTAAAGTAATATTCATGTTTTTTAAAACAAGCCCAGGCTGGCCACAGTGGAGACCCCCGTCTCTATGAAAAATTAAAATTGTAAATAAATAAAACCAGCTCATTATTACGTTCGACTGTGAGCTTCTCATGAGTAGAGCTTCCTGTCACCCACTCTAGACTACTGAACCTCAGTCTCTAGGAGTGGGACCTGGGATTCTGCATTTTTTAAAGACAGGGTCTTGCTCTGCCACCTCAGGCTGGAGTATAGTAGTAGCACAATCACGCCTCACTGCAGCCTTGATCTCCTGGGCTCAGGCAGTCTTCCCACCTCAGCTTCCTGAGTAGCTGGGACTACAGGTACATGGCCACCATGCCCAGCTAATTTTTGTATTTTTTGTAGAGATGCGATTTTGCCATGTTACTCAAGCTGGTCTCGAACTCCTGGGCTCAAGCGATCCGCCCGCCTCTGCCTTCCAAAGTTCTGGGATTACAGGCATGAACCACCATTTCCCACAAATTCTACATTTTGAAAATGCTCTCTAGGTAATTTAGATTAGCTCACTTGGAAATCACTGATTTAAATTATGGTCAAAAATATTTAATTTTGATAAACTTTGTTTCATCACCCTACAGACTGGTAATAACAACAACAAAGATGGATCTAATCATAAAGCTGAAAGTGGAGCTCTAATAGAAGCTGCAAAATCAAAGATACATCAGGTAGTATAAATTTTAAAGGGGGGCAATACATCACATATATTTAATTGTAGTTATGACAAATGAAGCAATGAGATAGATCATTGGAAGCAGTCAATAATTCAAGGTGCATATATTTGTTTGTCTTTTGAAGTATTGTAGTTTAGAAGCACATTTATCCTAAATACATTTTTCTTAAGAGGATAATATAATTTATTTAAATTGCTCTATAAATAAAGTTTGAGAGAAATGGCACGGGAATGTACTGCATGATAAAATCAACTGGAATTTTAAAAAGTCATTGTTAGCCATGTGCAGAAGAGGATTGATAGGATTTTTGCCCGGAACTTGAGTATTTAAGTTTTTTGTTTGTTTTTTGAGACGGAGCCTCACTCTGTCACCCAAGCTGCAGTGCAATGGTGCGATCTCGGCTCGCTGCAACCTCTGCCTCCCAGTTTCAAGCGATTCTCCTGCCTCAGCCTTCCTGAGTAGCTGGGATTACTAGTGCGCATCACCACACCCGGATAATTTTTTGTATTTTTAGTAGAGACAGGGTTTCATCATGTTGGCCAGGCTGGTCTCAAACTCCTGACCTCAGGTGATCCACCTGCCTCGGCCTCCAAAGTACTGGGATTACAGGCGTGAGCCACCACATCTGGCTAAGTTTTTATTCTACCGTGATTTTAGTATTTTGAAGTATATTCGAAGAGTACAGTGAAAATAGCATATTTTCTAAAATTGTAAACTTGATTTAGCAAGTAATTAGTGTAACTATGTTGTAAATAGATTGGGTTTTCTTAACTAGAAAGTAAAACTGTATGTAAATCCACCATAGTTTTAACATACTAACATTTTCCCTTTGACAGTACAAAGTACGAGCTTATATCCAAATGAAGTCTCTGAAAGCATGTAAAAGGGAAATCAAGTCAGTCATGAATACAGCTGGAAATGTAAGTTTCTTCTGGACTTTTGTTTTTCAATTTGTGTCTTTCTTATTTAGACTATGGGTATTGTCAGGTTTAAATAATTTATCTTAGTCTTTTACATATACTGCCAGATATGAACCTTGCTATTTTAAAGTTGGGAAGTAGTAATAATACTGTGTCTATAGTTTAATTTTTTTTTTTTTACTTAAAATTACAACAAGCACTTTTCTATTTTATGTAACCTTCAAAACCACCATTTTAAATAACTGCCTATTTTTCTGTGACTGGTTTATCACAACTCACTTAAACATTTTGCTAATATTAGACATTTAGGTTATTTTAGAATTTTTTAGTATTATACTCAAAACATTTATGGCCAGGTGGTGACTCACCTGTAATCCCAGCACTTTAGGAGGCCAAGGTGGGCGGATCACCTGAGGTCAGGAGTTCAAGACCAGCCTGGTCAACATGATGAGACCCTGTCTCTACTAAAAATACAAAAATAAGCCGGGTGTGGTGGCGTGTGCCTGTAGTCCCAGCCACTAGGGAGGCTAAAGTGGGAGGATCACTTGAACCTGGGAAGCAGAAGTTGCAGTGAGCTGAGATCGTGTCATTTCACGCTAGCCTGGGCAACAGGGTGAGACCCTGTCAAAAAACATTTTTTAAATAAAAAAAAATTTATTAAAAATCTAACAGTCAAATTATAGCCAAAACCTGCCCCTTCCAAGTGACTTTTGGCTTGACAGTACCTTCGATTTAACTGAGATAGAATTACTTCTTCCTTCCACTCCCTCCACCCTAATCTTTCATTGATAATTTTTAAGATGGTGTAGGAAAGAAACAGAATTGTGAACAATCTTGATGCTTCTAGAAAAACTATAAATTTAGAAGTATAAAGTCATGAGAAAATATGGTTAAAAATCTCAGGCAGGATCCAGATTAGTCACTGAGTTAGTTAATATGCTAGTGATTTTTGAGAACAATTGTGGCCTAGACCTGAGCCTAAGAGGGAAAGGCCCAGTTAGCCAGCCACCCATTATCAAACTTTTTTTTTTTTTTTTTTTTTTAATGATAAAAGACATAATTCCTAGCCAGGCGCGGTGGCTCACGCCTGTAATCCCAGCACTTTGGGAGGCTGAGGCGGGCGGATCACGAGGTCAGGAGATCGAGACCATCCTGGTTAACACAGTGAAACCCCATCTCTACTAAAAATACAAAAAATGAGCCGGGCGTGGTGGCGGGCGCCTGTAGTCCCAGCTACTCGGGAGGCTGAGGCAGGAGAATGGTGTGAACCCGGGAGGCGGATCTTGCTGTGAGCCGAGACCGCGCCACTGCACTCCAGCCTGGGCGACAGAACAAGACTCATTCTCAAAAAAAAAAAAAAAAAAAAAGACATAATTCCTGCCTTAAAGGAGACCACAGTCATAGAGGAAAGACAATTGAAAATTAATAGTCATCCTAAATCGGCGAAAACTTCAGGAGGAATAGCTACCACTAAGAATAAGCACTGAAAGCCCTTGTTTCTTTAGTGACCAGAACTTTGGGGTGGGTGGGAGGCAGAGCAAAGGATAAACTAGGATTTAGAAGGAAAGCCTGTTGCTAAATTAAGTGAATAAATAGGCCAGGCGTGATGGCTCATGCCTGTAATTGCAGCACTTTGGAAGGCTGAGACAGGCAGATCACCTGAGGTCAGGAGTTTGAGACCAACCTTGCCAACATGGGGAAGCCCCATCTCTACTAAAAATAAAAAAATTAGGTCGGGCATGGTGGCTCACGCCTGTAATCCCCACACTTTGGGAGGCTGAGGCAGGCGGATCCCAAAGTCAGGAGTTCAAGACCAGCCTGACCAACATGGTGAAACCCCATCTCTACTAAAAATACAAAAATTAGCCAGGTGTGGTGGCATGCGCCTGTAATCCCAGCCACTGAGGAGGCTGAGGCAGGAGAATTGCTTGAACCCGGGAGGCGGAGGTTGCAGTGAGCCGAGATCGCGCCACTGCACTCTAGCCTGGGCAACGGAGCGAGACTCCGTCTAAAAACAAAAACAAAAACAAAAATTTGCCTGGCATGGTGGCGCATGCCTGTAATCCCAGCTACTCAGGAGGCTGAGGCAGGAGAATTGTTTGAACCTAGGAGGCGGAGGTTGCAGTGATCCGAGATCATGCCACTGTACTCCAGCCTGGGTGACAGAGCAAGACTCCGTCTCAATCAATCAATCACTCAATCAGGATTCCAGATGTCCTCCTGGATGGATGTTGAGTCTCCAGAGCTCTCTGCATGCTTTCGTACTCTAAACAGGTAGTACTATCTAGGGTCCTCCACCAGGAGGATTCTTAGGAGAAGTGAAAGGTGATCTACCATTCAAAACGTGATCTTTGGAACAGCAAGATTAGTGCTTGCAAATAAGGCATTCTGTTGAAAATTCTTCTATTTGTAGAATGGCACTTTTTTTTTCCTATTTGGAAAAGTATTTGATTATTTATATCTCTGTAGGTTCTAATGAAAGGTGCATTTGTATCCTAAAAAGTAAGAAAGATCACCAGTCTCTCTAATAACTATTAAAATGAAGGACATAGATTGTGTTGTCAAATTGGTTTTCAGTTAGTAGTGTAGTAGATGAACACAATCAGTTGATAATCTACAGACTGTATTCTTATACATATACCTATATTTATTTTTTCAGGTGGACCCTTAGTAATTATTTTTACAAAGTGCTCTCTGACAAGTTTCAATTTTTTTGATTGTGAGAGCAATGAAAAATTTAGAGACTATATAATTTTTTGTGACTGACTTAATTGATTCATTTATGGTTTTGAACACGTCAGTACAACAGTATAATTAAGATCTTACATTAGGCGTCTGAAAACAAATTATAAGTAACTTTTATATTTTCTCTACAGTCCGCACCCTCTCTCTTTCTTAAAAGCAATTTTGAGTACTTAAGAGGTAATTATCGAAAAGCCGTGAAGCTATTAAATAGTTCAAACATTGCTGAGCATCCAGGATTCATGAAAACAGGTAAAAGAAAATTGTGAAATTTTAACTTTTTTTTGCCTTGCTCTTCTACCCCTTCTTGCTTGTCCACCTCCCAACACCCAGTCTTTTGAGTGATTTATGCTAATTTTTTAATGAAAATGTTTTAATATTTCTGGTGCAAAAATTTCCAGGAATTCTTGTTTCTACTTTAGAAGAAACCTCATTACTTCTTGCTTTCACTTTGCTTTCTTTCTTTTTTTTACTTTTCCAGGTTGGATCGCTTTCCTCCCCTCCCCCACCTTTTTTATTTTTATTTTATTTTATTTTATTTTTTTGGAAATAGGGTCTTGCTGAGTGCAGTGCCACAATCACAGCTCACTACAGCCTCAACCTCCTAGGCTCCAGCGATCCTCCCACCTCACCCTCCCAGGTAGCTGGGACTATAGGCATGCACCACCATGCCTGGCTTATTTATTGTAGAAACAAGGTCTCATTATGTTGCCCAAGCTGGTCTCAAACTCCTGGGCTCAAGTGATCCGCTGACCTCAGTCTCCCAAAGTGCTGGGATTACAGGCATGCACCACTGTGCCTGGCCCAGATAGCTTGTCTTTTTTCTTTAACCTGACTTGCCTGCCCTCCCTCCCTCCCTTCCTCCCTTCCTCCCTTCCTCCCTTCCCTCCTTCCTTCTTTCTTTTCCTTCTTTTCCTTCCTTCCTTCCTTCCTTCCTTCCTTCCTTCCTTCCTTCCCTTCTTCCCTTCCTTCCCTTCCCTCCCTTCCCTCCTTTCCTTCCCTTCCTTCTCTTCCCTTCCTTCTGTTCCCTTCCCTCCCTCTCTTCCTTCCTTCCCTTCCTTCCCTTCCTTTCTTTCCTTTCTTTTTTTTTTTTTTTTTTTGACAGAGTCTTGCTCTGTTGCCTGAGCTGGAGTGCAGTGGCACCATCTTGGCTCACTACAGCCTCCACCTCCCTCCCGGGTTCAAGCAATTCTCCCACCTCAGCCTCCTGAGTAGCTGGGACTACAGGCACGCACCACCATGCTCAGCTAATTTTTGTATTTTTTGGTAGAGACAAGGTTTCCATGTTGCCTAGGCTGTATCGAACTCCTGACCTCAAGTGACCCGCCCACCTCAGCATCTCAAAGTGCTGGGATTACAAGTGTGAGCCACCGCACCTGGCCCTTTCATTTGTTTTTGTAAGATCCTTGGACTTTTGCTTTGTGAAGTGAGACCTAATTTTTCTTTCATCTTTTTTTTTTTTTTTTTTTTTTTTTAGTGAATTACCATCTATACCAGAAAAGTGAGGCCTTTTAAGTAAATAATATGTTTTTACTTTTTTCTGCCATAAAGCCAGTTAATAATATAATTTTTTTCAGTAACTTGCCCAATTAATATGACTTCTTTAGATCATTACCTAGATCAAAAATCTTTCTATAATGCTAGGAAGATAAGTATTATTACATATTCTTTTTTTTTTTTTTTTTGAGCCAGTGTCTCCCTCCGTCGCCCAGGCTGGAGTGCAGTGGCACAATCTCGGCTCACTGCAAGCTCTGCCTCCTGGGTTCGCGACATTCTCCTGCCTCAGCCTCCCGAGTAGCTGAGACTACAGGCGTCTGCCACCGCGCCCGGCTAATTTTTTGTATTTTTTTTTTTAGTAGAGACAGGGTTTCACCGTGTTAGCCAGGATGGTCTCGATCTCCTGACCTCGTGATCCGCCCGCCTCGGCCTCCCAAAGTGCTGGGATTACAGGCGTGAGCCACCGTGCCCGGCCTATTACATATTCTTGCCTCTATTTAGACTAAAAAGTCTTACAAATCCTTTGATACTAATGATAATATGAAAGTAAAAATTGTGACTGTCATTTAGGTTTATATCATCAGTATTTGATGGGGCAGGAGAAGGAAAATCACTTATTCGAGAAATGAGGATAAACTATTGAAAATGTATATTTTGCCTCAAGTTTAAAATGCAAACAATTAATATGTATTTTGGTATGTTTTGTCTTGTTTTTTTTGGATTCTACCCAGATACACGCACAGAATACACATGCAAACATACTGAGACCTTCCCCTATTTACCCTTTCAGTTCACAGGAGTGATGGAGGATGGAGAAAGGCACTTTTTCCTTATAATTCTCTTGTGGGTATTATTTCTGTTCTAAATACCCATTTCTAATTCTGCTCAATTTTAGTGTTTTGTTTTCATTGTCATAGTTTCTCCTCAGAGGTCCACTAACACACAACATGCAATGATCCCTCAAACTAAAAAGATAATATACTTTGAGAAAATTTTGCTTAGGATTTTCTTCATGTAGGTGTCAGTATTGACATTGTCAATCTTTAAAATGAAGGCAGGAGCTGGAAGTGGTGGCTCATGCCTGTAATCCTAATGCTTTGGGAGGCCAAGGCAGGAGGACCAGGAGTTCGAGGTTCCAGTGAATCATGATCATGCCACTGCACTCCAGCCTGGGCAACAGAACAAGGCCTTGTCTCTAAAAATAAATTAATAAATAAAGATGGCCAGGCGTGGTGGCTCACACCTATAATCAATCCCAGCACATTGGGAGACTGAGGCCGACGGATCACTTGAGGTCAGGAGTTCAAGACCAGGCTGGCCAACATGGAGAAACCCCGTCTCTACACAAAATACAAAAATTAGCCAGGCGTGATGGCATGCGCCTGTATTCCCAGCTACTTAGGATCCCAAAGTGCTGGAATTGTAGGTGTGAGCCACCGAGCTCAGTCTAGTTTTCCTCTTTTAAATATTGTCATTGCTTAATTTAAAAATATGTCAGAAGATTACCTTTAGATTTTAAGTGCTAAACAATAAATATCCTGATTATTAATTTTGTCATTCTAGTCAGGCATTTTATGTCATTAAGGGCCATTGTTTTGGAATGTTTGGGTAGCTATTTAGAAAAACAATATTAAAGGCCGGGCACGGTGGCTCACACCTGTAATCTCAGCACTTTGGGAGGCTGAGGCGGGCAGATCACAAGGCCAGGAGATAAAGACCATCCTGACTAACACGGTGAAACCCCGTCTCTACTAAAAATACAAAAAATTAGCCAGGTGTGGTGGCGGGCGCCTGTAGTCCCAGCTACTCAGGAGGCTGAGCAGGAGAATGGCATGAACCCGGGAGGCAGAGGTTGCAGTGAGCTGAAATTGCGCCACTGCACTCCAGCCTGGGCGACAGAGTGAGACTCCGTCTCAAAAAAAAAAAAAAGAAAAGAGAATATTAAAGCTTAGATTACTTTCATTACGCCAAAATAAAATTCAGAGAGATGAAGGATTAACATTTAAAAATAAATAAAAGCAGTAAGATAAAACTTGGATGAATATTTTAATTTTGTGATGGAGAAGGCTTGAGTAAACATTTTCCAAAATCTAAGTACCATAGAATTTAGAAAACATGGCTAAATTTGATCACATTAAAATGTTAAACATTTTATGATTCAAAATGTAAACACACATACACATACTGAACCAAGTCACGAAACAAATGACAAACAGAGGTGGGCAGGAATATTTGAAACAGATGTGACAGAAGGTTTCTATAACATGTAAAACAACTAGTAACCAACAGAAAAAACATCTGTAACCAAATAAAGCAATAGATCAGCCAGGAACGGTGCTCACACTTGTAATCTCAGCACTTTGGGAGGTCGAGGCAGGAGGATCACTTGATTCCAGGAGTTTGCGACCAGCCTGAGCAACACAGGGACCCTGTCTCTGCAAAAAAATTAAAAAATTAGCTGGGCATGGTGGCCCGTGCCTGTAGTCCCAGCTACTCAGGAGGCTGAGGCATGAGGATTGCTTGAGCCCAGGAGGTCGATGCTGCAGTGAGCCCTAATTATGCCACTGCACTGTAGGCTGGGCGATGGAATGAGACCCTGTCTCAGAGAAAGAAAAAAATTAATACGGGTGAAAGACAAGAGGCAACACAGGCTGAAAAATACAAATTCCCAAACATGAAAAGATGCTTAGCTGCAGTGGTATTTAAAGAAGTGTGAATTAAAATCAGTGGAGACTTACAGTTTAATAGACATACTCTGTTCTGTTCCTTTTTTTTTTTTTTTTTTCTTTGAGACAGTCTCATTCTGTCACCCAGGCTGGAATGCAGTGGTGCGATCTCGGCTCACTGCAACCTCTGCCCTCTAGGGCCAAGCAATTCTCCTACCTCAGCCTCCCGAGTAACTGGGATTACAGGCGCCCTCCACTACGCCCGGCTAATTTTTTTTTTTTTTTTTTGAGACGGAGTCTTGCTCTGTCACTCAGGCTGGAGTGCAGTGGTGCGATCTCGGCTTACTGCAAGCTCTGCCTCCTGGGTTCCCGCCATTCTCCTGCCTCAGCCTCCCGAGTAGCTGGGACTACACGCGCCCGCCACCACGCCCGGCTAATTTTTTGTATTTTTAGTAGAGACGGGGTTTCACCATGTTAGCGAGGATGGTCTCCATCTCCTGACCTCGTGATCCGCCCACCTCGGCCTCCCAAAGTGCTGGGATTACAGGCGTGAGCCACTGCGCCCAGCCCAATGCCTGGCTAATTTTTGTGTTTTTAGTGGAGGTGGGGTTTCACCATGTTGGCCAGGCTAGTCTCGAACTCCTGACCTCAAGTGATCCACCCGCCTCAGCCTCCCAAAGTGCTGGGATTACAGGCATGAGCCATCGTACCCAGCCTCACTCTGTTCTTTTCTATATATTCTTGCTATTCACTTAATATGCTTTGGTTGTTTCCATGCATACTTGCTTCCTTGTTTCTAATTTCTACATAATATTTCATTAGTGGATGCAATGCATATACATTATATTACTGATAAACACTTTTTGTCTTTTGCATTTTTGTATCATTTGTCTACAGTTACTAAAAATTAGCTGGGCATGGTGGCTCATGCCTGTAATCCCAGAACTTTGGGAAGCCAAGGTGAAAGGGTTGCTTGAGCCCAGGAGTTCGAAACCAGGGTAGGCAATATAGTGAGACCCTATTTTAAAAATTGTTTTAAAAAAGGAAAAAAAAATCCACAAAATTAGAGTAACAAAATAGGACTGGTTTTTTTAAAATAATTTGTATCACCTTTAATAAAAGAGATTTTAAAAGGAGTTTTAAAATTTTTCAGATATTTCCTAAATTTCAAATGCCTTGTGAACTGTTCTTTAGGGAGTAAGTGGAATGGTAACAGTGTTAACTCGTGCAAGATGAGCCCAATTCTTGTCTGAGGGACATCAACATTAAAATTTTTCTGTGGACAAATTTATTTGCATTTTTTTCAGGTGAATGCTTGAGATGCATGTTCTGGAATAACCTTGGTTGCATCCATTTTGCCATGAGCAAGCACAATTTGGGAATATTCTACTTTAAAAAGGCTCTGCAAGAGAATGACAATGTCTGTGCACAGCTCAGTGCAGGTAGCACTGATCCAGGTAAGCCCAGTACTGGGGGACAGTTTGTATTTACTACTTCAGAAAAGCATGATTTAAAAAGCATGAATGTGGTTAAAATACCCACCATGTAGACTTACATATAGTTAACTCTGATCTTACCCAACAAGTTTGGCTCTGGGGATTTTTAGTAGATATTGCTACTTTGAAGAGCAATAACAAGGTGTTAAGAGTAATTTTGAATTATCCAGAAATTTAAGTTGCATTCCATTTTTCATTGATTTGAAAATGAGTAATTCCCTGTGGTAATGTTATATACCAGAATGTTTGATTAGTCACAACATGACTGTGCCAAACTAGGTTTATTATAGTTTTGTTTTGTTTTGTTTTGTTTTGTTTTGTTTTGAGACAGAGTCTAGCTCTATCACCCAGGCTGGAGTGCAATGGTGTGATTTCAGCTCATTTCAACTTCTGCCTCCTGGGCTCAAGTGACCCTCCCACTTCAGCCTCCTGAGTAGCTGGAACTACAGACACATGCCACTGTACCTGGCTAATTTTTGTGTTTTTTGTAAAGATAGGGTTTCACCATGTTGCCCAGGCTGGTCTGGAACTCCTGGCTTAAGTGATCCTCCCACCTCAGTCTTCCAAGGTGCTGGAATTACAAGCATAAGCCACTGTGCCCGGCTTGTTATAGATTCTTTGCAGAGTTTTACATGTGATACTACTGGCAGCATCTGACGGTCTTTAAGCAAATTCCTGACATTTATCCTTTAATATTCATTATCATATGGATCCTTGATCTGAAATGCCTAAAATCAAACAATTATTTAGCTTTTAAAAATAATAACCTATTTAGGCCAGGGGCGGTGGCTCACGCCTGTAATCCCAGCACTTAGGGAGGCCGAGGTGGGCAGATCACGAGGTCAGGAGATCGAGACCATCCTGGCTAGCACAGTGAAACCCTGTCTCTACTAAAAATACAAAAAAAATTAGCCGAGCATGGTGGCAGGCGCCTGTAGCCCCAGCTACTTGGGAGACAGAAGCAGGATAATGGCGTGTACCCAGGAGGCGGAGCTTGCCGTGAGCCGAGATCATGCCACTGCACTCCAGCCTGGGTGACAGAGCGAGACTCTGTCCATAATAATAATAATAATAATAATAATAATAATAATAACCTATTTAATTGATGGCAAATGTATTATAAATCAAGGTAGACCGAAACATTGAATAGGTTTTATTGTCATGAACACATGACAATAAAATGGTTAACCAAGATGAATTTTTTTTTTTTTTTTTTTTTTTTTCCTGAGACGAAGTCTCACCCTGTTGCCCAAGCTGGAGTGCAGTGGCGTGATCTTGGCTCACTGCATCCTCCACGTCCCAGGTTCAAGCAATTTTCCTGCCTCAGCCTCCCGAGTAGCTGGGACTACAGGCACATGCCACCATGCCCGGCTAATTTTTGTATTTTTAGTAGAGATGGGGTTTCACTATTTTGGCCAGTCTGGTTTTGAACTCCTGACTTCGTGATCTGCCCGCCTTGGCCTCCCAAAGTGCTGGGATTACAGGCGTGAGCCACTGTGCCCAGCTGAAAATTTTAAAAAGTGGAAACTTTATATAGACTCTAAAAATGTTGGCTAGGAAAGATGGCTCATGCCTGTAATCCCAACATTTAGGGGAGGCCAAGGTGGATCACTTGAGTCCAGGAGTTCAAGACCAGCCTGGGCAACATAGTGAGACCCCCCCATCTCTACAAAAATAAAAATAAAAAATAAAAGAGAATAAAGTAAAAATGTAGAAAAGTAGTATAAGGTGCAAAGGAGTGAGAGCGGGTCCCATCACTTATCTTTGCCTTCCTGGAACGTTGTTGCCTGAGGAGCTGGCAAATGAGAAGAGACATCTCTGGCTCTGCTAGCATAGACAACTAAGATGACTCTGGAGAATATTTGTGGGGTTGAGAATGGAGACCACCATTGGCGAGAGCTATTAAAACTCAGATCAGGATTATTGGTGTTAAACATGGTAGTGTCTAAGTACTTAATGGAGTAAATGTTTTCAAGGTTACTATTACTGTAAATCTAATGATGTATTCTTATCTAATTTTTATCACTAGGTAAAAAATTTTCAGGAAGACCCATGTGTACGTTACTAACCAATAAGAGATATGAGTTGCTGTATAACTGTGGAATTCAGCTTCTTCACATTGGAAGGCCTCTTGCTGCCTTCGAATGTCTGATTGAAGCTGTTCAGGTTTATCATGCAAATCCTCGCCTCTGGCTACGGCTGGCTGAATGCTGCATTGCTGCCAATAAGGGGGTGAGTGCTACTTGGGTATCTTTTTAAACCCTGTCTTCTCCCCACTTACTACATGGAATGGTTAAAAAAAAAAAAAAAACCTTGGAAACATACATAAGACATTTCTCTTTTTATTTATTTATTTATTTATTTATTTATTTTTTGAGACGGAGTTTCTCTCTTATTGCCCAGGCTGGAGTGCAATGTTACGATCTCGGCTCACTGCAACCTCCACCTCCCGGGTTCAAGCGATTCTTCTGCCTCAGCCTCCCAAATAGCTGGGACCACATGCACATGCCACCACGCCCAGCTAATTTTGTATTTTTAGTAGAGACGAGGTTTCACCATGTTGCCCAGGCTGGTCTTGAACTCCCGACCTTATGTGATCTAGCCACCTCAGCCTCCCGAAGTGCTGGGATTACAGGCGTGAAATGTATAGTCTTCTCTTCTTAACCACTGGGGGAAATTAGTTTCAAAAAGTCATTTGTTGGCCGTGCGCAATGGCTCACGCCTGTAATCCAAGCACTTTAGGAGGCTGAGGCGGGTGGATCACTTGAGCTCAGGAGTCCAAGACCAGTCTGGACAACATAGTGAGACCTCCATCTCTACAAAAAATTACTGGGTGTGGCAGTGAGCGCCTGTAGTCCCAGCTATTCAAGAGGCTGAAGCGGGAAGATCGTTTGAGCCTGGGAGGTGGAGGTTGGAGTGAGACCAGATAGAGCCACTGCACTCCACCTTAGGCAACAGAGCGAGACCCTGTCTCAAAAAAAATAAAAATAAAAATTTAAAAAGTCATTTGTTAACATTCTCATTCTTGGTAAGTAAGTATGGCAACATTAAAGAGTTGAAGCCAGTGAGAAAGTCATGTATGTTGGAACAGTGGTCTGCTAGCTGCTCCAGGGGTCAGGATACATGCATCTGCTGGCGTAAGAATAGTGTGTAGCCTGGTGATTAGAAAAGGTCTGATAACAGCCAGGTGCGGTGGTCACGCCTGTAATCCCAGCACTTTGGGAGGCCGAGGCGGGTGGATCACGAGGTCAGGAGATCGAGACCATCCTGGCTAACACAGTGAAACCCCCGTCTCTACTAAAAATGCGAAAAATTAGCCGGGCGTTGTGGGCCTGTAGTCCCAGCTACTCGGGAGGGTGAGGCAGGAGAATGACGTGAACCCAGGAGGCGGAGCTTGCAGCTAGCCAAGATCGCGCCACTGCACTCCAGCCTGGGTGACAGAGAGACTCTGTCTCAAAAAAAAGTTCTGATAACATAATGTGGAAAGAGCTGCATTAAGCTGGATTTCCATCAATGCCTGAGGGTTTTACTTTGGTTTCAGTAAATGATACAGAGTTTATGGATTACCAGGCTGTTTCTCTCTGACACATGATTGCCCATGGTAGCTATGGGAATAGGCCAGTTTACATTGATTTCCATGCTTAGATAATCTCTAAATGGCAATTGGTGGAAGCCTTTTGAATTTCAATTTGGGAGGGATCAGTAGGAGATAGGGGAAAGACGGGTTGTGTCAGAATTACCAGATATGTGTGTCTTCCATTTGCTACCCCATGCCCTGCCCTTGCTGTGCTTTTTGGGTGTGTATAGACATTGGGAAGGTATGGTACCTGGAGGTTTTACCTTGCATGCCTACCATAGGTGATATAAGATGTTGAGGCTCTCCTCCCGCTGAACAGCAGTTTCTGAGAAGTACAAGAACTAAGGGGATTAAAGAAGTGTGTTTGCTAGTTTTCATACATGGTACTTAGGTAGTTTGTGATTTGAGTATACCAACAGAGGAAGAGATGAGTGATTTGTCTTTGAAAGACTTTAATGATTTAATTATACTTTGCTTTTTAAAAGACAACTTTCTTATTGGTTAATTCTTAACTGATAAACAGTTCTAGGCAGAATTTATACTTCTTTTTTTTTTTTTTTTTTTTTTTTTTGAGACGGAGTCTCGCCCTGTCGCCCAGGCTGGAGTGCAGTGGCGGGATCTCGGCTCACTGCAAGCTCCGCCTCCCGGGTTCACGCCATTCTCCTGCCTCAGCCTCCCAAGTAGCTGGGACTACAGGCGCCCGCCACTACGCCCGGCTAATTTTTTGTATTTTTAGTAGAGACGGGGTTTCACCGTTTTAGCCGGGATGGTCTCGATCTCCTGACCTCGTGATCCGCCCGCCTCGGCCTCCCAAAGTGCTGGGATTACAGGCGTGAGCCACCGCGCCCGGCCCAGAATTTATACTTCTTAAAGATAAAAGAAGCAAATAGAAATTGCTTATTCTCTTTAATCTGTTTATAAATTTAAGTGTTGGGCGCCTTTCTTTGGTATTTACTGGAAACCAGGGAGTTACCTTTTTCTGGGACTAGGGAAAGATTGTAAAGTTTAATATTTTCTTTTTAAATTAACTGGTTTTAGAAATAGTACTTTTAGGATTGTGTTCTACAGAAGCCATTAAGCTTACAAGGTCTCCTCCCCTCCCCCTAGAGGAGAAGGAGCGGGAGGGGAGGATAAGTATTTTCCATATTAATATGCTGCCAGTCCTGTTTTTTTTTCTAGAAAAGTTGTAAATTTGTAATTTTTAAAAAATGGTAAAGATGACTTTCGGTTGCCATAACTTCATGAACACACACAATTTGTGCTGCTAATAGGAAACTTGCCACCAGTAATATCTTTGTGCTTTTCCTCCTCCTAAAAAAAAACTTTAGGGTAACCTAAAAAACAGTAAAAACAAGCCCAAAACACTAATAAAATCAGAGGACAAATCCCAATACGAGTAATTGTAAACTCCAAATAAAATTCCATAAAATTTGTTTTATTTAGTCAGGACAGGAGGTATGCTGAACAAAGTAGTTTGTACCTTCAGAAATAAATTCATTTTGGATTTAAAAAAATTAACTTGTTTATGCTAAGGAGGACATTTTGTCCTGAATATCTGGTACATATTATTTCAGACTTGGCAGAGGCAAGGCTTATATTTACCTGGGCAGTGTATAAATATGGGAAAAGATCTGCTAAACAAAAATAGTCCCAATATTTTAATTATGTATGATCCTTTTACCTTAAAACTTATCTGGCACACTTTCTGGCTATCGGTGCTTGAAGGTATGGATTATTATTCTACGTTTTTTAGTTCCATTCCATCGTGGGCCAGTTTGTTTTCATCTGTTGCATCTTCGTATCTAGCCATTTGGATCAGTTTTCATGGCCTTAGCAATAAGAAAAGAGAAGAGAATATGGATGAATCCATGTAAATTGATTACCACAACTAGGAAAAGAAGTCAGAACGGAAGTCCTCACAATAATGGTTTAAAATATCCACTTTTTCATTAATATTGCATGGCCTTCTCTATACACAATTAGTTTTGATCAGAGAAGTTTTATTGTATTTTTTAGCACTGTGTAGTATGTTCTTTATTAAAAGTCATATATGGAAGTGCAACTATAATAAGTTACATTCAGGAGCAATAAGTAACAGTACAGAAACATTTGTGTTTAGAGAAAAGACTTTTTGCAGGGCAGAGATTAGTTTTGCAAATTCATATTGATTGACTCCGGTTTGTTCTGGTATGTGAGAATTTGGATGTCATTATAAGATAACTACTTGGGATTCCACCTGCAGGTAAATTAGAGACTTGTTTTATTTTATTTTATTTTTGAGACAGAGTCTCACTCTTCACTCAGGCTTGAGTGCAGTGGCGTGATCATGGCTCACTGCAGTCTCGACCTCCCTGGTGTCAAGCGATCTTCCCTCCTCAGCTTCCCTAGTAGCTGGGACTATAGGCATGCATGACCGCACTTGGCTAATTTTTGTATTTCTTTGTAGAGGTGGAGTTTCACCACATTGCCCACACTGGTCTCAAGTTCCTGGGCTCTAGCGATCCACCCGCCTCAGCCTCCCAAAGTTCTAGGATTACAGGTGTGAGCCACCTTGCCCAGCTTAGTTTTATTTTTTAGATTTGGCCTAGAGCAGTGGTTCATGCCTGTATTCCCAGCACTTCGGGAGGCTGAGGCGGGTGGATCAGAAGGTCAGGAGATCAAGACCATCCTGGCTAACATGGTGAAACTCCATCTCTACTAAAAATACAAAAAATTAGCCAGGTTGTTGTGGCACCCACCTGTAGTCCCAGCTACTCAGGAGGCTGAGGCAGGAGAATTGCTTGAACCTGGGAGGCGGAGGTTGCAGTGAGCCGAGATTGTGCCACTGCACTCCTGCCTGGGTGACAGAGTGATACTCCATCTCAAAAAAATAAATAAATAAAAGATTTTTTCTGGCTGGGCGCGGTAGCTCACACCTGTAATCTCAGTACTTTGGGAGGCCGAGGCGGGCGGATCACTTGAGGTCAGGAGTTTGAGACTAGCCTGGCCAATGTGGTGAAACCCCATCTCTACTAAAATACAAAAATTAGCCAGGTGTGGTGACAGGCGCCTGTAATCCTAGCTACTCGGGAGGCTGAGGCAAGAGAATCACTGGAACTCAGGAGGTGAAGGTTGCAGTGAGCCGAGACAACACCGCTGCACCCAAGCCTAAAGAAAAATTTTCCAGCCTCAGCAACTTGGCAAAACCCTGTCTCTAAAAAAAATAAATAGAAAAATTAGCCAGTCATGGTGGCACACACCTGTACCTGTAGTCCCAGCTACTTGGGAGGCTGAAGCAGGAGGATCACTTGAGCCCAGGAGGCCGAAGTTGCAGTGAGCCGAGATCATGCCACTGTACTCCATCCTGGGCAACAGAGCCAGACCTTGTCTTAAAAAAGAAAAAAAAGAAAGGAAAAAAAAAAAGGTAGATACAGGGGGGTCTCACTATGTTGCCCAGGCTGGTCTCACACTCCTGGTTTCAAGTGATCCTCCTGCCTTAGCTTCCCAAAGGGCTGGGATTACGGGCATGAACCACTGCACCCAACCAAATTAGAGACTTAGAATGAAGGGGGATCATTAATCAAATTATCACTGTGAGCTCTGTAGTGAGATAATACATCTTAATCAAATATCCTAAAGTACTATGTATGTGTAAGTAGCTTTTATTATTTTCAGTTTAATGTTTATTCATTTGGTTTGGGGATTTTAATTTCCTAGAAGGCAAGTATTGTGTCCATGTAAATTTTTACCACGTACAGCTTATTAAAGTTTATATATTGTTGACAATGTAATTAATACTTTGAATTAAGAAGGAAATGATCTGTGTTTAGGAAGTGGAGCGACTTCCTTTTTCTTTTACACTATTTTGGGCTCTCTTATTTTCCTTACTCTGATGTCAAAGTACCTGTAACATGTAGCATGGTACTGGAGGTCTAGAATATTCTAAGTAAATGATTCTAAATAAATTATTGGGACATAATTGAATTGGATTTTGTTCGTAGAATTTTCTCCAATCTCATGTAAACAAAATGTAGCACATATCCCAGATTTTCAGCCTTATATACTTTTTCCACTAATACCAAACATGTTTCCATTATCACCAAAAAAAGTCCTCATTGACTTTAAGAACTTTCTTAAATTTAGAGTAATTGTGAGAGATATTCCCTCATTTTTTATACCACATCTTACAATTCCCTTAAATTTATTGGAAATTATTTGTATTTTGTAGACTTCTGAACAAGAAACTAAAGGCCTTCCCAGCAAAAAAGGAATTGTACAGTCTATTGTTGGTCAAGGCTATCATCGTAAAATAGTTTTGGCATCACAGTCTATACAGAATACTGTTTATAAGTAAGTATTTTGCAAAGAAAAAGTGTATATATATTTAATACTAGTTTACATAATGTTACTTATATATAAAAGTATGATTAGGATTTATCATTGCATAGGAGGAACCACTTTGTAACTAGATTTTATTGCTATTTCAACAAACAGACCCTCATGTATAGGTCCATAGTGAATGTTATCTAACATGATTTTGGTTTATTACATCCATGGGTGCTGCAATTATTGATGGCCTAGGAAACCCTAGTCTGTTCAGTGCCATTATTAAGAATGTCCAGAAGAGGGCATCTTGGTATTTCCTTTTTATGTACTTTTGGTTATCATTGATACTTTTCATTTGGGTATTTTCTTATAGTCCCTAGGACTGAAAATACATGAAAGGGAATTCTTACTATTCAGAGAAAAAAGGTGTATTAAAACATAAAGCAACCAAAGCAGTATAGAAGCTGTCACATGTATAATCTTCATTTGACAATTTGGAATTGCCATTATTTGTAAAGTGGCAAACTTTGCAAATAATTAGCTGCCTTAATTTGTTTTTGTCAAAGAAGAAAATTGTTCTCTACCATTTAAAAGTTTTTCCACAGTTTAAAAAATATCTGATACACAATAATTTAGTCTTAATTTAGTTAAACTATAATGCAAGAATATTTTTTAAAACTATTATGATAAAGCATTTCAAAGTTTTAAAGCAATTTCAAAGTTGTTACTACTTTTCAAAATTTTATTTTTCTCTAGTAAAGATTCTCTTTGGGTATATCAAACCAACAGAAAGTTGTATAAAATGTCAATGAAATTATAAGACAAAAAGTAATGTTGGTGTTTCAAAGTGTATAGAGGCATTTTTGAAAGCAAGGATCAACCAAAGTAAGGCTCAAACGTGAAAATCTGTTTTCTTCCCTTTCGTCCCATTCTTAGTATACCTCTCCTTGCCCTCATTACAGTTGCCCTTGTCTGCAGTTTCTCTAGTATGTTAACATTAACATTGTGATATACATCAAATTATCTCTTCTCCTTGGTCTCATTCCTAGAGACACAGTGTATGTAATTTATATACTTGCAATCCATTATTTATACTATTTACAACCTATACTTAGGATTTGGGTTCTTTAGCATGCTTTTATAACTGCTTATATTAAAATTTCTACCTATCAAAAGGCATAGCTTTCATTTATAATCAATTGGTTTTATTCCTCATAATAAAAGAGCCTTATTTTAAAATATTTTATCCACTTAGCTAATTTGGTTTTGTTCTTTTAAGTGATGGGCAGTCTTCGGCCATTCCTGTAGCCAGTATGGAGTTTGCAGCCATATGTCTCAGAAATGCCTTGTTGCTGCTACCTGAAGAACAGCAAGATCCAAAGCAGGAAAATGGGGCTAAAAATAGTAATCAATTAGGTGGGAACACAGAGAGCAGCGAAAGCAGTGAAACTTGCAGGTATTCTAATCCTTGTGACCTCCTTTGGCAAAATCCTTTCAGGACTTCTTTAGTAAACCCTTTGTTCTTTAAGTAAATTCCTAAAATCTTCAACCTGAATTTCTGAAATTCTGTTTTGCGTAACAAGAAAGGAAAGTATTTATGTTTCTGAGTCTTTCTGGAAGAGAGAAATAAGGTGAAGGCTAAGTTAGGAGAGATCCTTGAAAAAGAAAAGTAGAAAGTAGCAGCTTTGGCCGGACGCAGTGGCTCATGCCTGCCTGTAAAAGGCTGAGGCAAGAAAATTGCTTGAACCCAGGAGGCAGAGGTTGCAGCGAGCCGAGATTGTGCCACTGCACTCCAGCTTTGGCGACAGAGTGAGACTTCATCTCAAAAAAGAAAGTAGCAGCTTTTCATTGACAAGAGGGATATTTGTAAGAAGTCCTGTTGTCAGACAGCTTTAAAAAAAATTTGGCCAGGTGTGGGGGCTCACGCCTGTAATCCCAGCACTTTGGGAGGCCAAGATGGGTAGATCACTTGAGGTTAGGAGTTCAAGACCAGCTGGCCAACATGGTGAAACCCCGTCTCTACTAAAAATACAAAAATTAGCTGGGCGTGGTGGTGGGCACCTATAATCCCCACTACTGGGAAAGCTGAGGCAAGAGAATTACTTGAACCCGGGAGGCAGAGGTTGCAGTGAGCCACGATCATGCCACTGCACTCCATCCAGCCTGGTGACAGAATGAGACTCCATCTCAAAAAAACAGAAAATTTATTAAAATAAACACTTGACTCCTAAAGCTGCTTATTTCTTATTATCCTCTGTCTATCCTCTTAATATACTATAATCACTAACCTCCAGAATATTTTTGTATATTTCTGGTTTTCTAGTATAAATTCAAAATTATGCAAATCTAGGCAGGGTGCTGGAGGAGGCCAAGAGTTCAAGTCTAGTCTGGGCAGCATAGCAAGACCCCATCTCTTCAAAAAAATTAAAAATAAGTAAATAAAAATTATGTGACTATAGAAATTGGGAGAACTTTTGGTAAGGACAAAACACATACCATTATATATAGGGAATTCAGCTTTTTTCTTTCTTTCTTTTCTTTTGTTTTCTTTTTGTTTTGTTTTTTGTTTGTTTGTTTGTTTTTGAGACAGAGTCTCCCTCTGTCACCCAGGCTGGAAAGCAGTGGCACGATCTCAACTCACTGCAACCTCCACCTCACAGGCTCAAGCGATTCTCCTGCCTCAACCCCCTAAATAGCTGGGATTATAGGCCCAGCGCCACTATGCCCGGCTAATTTTTGTATTTTTAGTAGAGATAGGGTTTTGCCATGTTGTCCAGGATGGTCTTGAACTCCTTACCTCAAGTGATCCTCCCTCCTCGGCCTCCCAGAGTGCTGAGATTGCAGGCATGAGCCACTACACCCAGCTGGAAATTCTGCTTTTTATACATGGCATCGTTAAACTTACATCTCCCATCCCAGCATTTTTTCTTGATTATAATAGCAATCAATACATATTTACTATAGAAAATTTGGGCCAGGCATGGTGGCTCACACCTGTAATCCCAGTGCTAAGGGAGACCAAGGCTGAAGGATTGCTTGAAGCTAGGAGTTCGAAGCTAGCCTGTCCAACATAATGAGACCCCATCTCTACAAGAAATAAAAAAATTAGTTGAGTGTGGTGCCAGGCACCATTAGTACCAGCTACTTGGGAGGCTGGTGTAGGAGGATCGCCTGAGCCCAGGAGTTTGAAGCTGCAGTGAGCTATGATCATGCCACACTGCACTCCAGCCTGGGCAACAGTCTCAAAAACCCAGTCTCAAGAAAAGGCAGGGGTTGAGGGGTCAGGGTAATTAGAATAATGAGAAATGCGCGAAAATATTCAGTTATTTCCCTTTTGTAGTAAAGATACTGTTTTCAGTTAGAGATTTTTTAAAGCAGTATTGGAGGGGTGGGGGCAGTGGGGGAAGAAACTAATATACAATATAGCTTTAACATGTTAGTGTTACCAAATTACTAAGTATTTCCATTGTTTAACTCTTTTACACTTTTGTTGTAAAAAGTTACATGGGAGGCCGGGCGAGGTGAGACACCTCTGTAAATCCTAGCACTTTGGGAGGCCAAGGCAGGTGGATCACCTGAGGTCGGGAGTTCGAGACCAGCCTTGCTAACATGGTGAAACCCCGTTTCTACTAAAAATACAAAAAATTAGCTGGGCGTGGTGGTGTGCGCCTGTAATCCCAGCTACTTGGGAGGCTGAGGCGGGAGAATCACTCAAACCTGGGAGGCAGAGGTTGCAGTGAGTTGAGATCGTGCAATTGCACTCCATCCTGAGCGACGAGCAAAACTCTGTCTCAAAAAAAAAGTTGGGAGTAAGGACAGGGAAACAAAATTTTACGTTTAATTATTTATTTGTTGCTCTTCATAATTAAGACTCTTACCTCTATTTTAGCAGTAAAAGCCATGATGGAGATAAATTCATTCCAGCTCCACCTTCTTCTCCATTGAGAAAACAGGAATTAGAAAACTTAAAGTGAGTATCTAAACAAAATTAGCATTGCATCTATTGAAATGAACATATTCATGGCTGGGCACAGTGGCTCATACCTCTAATCCCAGCACTTTGGGAGGCCGAGGCTGGTGGATCACTAGGTCAGGAGTTCGAGACCAGCCTGGCCAAGATAGTGAAACCCTGTCTGTACTAAAAATACAAAAATTAACCGGGCGTGGTGGCAGGCGCCTGTAATCCCAGTTACTTGGGAGGCTGAGGCAGGAGAATTGCTTGAACCCGGGAGGCGGAGGTTGCAGTGAGTGTGCCACTGCACTCTAGCCTGAGCAACTCTGTCTCAAAAAAAAAAAGAACACATTCTTTTTTATCTTGTTGATACTGTTAATATGATGAATTACACTGATCAAATGTTAAACCAATCTTTCAATCTTGTGATAAACCCTACTTGGTCAGAATGTATTTTCTTTTGTATAAATTTTTAGATTTGATTTGTTAATACTTTGTTGGGAATAAGTGCTTCTATATCCGTGAGGAAGATTGGTCCATACTTTTCTTTCCTAGAAATGATTTTGTCAGATTTGGTTTCAGGATTATGCTGACCATATAAATGAGTTGAGAAGTGCTTCATCTTCCTCTGTTTTCTGCAAGAGTCTGTGTAAGATAGGTATTACTCATGGACACAAAGAGGGGAACAACGGGCGCTAAGGCCTCCTGGAGGGTGGAGGGTGGTAGAGGATCAGAAAAAATAACTATTGGGTACTAGGCTTAGTACCTGGGTGACAAAATAATCTGTACAACAAACCCCCATGACACAAGTTTACCATATAACAAACCTGCACATGTAGCCCTGAACTAATAAAAAGGACAGGTATTACTTCTTCCTTAAGTATTTGATAGAATGCACCAGTGAAACCATCTAGCCTAGGATTTTCTTTGCAGGAAGATTTTTGATAATGAATTCAACTTGTTCAACAACACTTTTTTCAGATTTTATATTTCTTTTTTTTTTTTTTTGAGATGGATTCTCGCTCTGTCTCCCAGGCTGGAGTGCAGTGGCGCGATCTCGGCTCACTGCAAGCTCCGCCTCCTGGGTTCACACCATTCTCCTGCCTCAACCTCCCGAGTAGCTGGGACTACAGGCGCCTGCCACCACACAGGGCTAATTTTTTGTATTTTTAGTAGAGACAGGGTTTCACCGTGTTAGCCAGGATGGTCTCGATCTCCTGACGTCGTGATCCACCCACCTCGGCCTCCCAAAGTGCTGGGTTTACAGGCGTGAGCCACAGCATCCGGCCTGTATTTCATCTTATCTCAGTTTGGTTAAGTTTTATTTTTCAAGGAATTTTCTAAGTTGTCAAATTTATTGGCATAACATTGTTCATAATATTTTTTTTACCTTTTTAATGTCTGTAGAATCTGCAGTTATACCTCTATTTTCTTTCTTTTTTTTTTTTTTGAGTTGGAGTTTTACTCTCTGTCCCAGGGTGGAGTGCAGTGGTATGATCTCGGCTCACTGCAACCTCTGCCTACCAGTTTCAGGCGATTCTCCTGCCTCAGCTTCCTAAGAAGCTGGGATTACAGGTGCCTGCTAGCACGCCTGGCTAAATTTTTGTGTTTTTAGTAGAGACGGGGTTTTACCATGTTAGCCAGGCTGGTCTCGAACTCCTGACCTCAGGTGATCCACCCGCCTCAGCCTCCCAAAGTTTTGGGATTACAGGCATGAGCCACTGCGCCCGGCCAGTTTTCATTTGTGATATTTGTGGGATCTCTTGCTTTCTCTCCTTTCTTCCCTAAGCAATCCTGCTAGCAATTTACATATTGGATTGATGTTTTCAGAGAATAGACTTCTACTTCATTTTCTGTTTTCTATTTCGTTTCTGCTCTTTATTTTATTCTTCTACTAACTCTGGTTTATTTTGCTCTTTTTTTAACTTCTTATGCTGGTCACTGATTTTTAGATAAAGGTCCTTTTCTACACAGTTCCCTTTAAGCCTGCTGTGACTTCCTTCCACAAACAGTTATGTTTTATTTGTTTATTTCACTCCATAGTGTCTTTTTTTTCAAAATTAAACTTCATTTAGAGACGATTGTAGATTCACATAATAGTCTAAAAAGTAATACAGATACCTGGGCAACATGGTGAGACCCTGTCTCTAAAAAAATCAAAAAATTAGGCCAGGTGCAGTGGCTCATGCCTGTGATCCCAGCACATTGGTGGGCTGCAGAGGCAGGCAGATCAGCTGAGGTCAGGAGTTCGAGATCAGCCTAGCCAACATGGTGAAACCCCATCTCTCCTAAAAATACAAAAGTTGGCCAGGTGTGGTGGCGGGTGCCTGTAATTCCAGCTACTTGGGAGGCTGAGGCTGGAGAATCACTTGAGCCCAGGAGGCAGAAGTTGCAGTAAGCCAAGACCGCGCCGTTGCACTCCAGCCTGGGCAACAAGAGTGAAACTCCGTCTCGAAAGAAAAAAAGAAAAAAAATTATCTGGGCGTGATGTTGCATGCCTGTGGTTCCAGGTAGCTGGCAGGCTGAGGTGGGAGGATCACTTTAAGCCCTGGAGGTCATGGCTGCAGTAAGCTGTGATTGTACCATCAAACTCCAGCAAGGATGACAGATCGAGGCTCTGTCTCTAAAAATAAAAAATAATACAGAGACCTCATCTACCCTCTACCCAGTTTTCTCAAAGGCAACTTCTTACAGAACTTTAGTACATGCTGGGTGCGGTGGCTCATGCCTGTAATCCCAGCCCTTTGGGAGGCCGAGGTGGGCGGATCACGAGGTCAGGAGTTCAAGACTAGCCTGACCAATATGGTGAAACCCCATCTCTACTAAAAATACAAAAATTAGCTGAGTGTGGTGGCGTGTGCCTGTAGTCCCAGCTATTCGAGAGGCTGAAGCAGGGGAATCGCTTCAACCGGGGAGGCGGAGGGAGGTTGCAGTGAGCCAAGATCGTGCTATTGCCTAGACAACAGACTCTGTCTCAAAACAAAAAAAGAACTTTAGTACAATATCACAGTCAAGATATTGACATTGATACAGTAAAGATACAGAACTTTTTTTGTTTTACAATATTTTCATTACATTCAATTTCTTAAAATTTTTTTAAAATTTTGTGGCTGGGCGCGGTGGCTCATGCCTGCAATCCCAGCACTTTGGGAGGCCGAGGCGGGTGGATCACAAGGTCAGGAGATCGAGACCATCCTAGCTAACACGGTGAAACCCTGTCTCTATTAAAAATACAAAAAATTAGCCGGGCGTGGTGGCGGGCGCCTGTAGTCCCAGCTACGCGGGAGGCTGAGCCAGGAGAATGGCGTGAACCTGGGAGACGGAGCTTGCAATAAGCCGAGATCGCACCACTGCACTCCAGCCTGGACGACAGAGCGAGACTCCGTCTTAAAAAAAAAAAAAAAAAAAATTTGTGTAGGTGTGGGGTCTTGATGTCCTGCCCAAGCTGATCTCAAACTTCTGGCCTCAAGCAATCCTCCCACCTTGGCCTCCCAAAGCACTGGGATTATAGTTGTGAGCCACCGTGCCTAACCCAGAACATTTTTATTACTACGAAAGATCCCTCATATTGCCCTCTTATAGCCATACCCACTTCCACTCCTGCTCCTGCCCCTTATTTAACCCTTGGTTACGACTAATCTCTTTTTAATTTCTATAATTTTGTCTTTCAAAAATGTTATATAAATGGAATCATACAGCATGTAACCTTTTGGGATTGATTTTTTTCATTCAGTATAATTCTTGGAAAATTCATTTAAGTTTGCTGAGTAAATCAATTGTTGTTCCTTTTTATTGGTGAGTATTATTCCATGGTATGATTGTACCTCAGTTTAATCATTCACCTTTTGTAGGACATCTAGCTTTATTCCATTCCAGTTTGGGGCTGTTACAAATAAAGCTGCTAGAAATATTCACAGGTATTTATGTGCACATAAATCTTTGTCTCTCAGGATGAACGTCCAACAGTGCTGCATAGTAGGGGAGTTACATGTCTAATATTTTAAGAAACTGCCAAGGCCAGGCGTGGTGGCTCACGTCTGTAATCCCAGCACTTAGGGCGGCCGAGGCGAGCGGATCACGAGGTCAGGAGTTCAAGACCAGCCTGGCCAACATAGTGAAACCCTGTCTATACTAAAAATACAAAAAATTAGCCAGGCATGGTGGCGTGCACCTGTAGTCCCAGCTACTCTGGAGGCTGAGGCAGGAGAATCGTTTGAACCCAGGAGGCAGAGGTTGTGGTGAGCCGAAATCGTGCCACTGCCCCCCAGCCTGGGCGACAGAGCGAGACTCCGTCTCAAAAAAAAAAAAAAACAGAAGAAAAGAAACTGCCAAACTCTTTTAACAGAGTGACTATACCATTTTACATTCCCACCAGTGATGTATGAGTGATCCAGTTTCTTTACCACAATATTTCTTATTTTCTTTTTTAAAAAAATTTATTTTTTCATCACATACTTGTTTTGATATTTGTGTGTGTTGTAGGTTTTTATTTTATTTTTTATTTTATTTTATTTTATTTTTTTGCCAGGCTGGAGTGCAATGGCATGACCTCGGCTCACTGCAACCTCCGCCTCCTGGGTTCAAGCAGTTCTCCTGCCTCAGCCTCCCGAGTAGCTAGGACTACAGATGTGTACCACCACGTCCAGCTAATTTTTGTATTTTTAGTAGAGACGGGGTTTCACCATGTTGGCCAGGATAGTCTCTTGACCTCGTGATCCACCGACCCCGGCCTCCCAAAGTGCTGGGATTACAGGCATCCCAGCACCTGGCCTGTTATAGGCACTTTTTACTTTACTCATTCTAATAGGGAAGTAAGATGTGTAGTGCTATCTCATTGTGATTTTTATTTGCATTTCTCTAATGAACTTCTTTTCATGTGGTATAGCTTTTTGTTTTGTTTTGGTGTGTTGTCATTGTTGCCGTTGTTCTGAGACAGTCTTGCTGTGTTGCCCAGGCTGGAGTGCAATGGAAGGAACTCAGCTCACTGCAACCTCCGCCTCCCAGGTGCAAGCGACTCTCATGCCTCAGCCTCCTGAGTAGCTGAGATTACAGGCATGTGCCACCACACCCGGCTAATTTTTGTATTTTTGGTAGAGATGGGGTGTCACCATGTTGGTCAGGCCGGTCTCAAACTCCTGAGCTCAAGTGATCTGCCCGCCTCAGCCTCCCACAGTGCTGAGATCATAGGCGTGAGCCACCGCATCTGTCCTTTACCAGTAATTTTGTAGTCTGTAAACTGCTCTGTACCTTACTTTGTTCCCATATCAGCACAAACCTTTGTTTCACTCTTTCTCATGGGTGCCTAGAGTTGCATTTTGTGGATATGATCTAATTTATCTAACATTGCTTTTTATTGAGCTGTTTATAATGTTTTCAGCTTTTGCTGTTACAAATAATGCTGCAGTGAATATGGTTATACACATTTAAAGGGAATCCTTAATGAAGAAGACATTTGAAACAGTTTTTCAAACTTGATTTAAGTTTTACAAGTTTACTTGAATGAATACTAATCTTTTTTTTTTTTTTTTTTTGAGATAGATTTTTGCCCTTGTTCCCCAGGCTGGAGTGCAATGGTGTGTCTTGGCTCACTGCAACATCCGCCTCCTGAGTTCAAGCAGTTCTCCTGCCTCAGCCTCCCAAGTAGCTGGAATTACAGGCATACGCCACCATGCCCAGCTAATTTTTTATATTTTTAGTAGAGGTGGGGTTTCACCATGTTGGTCAGGCTAGTCTCGAACTCCTGACCGCAGGTGATCCATCCGCCTTAGCTTCCCAAAGTGCTGGCATTACAGGCATGAGCCACCCACCCAGCTTAATGAGTACTAATCTTAGGATTGCTCTATTTTTGTGTGCAATTTAAGAAGTATATTGTTTCTGCCAGGTGTGGTGGCTCACGCCTGTAATCCCAGCACTTTGGGAGGCCAAGGCAGGCAAATCGCCTGAGGTCAAGAGTTCGAGATCAGCCTGGCCACCATGGTGAAAACCTGTCTCTACTAAAAATACAAAAAAAAATTAGCTGGGCATGGTGGCACACACCTGCAGTCCCAGCTACACGGGAGGCTGAGGCAGGAGAATTGCTTGAACCCAGAAGGCAGAGGTTGCAGTGAGCCGAGATCGTGCCACTATACTCCAGCCTGGGAGACAGACTGAGACTCTGTCTCACATACACACACGCACAAAAAGTAGTATATTGTCTTACGGTGGTTAAACATCTGCAGAGTTGTGTAATTTAACTTTACCTTCTGAGAATGTCATTAAAGAGAAGTGTACATACAGGATGGGATTCCTCTCAGAGTTTTGTACCTTTCGTGGGTACAGCTGTTTGCTTTCCATATGTCATAGTAGGAGGATTGATGATTTTCAAAGAAAATAATATTACTTCCATTTTTTTTGTGTGTGAAAAGGAGCATAGGGCTTCCATAGGGAATGCCGTCATCATAAAGTGAGGCAAGGGTGGATTCTGTAGTATATATATATTTTTTTCTTCTGGAGCAGATGGGAGGGAGAAAGGAAACAGTACAAGATGGAAGGAGCCTTAGGGTAGATTTATAAAAAGGACTGCTATGCCAGACAGTAGCAATGGTAATGTGGACACAAATGGTGAAGGGGAGGAGTCGTAAAAGAATTGTGTCGTAATTTTCAAAGCCATAAAGCTCACAATGCAGTTGGGTGTGTTAAAGGGCAATTCTGTGGCAGGAGCCAGCTGTCTTCTATCTAAGGAGCCTGAGCACTGTGTTTTAAGATTGTGAAATTCTTTGAGATTTCATCTATTTCTGACCTGAACTCTTTTAGATTATTGAAAATGTGACTAGTATATAGTTTAGCTTTTATGGACTATCATATTTGACCCCTTGTGTTCAATAATACCCAAGACACCAATGCAAAGCCCCATTTTCTGTTTCCAGCATAACTAATATGCAGTAAATTATCATGACTTTTCCAATGGCCACTTTTTATGATACGGGTTTATAGCCCCTTGAGTATTTTCGGTTTTTTTCATTTGTACATAAATTAAGGTAAGTCCAAAAAATTTCATTCTAACCAATTTACCAAGTATATTTTTAGAAGGCAGATAATAATTAAAGAAGTTGTGAGATTGTATATTAAATCAAGGTAGTTTTCAGAAAAATATTCTCACAATTGAAATTAAAATGTGGCCCCAAATTAGGAAAACGTCTCAGAAATCAACTAACTAGTTTAACTGTTAAGGTTTGGATGAACTTAGAGATACTAATATAATGGATCAAGAAAGTTATATAGTCATCCTTTGGTATCCTTGAGGGATTGGTTCTAGGGCCCCCAACAGATACCACAATCCTCAGATATAAAATTCCTTACATAAAATGGTGTAGTAATTGCAGATAACCTGTGCACATCCTCTCATATACTTTACTTATTTTTATTTTATTTTATTTATTTTTTTGAGACATAGTTTTGCTCTTGTCACCCGGGCTGGAGTGCAGTGGCTCAATCTTGGCTCACTGCAACCTCCGCCTCCTGGGTTCAAGTGATTCTCCTGCTTCTGCCTTCCAAGTAGCTGGGATTACAGGCGTGTGCCACAATGCCTGGCTAATTTTTGTATTATTAGTAGAGACGGGGTTTCACCATGTTGGCCAGGCTGGTATTGAACTCCTGGCCTCAAGCGATCCGCCCATCTTGGCCTCCCAAAGTGCTGGGATTACAGGCATGAGCCACTGCATCCAGCCTTCTCTCATATACTTTAAGTCATCTTTAGAGTACTTATAATACCTAGTGCACTATATATGCTATATAAACAGTTGTCATACTGTATTGGTTTTTAATTTTTAAAAAATTATTGTAGTTTTTTTTATTATTATATTTTAGAATATTTTCTATTTATAGTTGGTTGAATCTACAGATTTGGAACCTGTGGATTCCAAGCACCAACTGTACACATAATGACACTTTTAGAAATTTGCTTCAGTTTCTGAACCACTCAATGCTGTATGAAGCCATAAGTTTTATTCAATTAAGGATTGAATAAACATTCTGTGCCCTGGAATTAAATAAATGCTATGACTTTGAAATTTTAAGGTGATTGTGTTCCTAGATGTTTACCAAAGAGAAACAGAAACTTGTCCATAAAAGA
This sequence comes from Homo sapiens, assembly GCF_000001405.40. Taxonomy (NCBI): domain Eukaryota; kingdom Metazoa; phylum Chordata; class Mammalia; order Primates; family Hominidae; genus Homo; species Homo sapiens. The sequence continues at coordinate 113,809 of NW_025791770.1, forward strand.
ATTTTATAGCAGCTTTACTCCTGGTAGACAAAACCTAGACATAGCCCAGGTATTCATCAGTAGAAGAATGGATAACTAAGTTGTATTACACTTGTATTTTGGAATACTAGTCAGCTATAAGGAAGAACCAGTGAGGTCGGGCACAGTGGCTCATGCCTGTAATCCCGACGCTTTGGGAGGTCCAGGCAGGCAAATTGCTTGAGTCCAGGAATTTGAGACGAGTGTGGGCAACATGGTGAAACCCTGTCTGTACAAAAAATTGGCCAGGCATGGTGCTGCACACCTGTAGCTCCAGCTGCTCGGGAGGCTGAGGTGGGAGGATCACCTGAGCCCTGTAGGTTTGAGGCTGCAGTGAGCTGAGGTTGCACCAATGCACTCCAACCTGGGTGACAAAGTGAGACCCTGTCTCAAACCAAAACCAATTACTAATGCACAAGTTAACATGGATGAATCTCAAAACATTTTCCTGTTTTTTCTTTTCCTTCGCATAAGGTATCTACTGTGTGATTCCATTTATACCATTTATATGACAAACAAAACTTTATGAATAGACAAAACTAATTTATGTTGCTAGAAATCAGAACAGTGGTTGCGGGAATTGACTGGAAAGAAATATAAACGCATCAATTTAAGCAGCAGACCCCAGCCTTTTTGGCACCAGGGACCAGGATCATGGTAGACTATTTTTCTGTGGACAGGGTTGCAGGGGAGGTGGTTTCAGGATGATTCAAAAACATTACATTTATTGTGCACTGTATTTCTATTATTATTACATTGTAATATATAATGAAATAGTTATACAACTCACCATAATGTAGAATCAGTGGGAGCCCTGAGCTTGTTTTCCTACAACTAGATGGTCCCATGTGGGGGTGATGGGAGACAGTGACAGATCATCAGGCATTAGATTCTCATACGGAGCACACAACCTAAATTCCTTGCAGGCGCAGTTCACGATAAGATATGCACTCCTGCCGGGTGCAGTGGCTCTCGCCTGTAATCCCAGCACTTTGGGAGGCCGAGGTGGGCAGATCATGAGGTCAGGAGATTGAGACCATCCTGGCTAACATGGTGAAACCCCGTCTCTACTAAAAATACAAAAAAATTAGCCAGGCGTGGTGGCAGGCGCCTGTAGTCCCAGCTACTCGGGAGGCTGAGGCAGGAGAATGGTGTGTACCCAGGAGGCGGAGCTTGCAGTGAGCCAAGATTGCACCACTGCACTCCAGCCTGGGCGACAGAGCGAGACTCCGTCTCAAAAAAAAAAAAAAAAAAAAAGATATGCACTCCTATGAGAATCTAATGCTGCTGCTGATCTGACAGGAGGCAGAGCTCAGGCAGTAATGCAAGTCATGGGAGCAGCTGTAAATATAGATGAATATAGCTGTAAATATAGGTGTGGTGGCAGGCACCTGTAATCCCAGCTACACGGGGGGCTGAGGCAGGAGAATCACTTGAACCCGGGAGGCGGAGGTTGTGGTGAGCCGAGATTGTGCCACTGCACTCTAGCCTGGGCGACAGAGCAAGACTCTGTCTCAAAAAAATCAATATAATAGGCTTGGCAGGTGGCTCACACCTGTAATCCCAGCACTTTGGGAGGCCAAGGCAGGTGGATCACCTGAGGTCAAGAGTTCGAGATCAGCCTGGCCACCATGGTGAAACTCTGTCTCTACTAAAAATGCAAAAAAATTAAGCGGGTGTACTGGCGCATGCCTGTAATCCCAGCTATTAGGAGGCTGAAGCAGGAGAATCGCTTGAACCCAGGAGGTGGAGGTGGAGGTTGCAGTGAGCCCAGATGGTGCCATTGCACTCCAGCCTGGGCAACAAGAGTGAAACTCCGTCTCAATAAATAAATAAATAAATAAATAAAATAAAAATAATTTTACGTGTTTCTTTTAATGTTATTTTTTAAACGTGTCTGTTAGAAAAATTTAAATTACATTTATGGCTTCAATTATATTTCTTCCTTTTTTTTTTGTCTTTTACAAAAAAATCTGTACCACAAACTTTCACTACACCACACACAAACTTCTGGCCTCAAGCAATTCTCCCACGTCAGCCTCCTGGATAACTAAGACCACAGGCATGGGCTGGGCTCGGTGGCTCACGCCTGTAATCCCAGCACTTTGGGAGGCCGAGACGGGCAGATCACGAGGTCAAGAGATGGAGACCATCCTGGCCAACATGGTGAAACCCCGTCTCTACTAAAAATACAAAAATTAGCTGGGCGTAGTGGCGCGCCCATGTAGTCCCAGCTCCTCGGGAGGCTGAGGCGGGAGAATTGCTTGAGTGCAGGAGGCAGGGGTTGCAGTGAACCGAGATTGTGCCACTGCACTCCAGCCCAGCGACAGAGCAAGACTCCGTCCCAACGCTCCCCCCACCTCCAAAAAAAAAGACTGCAGGCATGTACCGCCATGCCCAGCTACTTTTTTATTTTTTGTAGAGCCAGGGTCCCACTGTGTTAACCAATCTAGTCCTAACACTCCTGGGCTGAAGTGAAACTCCTAGGCTGAAGCAGTCTTCCCACCTTGGCCCCCCAAAGCATCGAAATTACAGGTGTGAGCCACTGCAGTTGGCTATGGCTCTAATTATATTTCTCTTGAACAGAGCTGCTCTAAGGTTTTAAGACAAGTGTGTTCGAATGTTTGTATGCTATAACATGATTTTTACGTGTGTGAATGTTGTTACTATGTCACAGTTTTTTGTACCACAAATTTTAACTGAATTATTTCTCTTTAGAAAATTTTTTTTTGTTAAAAGGCCTAATACCCAAAGGAATCTTAGAACACAGTTTCTTGGGCAGGATTGATATTTTGGCTATATTCTTTGATTTAGATGTGAATGTTTGCTGCATACATTTGGGAGACGATAGGTTTTTGAAATAACAATGATTGATCGCAATAGAATAATGTATTTTTCTTCTGATATGTTTTTTGATATTTATTTATTTAGAGATGGAGTCTCACTCTGTGGCCCAGGCTGGAGTGCAGTAGCGCAGTCTTGGCTCACTGCAACCCCTGCCTTCCGGGTTCAAATTATTCTCCTGCCTCAGCCTCCCGAGTAGCTGGGATTACAGCTGCCCACCACACCCGACTAATTTTTGTATTTTTTGTAGAGACGGTGTTTCACCATTTTGGCCAGGCTGATCTCAAAAACACGTGACCTCAAGTGACCTGCCCACCTCTGCCTTCCGAAGTGCTGGGATTACAGGTGTGAGCCACCATGCCCGGCCTGTTTTTGTTTTTGTGGTTTTTTTGTTTTTGTTTTTTGAGAGGGAGTCTTGCTCTGCCGCCCAGGCTGGAGTGCAGTGGCACAGTCTTTGCTCACCCACCTCCGGGTTCAAGCAATTCTCCTGTCTCAGCCTCCCGAGTAGCTGGGATTACAGACATGCATAACCACACCCAGCTAATTTTTGTATTTTTAGTAGAGATGGGGTTTCACCATCTTGGCCAGGCTCGTCTCGAACTCCTGACCTCAGGTGATCCACCTGCCTCGGCCTCCCAAAGTGCTGGGATTACAGGCATGAGCCAACGCATCCGGCCAAGAGTTCTTTATATGTCCTAGATACAACTATCAGATATATGACTTGTAGTTATTTTCTCACATTCTGAGGGTTGTCTTTTCACTTTTTTGAAGGTGCCCTTTGAAGCATAAACGTTTTTCATTTTGATGAAAGTTAATTCTTATTTTTGTTGTTGCTTGTGCTTTTCATGCCATTTCTAAGACTTCTTCACTAAATCCAAGATCATGAGGATTTACCATGTCTTCCTATAAGAATTCTAAGTTTTAGCACTTACATTTAGGTCTTTGATCCATGTTGAGTTAATTTTTTTTTTTTTTTTTTTTTGAGACTGAGTTTTGCTCTTATTGCCCAGGCCAGAGTGCAGTGGCATGATCTCGGCTCACCTCAACCTCCACCTCTTGGGTTCAAGTGATTCTCCTGCCTCAAGCCTCCCAAGTAGCTAGGATTATAGGAATGTGCCACCACACCTGGCTAATTTTGTATTTTTAGTAGAGACAGGATTTCCCCATGTTGGTCATGCTGGTCTCGAACACCCAACTTTCGGTGATCTGCCTGCCTCGGCCTCCCAAAGTGCTGGGATTACAGGCATGAGCCACTGCGGCCTGCCTTATTTTGAGTTGATTTTTATAGATGAGGAAAGATAAGGCTCAACTTCATTTTTTTTTGCATACTACGATCTTGTTAATAGTAGAGAAATATCGGGTGATGGGTGCACCAAAATTTCACACATCACCACTAAAGAACTTGTGTAACCAAATACCTGTTCCCCCACATACCTATGGAAATAAAATGAAGGAAGGAAGGAAAGGAGGGAAGGAGGAAGAAAGGAAATAACTGGGTGTGGTGGCTCATGCTTGTGATCCCAGCACTTTGAGAGGCTAAAGTGGGAGGATCCCTTGAGTCCAGGAGTTCAAGATCAGCCTGGCCTACATAGTGAGACCTTGTCTCTACAAAAAATTTAGTCTGGTCATGATAGCGCGTGCCTGTATTCCTAGCTACTTGGGAGACTGAGGTGGGAGGATCGCTTGGGCCCAGAAGATAGAGGCTGCAGTGAGCCGAGATCACACCAGCCTGGATGACAAGAGCTAGACACTGTGTCAAAAAAGTAAGGCCTGGGCACAGTGACTCATGCCTGTAATCCCAGCACTGTGGGAGGCCAAGGTGGGTGGATCACCTGAGGTCAGGAGTTCGAGACCAATCTGACCAATATGGTGAAACCCCATCTCTACTAAAAATATAAAAATTAGCCAGGTGCGGTGTTGTGTGCCTATAGTCTCAGCTACTCAGGAGGCTAAGACAGAATTGCTTGAACCCCGGAGGCCGAAGTTGCAGTGAGCCAAGATCGCACCACTGCACTCCACCCTGAGCGACAGAGCAAGACTCCATCTCAAAAACAAAAAAGAGTAAAGAAGTAATTTCATAGATTTAGTCATATAACAATATTTCTTTTTTCTTTTTCTTTTTTTTTGAGACAGAGTCTCACTCTGTTGCCCAGGCTGGAGTGCACTGGCGCAATCTTGGCTCCTCCAACCTCCGCCTCCTGGGTTCAAGCGATTCTCCTGTCTCAGCCTCCTGAGTAGCTGGGATTATAGGCATGCACCACCAGGCCCGGCTAATTTTTGTATTTTTAGCAGAGACTGGGTTTCACCATGTTGGTCAGGCTGGTCTCGAACTCCTGACCTCGTGATCTGCCTACCTCAGCCTCCCAGAGTGCTGGGATTACAGGCGTGAGCCACCGGGCCCAGCTATATAACAATATTTCATTGTTGCATAGTGGTTTAATAACTGTCATGGGTATGAACTGACTCTTACATGTTGCTTATTATAGAACATCTTTGTTATTCGTTCTGAGATTGTGATATTAGCTGAACTTAATGGAGGCTATTCAAGAGTCTGATAAAGAGTGTAACAGAACTGAAAAAGGTAGGAAATAATGTTGGAGCCAACATGGGAGATGTCTGTACAAGAAATTAAAATCAAAGCATACAAAATTTCAATGAAAAAAAAATTTTTTTTGAGACAGGGTCTTGCTCTGTCGCCCAGGCTAGAGTGCAGTGGCACAATCTTGGCTCATTGCAGCCTCTACTTCCCAGGTTCAAGCAGCCCTCCCACCTCTGCGTCCCAAGTAGCTGGGACTACAGATGTGCACCACCATGCTCTGCTAATTTTTAATTTTTTTTTTTTGTAGAGACAGAGTCTCACTGTATCGCCCAGGCTGGTCTCAAACTGCTGAGCTCAAGCAATTCTCCCACATCAGCCTCCCAATGTGCTGAGATTATAAGCGTGAGCTACAGCACCTGGCCTGAAAATGAAATTTTAATTTAATTGGTCATTTCTAAAATGGGAGGCCACAAAAGGGATAAAAGGAAATGTTTGGAGCAAATTTAATTAAGCCCAGTTATTCCACAAGTGTAAATTATAAAGCTTAATTAGTTCTTTCAGACTCTAATGTGACAGTCAGTGAATTATTTTCCATTCAGTTAAAAGGGACCTCCTGTGGTCCAGTGTCTATAAAAGAAGATGAATCAAACAAATGGTTGATAACATAAATATTATAGACAGTTTTAGTGTGCTTAAGAAACCATATTTCTTCTTTTGTTAGCCCAGTGGTGATATTGTAGCCCATAAGACATAACTAAAAGAGGATTATGGCTAATAATCTTTTGAATCTTATATTGCTTTTGCTAGAGATCCAGCCCCATTTCAGTCTTACGACTGAGTGTGGTCCTCCTGAAACTTGTTCATCTAACGAACTCTACCGTAGAAGGATCCTACCTGTGTGACATTTCCTTCACACTATCAGCAATTTGTGTTCACGTTGGCATGATTCACATCTGCCTCCAAGGATCTCATTTAGATGAACTGGTGATCAGATTGATCACAAACCAGGGTTAAAATAATTCTTCAGGCCAGGTGGAATGGCTCACTGTAATCCCAGCACTTCGGAAGTTCGAGGCAGGTGGATCACCTGAGGTTGGGATTTCGGGACCAGCCTGACCAACATAGAGAAACCCCATCTCTACTAAAAATACAAAATTAGCCAGGAGTGGTGGTGCATGCCATTAATCCCAGCTAGTCAAGAAGGCTGAGGCAGGAGCATCTTTTGAACCCAGGAGGCAGAGATTGTGGTGAGCCGAGATCACGCCATTGTACTCCAGCCTGGGCAACAAGAGCGAAACTCCGTCTCAAAAAAAAAAAAAATTCTTCAGTGGTCTGCCACTCTGTGGAAACCCCACAGGGCCACTAATGTGGATAAATCATTTAACCCCTGTGGGCTGCCTTTTCCTTTTCTATCAAATAAAGCAATTGGTTTAGGTGATCTTAAGATCCCGTCCATGTGTAAAATGCTAAGTCTCTGTGACTTTATATTTTATTTGCTGCCCAGGATAAGACTGGGTTCTTTGGGATGCCAGATTTGATAAAGATAAAACTTCTTTAGCTTTTTGTGTTGTACTTCTATTTCTGTTGGATTTGGACTATGTTTGTCAATAAGATTCTTTTTGCACAGAACTGTTATTAGCAAAATGTTTACAGAAGATAAAATTAAAAACTAATTGAACAACTAAACTTCAACTTTAACAGTTGAAAGTTGGCTGAGTGTGGTGGCTCATGCCTGTAATCCCAGCACTTTGGGAGGCCGAGGTGGGCGGATCACCTGAGGTCGGGAGTTGGAGACCAGCCTGACCAACATGGAGAAACCCCTTCTCTACTAAAAATACAAAAATTGAGAAGTTTCCCCCTTGGGCAGTGGCGGAGGTGGTAACTACGACAGTAGCAGCTCCGGCGGCAGCAGCAGTGACTACGAGGATGGCGGAAGCTGCAGCAGGACCTGCAACTTCCCAGAGGTTTTTCCAGAGCTTCTTGGATACTCTAATCGACGAGGACCCCCAGGCGGCATTAGAGGAGCTGACTAAGGCTTTGGAACAGAAACCAAATGATGCATAATATTAGTGTCAAAGAGCTTATTGTCACATTCTTGTAATTACTGTGTTGCTGTTGCTGATGCAAAGAAGTCTCTCGAATTCAATCCAAATAATTCCACCACTATGTTGAGAAAAGGAACATGTGAATACTATGAAAAAAACTATGCTGCTGCCCTAGAAATTTTTACAGAAGGACAAAAATTAGATAGTGCAGATGCTAATTTCAGTGTCTGGATTAAAAGATGTCAAGAAGCTCAGAATGGCCCAGAATCTGATGTGTGGACTCATCAGTCAAAAATCAGGTATGACTGGTATCAAACAGAATCGCAAGTAGTCATTACACTTACGATCAAGAATGTTCAAAGAATGATGTAAATGTGGAATTTTCAGAAAAGGAATTGTCTGCTTTGGTTAAACTTCCTTCTGGAGAGGATTACAATTTGAAACTGGAACTTCATCCTATAATACCAGAACAGAGCACATTTAAAGTAGTTTCAACCAAGATTGAAATTAAACTGAAAAAGCCAGAGGCTGTGAGATGGGAAAAGCTAGAGGAGCAAGGAGATGTGCCTACACCAAAACAATTCATAGCAGGTGTAAAGCACCTACATCCATCATCATCTCCTTATACAAGAAATTGGGATAAATTAGTGGGTAAAATCAAAGAAGAAGAAAATAATGAAAAGTTGGAGGGAGATGCAGCTTTAAACAGATTATTTCAGCAGATCTATTCAGATGGTTCTGATGAAGTGAAATGTGCCATGAACAGATCCTTTATGGGAGTCTGATGGTACAGTTTTGAGTACCAGCTGGTCTGATGTAGGTAAAAGGAAAGTTGAAATCAATCCTGATGATATGGAATGGAAAAAGTACTAAATAAATTAATTTGCTCTCACACACACACACACACAAAATATAAAAATTAGCTGGGCATGGAGGTGCATGCTTGTAATCCCAGTTACTGGGAAGGCCACCAAGGCAGGAGAATTGCTTGAACCCAGGAGGCGGAGGTTGCAGTGAGCCAAGATCATGCCATTGCACTCCAGCCTGGGCAACAAGAGCAAAAAACTCTGTCTCAAAAAAAAGTTGAAGGTTGACAAGTTTAACATTTTTTGGATTATTGTAGACAAATTGGCATTAATATTTTTTTCTTTAGAAATTTTATTTATTGGCCAGGTGCAGTGGCTCACGCCTGTAATCCCAGCACTTTGGGAGGCTGAGGTGGGAGGATCATGAGGTCAGGAGATCGAGGCCATCCTGGCTAACATGGTGAAACCCCATCTCTACTAAAAATACAAAAAATTAGCTGGGCATGGTGGCGGGCACCTGTAGTCCCAGCTACTCGGGAGGCTGAGGCAGGAGAATGGCATGAACCTGGGAGGCGGAGCTTGCAGTGAGCCAAGATCGTGCCACTGCACTCCAGCCTGGGCGACAGAGCAAGACTCCGTCTCAAAAAAAAAAAAAATACATATATATATATATATTTATTTTACTTTTTTTTTTTTTTTTTTTGAGACGGAGTCTTGCTCTGTTTTCCACGCTGGAGTGCAGTGGTGTGATCTCTGCTCACTGCAACCTCTGCCTCCCGGGTTCAAGCAATTCTTCTGCCTCGACCTCCTGAGTAGCTGGGACTACAGGGGCATGCGCTACCACGCCCAGCTAATTTTTGTATTTTTGGTAGAGACGGGGTTTCGCCATGTTAGTCAGGCTGGTCTCAAACTCCTAATCTCAGGTGATCAGCCTGCCTCGGCCTCCCATAGTTCTGGGATTACAGGCATGAGCCACCGTGCCTGGCCTCTTTTGAAATTTAAAAATCTCAGCTACTCTGGGCATACTGCCTGTGGGGTAGCCCTGTTCTCCAAGGACCATTACAAAAAAAAAAAAAATAGATATTTAGTGTGTACTTTCCCATATTCAGTTTGTTGAAAGAAATTACATTAACCGGGCATGGTGGCTCACGACTGTAATCCCAGCACTTTGGGAGTCCAAGGCAGGCGGATCACCTGTGGTCAGGAGTTCGAGACCAGCCTGGCCAATATGGTGAAACCTCATCTCTACTAAAAATACAAAATTAGGTGGGTGTGGTGGTGCACGCCTGTAGTCCCAGCTACTCGGGAGGCTGAGACAGGAGAATCACTTGCAACCGGGAAGTGGAGGTTGTGGTGAGCAGAGATCATGCCATTGCACTCTAGCCTGGGTGACAAGAGCGAAACTCCATATCAAAAAAAAAAGAAAGAAAAGAAATTACATTATTAGATTTTTTATTTTTATTTTCTTTTTTCTTTTTCTTTTTCTTTTTTTTTTTTTTTTGAGACAGAGTTTCGCTCTTGTTGCCCAGGCTGGAGTGCAATGGCATGATCTCAGCTCACTGCAACCTTTGCCTCCCAGGTTCAAGCAATTCTCCTGCCTCAGCCTCCCAAGTAGCTTGGATCACAGGCATGTGCCACCACGCCTGTGTAACTTTTTGTATCATTATTGGATTTTTTAAGCCAATTTTTCAAATGTTTGCTGTGAGGCTACTTTGTAAATTTATTTTCCTTTGACAAATGGTGACTGACTGGATTTATCCTCATTTTAGCCTTTTTTAATAAGGGTTAAACTATTTCAGATATTTGGTTTAGATTTCTTTAACTCACAGGATCTATGGCTTGACAAATTTTAATGCCTAGTCTTGCATAGCTTGTTGTAACTTGGTGCTTGAAGAAAATGTTTACTCCTTTCTTTTCCTTTCCTTTTTTTTTTTTTTCTTCTTTTTTTATCTTCTTTTCCAAGGATGGGCATTCTGGGGACCTAGAGCTAGTTCCTTCAGCATGTGAAGGGGAGAGTGGGGTTTTGTCAGATCCTCCACAGGGGGGAAAAGCTAGTGTCTCTTCCCTTGAGGTATAGTTCTTCCAGTCTGATGAACTGTCAGATCCACTGAGTGATTGGTAAAGCAGATTGGACAGTGACTCGAGGAAGTGGGGGTGGGGACAATATTTTAAGTAGTAACTATCAAAAGTAAAGTGATTCTCTGGGGGCTCAGTAGAGCCATGTGTGCTTCTAGCGTTAGCAGTCTGCAGGAATTGTGCAGAGTGCGGTGTTTTCTAAGAGGAAAAGGAGGATGAGTGTGAGAGTGATGAGAGGTGAGTTGGGATGGATTGTAATGCACCAAGAGAAGGGAGCATAAATGTTGGTTTGAGTTTCGGGCAATGAAACTTGCTTAATCCTGATGGCTCTTAATCAGAATGTCAGCCCTAAAGTTTCATATTCACAGTTGAGAACTTTTAATTGAATGATTATTTTTTATAGTCTTTTACCCTGTTTTGATTTAGAATTTGAAGAAAGCAGATTTTTATATTCTACGTAATTATAGTTTGGGCTTCCTGGGAAACAGAATCCTGCTGCAAATCTTACATGACTGATTTCTGGACCCAAAGTGGGTTTGACAGTGGGCTGGAGCAGTAATAGCCCACCTACTGTCGGGAGAGGCCAGGGCAGGCATTTCCCAGCAAGCCTGCCTGAAGTGGGTCTTGTCCTAGACTCTAGGACCTAGATCATGCAGGAAAAGTCCCATTTGTGGGAGCTGGAAAAGAGTTGGCTTCATTAGCAAAGTGACCTACCAACAGGAAAGGTGGGGGTCTGGAGAAGCAGATTTAAAATGTTGAAAGCTGTGTTTCTTTAACAAATACTTATTAAGCACCTACTGCCTATGTGAGATATTGCTCTAGTCTGTGTAGGAAACCACAGATGTGTGCTTCTGCTTTTAAGAAGCTTATGTTTTACACTGACCTTTGGCAGAGTCACATATGAAAATGGATATCGGGCCGGGTGCAGTGGCTCACGCCTATAATCCCAGCACTTTGGGAGGCCGAGGCGGGCAGATCACAAGGTCAGGAGTTTCCAGCCTGGCCAACATAGTGAAACCCCATCTCTATAAAAAAATACAAAAAAATTAGCTGGGCATGGTGGCGGGCACCTGTAATCCCAGCTACTTGGGAGGCTGAGGCAGGAGAATAGCTTGAACCGAGGAGGCAGAGGTTGCAGTCAGCCGAGATTGCACCACTGCACTCCAGCCCAGGCAACAGAGCAAGACTCCGTCTCAAAAGAAAAAAAAAAAAAAAAGATACTAAATTTTGTAACTGTCATTCACATAGGCCCTGAACTAATTTTTTTTTTTTTTTTTTTTTTTTTTGTGACGGAGTTTCACTCTTGTTGCCCAGGCTGGAGCGCAATGGCGTGATCTCAGCTTACCGCAACCTCCACCTTCCAGGTTCAAGCGATTCTCCTGCCTCAGCCTCCCAAGTAGCTGGGATTACAGGCATGCGCCACCACACCCAGCCAATTTTGTATTTTTAGTAGAGATGGGGTTTCTCCATGTTGGTCAAGCTGGTCTCGAACTCCCAACCTCAGGTGATCAGCCTGTCTCAGCCTCCCAAAGTGCTGGGATTACAGGCATGAGCCACCGCACCCAGCCACTAATGGTCTTCTTGAGCCTCCGGAGACCGGACCTTTAATAGTCTTTTTTTGTTCATAAGTAGTACATATCTGATATGTTGTAGTTACTCAGTATACTTCTTGAATGAATGAATGTCATTGCCATTTTAAAATTAAAAATACAAATAAGCCAAAAGGAGAAATTAAGTCACCAGTCTTGCCACACAGACCTAACTACTAACATTCTTCTGAAGATGAGAGATAACTAGCCTCCTGCCTCTGGTCCCTGAGTCTTCCTTCATGGGGAGGGTTCATTGTAGGGACTGTGGCCATGGGACAACCTTGCTGGTAAAGCCAGCTGTTGAAGAGCCAGAAATATTGATAGTAGGCTTGCCAGGAAAATTCCTTTGAAAGTGGCACTACTTGCTGGCTCTCAAATTACTATCCTCTGTAATAAGGGTCAGATTTAAAATTACATACTCAGGGACAAAATATAAACTTATGTTTGGATTAAACTTTTTCTACCTGTTTAAAAAGACAAGTTAGAATACCTATGTTGTGTATGCCTAGAACTTAGAAAATTATAATGTACAAGAATCTTTTCTGTTGTGTTTTTTGTAAGTGGTCTTGTGAGTTAATAAAGAAGCAATGTGATTGGATGGGAAGAACAGCGGATTGGGAGTCTACAATGTCAAATATTAGACCTAACTAATCACACACTAAGCTAAAGATTATGTTTACTCACTTTGAGTCTCTGTTTCCACATCAGTTAAACAAGGAACCACACTAGACAGTCTTTCAGCCCTCCCATGGTAGTATAAGGCATAAACCTCAATTTCGTTATGCTTCTCAAGGACCACTCTACTTTTCTGTGTTGTTAAGAGTTGAGGGGCTGCCTTTCTAAGATTCTAGGAACCAAATTCTAGGGTAGTTTTCTAAGATTCTAGGAACCAAAAGTTAGCAAGTGAAGAGGAAACAGAATACTTTTGAATTTGCCCAGCTGTGCTTTTTATAGGAAGAGCCATTTCTAGTCAGAGGATTTCAGAACATTTCAAAACTCTGTGGTGATATACTGGTTACATTCTTCCTTAGACTAAAATTACAACCTGAATGCACTTAATGATACATATGTGTATTGTAATTTGTAAACATAACTCAAAACCCTGTATCTGAGTGAGGTCATTTGTGGTTAGCCATTCAGACTTCATTTCTATTTGACAAGGGTTTATTTTAAGATTGCTTTGTGGAGCAGTTGTTTAACATTCAAGTGATCTATTAGTATTAAGTCTTTAACCAGACTTGTTTTAAATGAGCTGTCTGTGAAGTAGAAAACCAAATATTATAGAAACTTAGATTTCCAATCCAACTTAGCGAAATCAATGTAACTTAAACGTTGTCTTCACATATGTTTGTTTAACCTGTTTTTTTTCCTTCAGTATTCCTTTAGAAGAATAGTAACTGTGTGAATAAAACTTTTTAGTTACTCTTGATACTATGGTTTAGCAAGAACTGTAGACTTAATTGGTTGAGAAAAGAACATTTAAAGTAAATGAATGCTTTAGTAAGTTAATTATTTCTTAGCATATCACAAATATATGTAGAAAGAATAAGATCTCATTCTATAGCTTTATTCCTAGGTTATTAAAAGCAAACTTCTATGGAAGTTAGTTCTCATTAGGCTATATATATATAGTGTGTGTGTGTGTGTGTGTGTGTATTTATCTATACATATATACATACATACATACATACAGGCTATGTATTGTAATCCATTGGTTATTTTGTTGGGGATGTGGGTCAATTGGATGAAAGCTAAAGATGACTTATGTAAATAGCCAAACTGTGTTTCAGAATTGTTTTATACATCAATCTAATTCTTACCATTAGTACCGTGGCTTCCTCTCCTCTTTCCTGGTGTCCAGATTGTCACAGCTAAAGGGCATTTCTTCCTATTTAGCAAATATAACCATTATCAATGTTTAAAATGAGATTTTCGGCCCCTTCCCTTTTGTGTTATAGGTGCTCCATACTTGCTTGCAGTGCCTACGTGGCTCTGGCTTTGGGTGATAACCTCATGGCTTTGAATCATGCAGATAAACTTCTTCAGCAGCCCAAGCTGTCAGGATCTCTTAAGTAAGTGTGACTTGCCCTGTGTGTCCCTGGTTTCTTTAGTTTTGAGGTTTCTCCTTGGTTTGTGGTTTATGTTGCTTCTTTTGACTCCTCCAGTGGAATATATATTTGTAAGGAAAGCAACTGTTTAAAAGAACGTTTTTTAACCCATGCCTCGGCAGTGAAAATGTTTTCACTTGTGCTGTACTGAGCGTTAGGAGACAAAAACTTCGGACTCTAGTGTCCACTTCTAGGCTTCACTGCAGCACTTTAATTCTCCAAATAAGTCAAGTCCTCAGAGAGAAGACCTACAAAAAAAGGAGTGTGGTCAATGTGATAAATCTACTTTGAGGGACCAGGCACGGTGGCTCACGCCTGTAATCCCAGCACTTTGGGAGGCCGAGGCAGGCAAATCACGAGGTCAGGAGTTCAAGACCAGCCTGGCCAACATGGTGAAACCCTGCCTCTACTAAAAATACAAAAAATTAGCTGGGCGTAGTGGCGGGCACCTGTAATCCCAGCTACTCAGGAGGCTGAGGCAGGAGAATCGCTTGAACCCAGGAGTCAGAGGTTGCAGTGAGATCTCTGCACCACTGCACTCCAGTCTAGGCTACAGAGCAAGACTCTGTCTCAAAAAAAAAAAAAATAGACAAGAATTTGAAAAATCTTTCCAAGCTACTGTATCATTCCAGAATCAGCTAGTTTTAGTCAAACTGCAAATACTTCTTCATTAATATCATTGTCATTCTAAAATTTTCCAAAGCACATTATCTTTTCTTTTACCAAAATTGAGTAAAATACAGGCCAGGTGTGGTGGCTCATGCCTGTAATCCCAGCACTTTGGGAGGCTGAGGTAGGCAGATCATTTGAGGTCGGGAGTCTGAGACCAGCCCAGCCAACGTGGTAAAACCCCATCTCTACTAAAAATACAAAAATTAGCCAGGCATGGTGGCAGGCATCCATAATTCCAGCTACTCGGGAAGTTGAAACAGGAGAATCACTTGAGCCTGGGGGGCGGACGTTGCGGTGAGCCACGGTTGCACCATTGCACTCCAGGCGGAGTGACACAGCAAGACTCCCTCTCAAAAAATAAAAATAAAATACAGCTTGAATTTTTGTATGGTGCTGATCCTGGAAATTTTATCAAAAGCCACGAGTATTCTGCACAACATTAGAACAGTTCTTTCATTCATCGTATAGGTGTATACTTACAAATGCCAAAATATAACTACTTACTCTTTGGCTTTTTAGTGATCCCCAAACATACCTAGTGTTTTTGTTTTTTTTTTAAGTAATTAAGGCCAGGCGCTGTGGCTCACACCTGTAATCCCAGCACTTTGGGAGGCCTACCTGGGCAAATCATTTGAGGTCAGGAGTTGGAGACCAGCCCTGCCAATATGGTGAAACCCCATCTCTACTGAAAATATGAAAATTAGCCGGGCATGGGGGCACACTCCTGTAATCCCAGCTACTCGGGAGGCTGAGGCACGAGAATTGCTTGAGCCTGGGAGGCAGAAGCTGCAGTGAGCCAAGATTGTACCACTGCATTCCAAACTGGGTGACAGAGTGAGACTCCATCTCAAAAAAAAGTAATAAATCATTCAACTATATAAGAGACTTTGTCACAATTCAAATATAAGGGAGCTCCTGCTCTTCTGCAAGAAAATCTTGTCCAATATTCAGGCCTGGAGATGGGGAAGATCCTAATTTTCAGTTCAAGGCATTTGGGTTGCCTCTAAAGTACCTTCCGTCCTTATCATTGCCCAACTCAAAATGCCAATGTTGGGAATTGCAGCTGATGCTGGTGTTCAGATTGTGGTGTATACGGCCATTATGAGAGAACTGGACTTTGTGTGTTTGTGTGTGACTGAGTCTGTCTGGGTCACCCACACTAGAGTGCAGTAGCACAATCTCAACTCACTGCAACCTCCACTGTCTGGGTTCAGGCGATTCTCCTGCCTCAGCCTCCCGAGTAGCTGGGATTACAGGAGCCCACCACCACACCCGGCTAATTTTTTTTCTTTTTCTGAGACAGTTTCACTCTGTTGCCCAGGCTGGAGTGCAGTGGCATGATCTCAGCTCACTGCAACCTCTGCCTCCCCAGTTCAAGGGATTCTCCTGCCTCAGCCTCCTGCGTAGCTGGGATTACAGGTGCACGCCACTATGCCCTACTAATTTCTTTTTTTTTTTTTTTTCTTTTTTTGAAACGGAGTTTCACAGGCATGAGCCACCGCACCTGGCTACTTTTTGTATTTGCTCTTATTGCCCAGGCTGGAGTGCAATGGCGTGATCTCGGCTCATCACAGCTTCCATCTCCCGGGTTCAAGCGATTCTCCTGCCTCAGCCTCCCAAGTAGCTGGGATTACAGGCATGCACCACCACGCCCGGCTAATTTTGTATTTTTAGTAGAGATGGGGTTTCTCCATGTTGGTCAGGCTGGTCTCGAACTCCCGACCTCAGGTGATCTGCCATCTTGGCCTCCCAAAGTGCTGGGATTACAGGCATGAGCCACCATGCTCAACCTGGAGAGTTTTAAAACTATAAAAGTTTAGTTTGTGGTGGTGTTGTTCTTGTGTAGAAAGTCATTAAGATTTTGAGCAGATCAAAAGGTCCCCAGTTAAAAAAAAAAAAAAAAGCTGGGCATGGTGGCTCACGCCTGTAATACCAACACTTTGGGAGGCCAAGACGGGCGGATCACGAGATCAGGAGATCGATCTTAATTTTTATTTTTATTTTTTTTGAGATGGCGTCTCACTCTGTCATTCAGGCTGAGGTGCAGTGGCATGATCACTGCTCACTGCAGCCTCAGTCTCCCATGCTTAAGTGATTCTCCCACCTCAGCCTCCTGAGTAGCTGAGACTACAGGTGTATGCCACCACGCCCAGCTAATTTTTGTATTTTTTTTGTAGAGACAGGGTTTTGCCATGTTGCCCACGCTGTTCTCAAACTCCTGGACTCAGCAGTCCACCCACCTAGGCTTCTTGAAGTGTTGAGATTAAAGGCATGAGCCACTACACCCAGGCAGTTGATTCGTTTTACCTAAATAAATTTAGATTTCAATTTAAGGACATGAAATATGAGACCTATATCCAATGTATAATAACATAATATACCCAGCATTATTTTACATTGGGTATTTTTGTGACGTTGTACTTTTCAGTTTGGAATCTGTTTTTTCATTTTAGGTTTTTGGGACATTTATATGCTGCAGAAGCCCTCATCTCTCTCGACAGAATATCTGATGCCATTACTCACTTGAACCCGGAGAATGTCACTGATGTCTCCTTAGGGATCTCTTCAAATGAGCAGGACCAAGGTTAATGAGGACATCTTTGATCAGAACTGGTCACTGTTTCCATTTCCCTCCTGTCATAATTCAGGATGTGTGGAAATTTAGGCATGGTGGTAATGAGAAGAAAGTTTTAGGTTGGCTTTCCACATTTTTGTCTGTACTTACTTTGTAGCAGTTGTTTGCTAAGTAGACCTGAGAGTTAATGATCACATCATCTAAATTCTCACTTTTGAAAGGCTGGTACTGTTAGAATGGTTAATTTTGGTTCTGATACTATTTATTTGTTTTCCTTTGGAGTGATTCTAAAATCCATAGGGGAGTAAAAATATTGCATTCAAGAGTCAGTTTTAGTCCAGGCGTGGTGGCTCACGCCTGTAATCCCAGCACTTTGGGAGGCTGTAGCAGGAGGGTCACTTGAGCCCAAGAGTTCAAGACCAGCCTGGGCAACCTGGTGAGACCCTGTCTCTATTTTAAAAATAAGGAAAGAAAAAAAAGTTTGTTTTAAGTCATTGCTAAATTTCTAAATAATTGTCGGGTGCGGTGGCTCACACCTGTAATCCCAACACTTTGGGAGGCCGAGGCAGGTGGATCACCTGAGGTCAGGAGTTCAAGACCAGCCTGGCCAACATAGTGAAACCCCGTCTCTACCAAAAATACAAAATTAGTAGGGCGTGGTGGTGCAAGCCTGTAATCTCACCTACTCAGGAGGCTGAGACAGGAGAATCGCTTGCACCTGAGAGGTGGAGGTTGCAGTGAGCCAAGATCACGCCACTGCACTCCAGCCTGGGTGACAGAGCAAGACTCTGTCTGAAGAAAAAAAAAAAATTAAATAATTAAAGCTATGTGACATTCATTTTACTCAAGACTAGTGCTCAGGTTTGAGATGGTGGTGGGTGGTAGCATTCTGGCATTTTTTAATGGAATCTCCACTACATGAAAAGTAAATAAATTGCTTTATATTAAATTTCCATTTCATAAAGAAAGTTAGGTTTTTAGAAAATATGCTCTCAGCTGGCCACAGTGGCTCACACCTGTAATCCCAGCACTTTGGGAGGCTGTGGTGGGTGGATCACCTAAGGTCAGGAGTTCAAGACCAGCCTGACCAACATGGTGAAACCCTGTCTCTACTAAAAATACAAAATTAGCCAGGCATGGTGGTATGCCCCTGTAATCCCAGCTACTCAGGAGGCTGAGGCCAGAGAATCACTTGAACTCAAGAGGCGGAGGTTGCAGTGAGTCGTGCCATTGCACTCCAGCCTGGGCGGCAACAAGAGCAAAACTCCATCTCCAAAAAAAAAACCAGCCTGACCAACATGGTGAAACCCCGTCTCTACTAAAAATACAAAAACTAGCCAGGGATGGTGGCACATGCCTGTAATCCCAGCTACTCAGGAGGCTGAGGCAGGAGAATCGCTTGAATCCAGGAGGCGGAGGTTGCAGTGAGCCGAGATCATGCCCCTGCACTCCAGCCTGGGCAACAGAGCGAGGCTCCATCTCAAAAAAAAAAAAAAGAAAAGAAAAGAAAATATGCCCTCTACCTTCTGAGCCCGAGGAGAAAAGAAAGAAAATATGCTCTGTTGTTCTGCCCCTCAGATTTATTTTCGTGTTTTTGTAGGATCAGACAAAGGTGAAAATGAAGCAATGGAATCCTGTAAGTAAGAAGTTTTGTGATACTTAAGTAGCCTGGCCTGCATCCCAAAAATTTAGATTCTAAATCTTCTGTGTTCGTTTTTCTGCCTGAGGAATACTGCTGTGCCAAGTGGCTCCTCAAGGCGATAGATTGGGTTGCTTCCTTGCTGTTGGCACGGCCTCTTCACCAGTGTCTACACTCTTTTTCCCCAGCTGGTAAGCGGGCCCCTCAGTGCTACCCCAGTTCCGTCAACTCTGCCAGGACTGTGATGCTGTTCAACCTTGGCAGCGCTTACTGCCTGAGGAGCGAATATGACAAAGCCCGAAAGTGTCTCCACCAGGTGAGTCCAGAGTGGGAGGAACTGAACCTTGTAAAGCAGCCAACACAAGTTTGAGGTTTATATTTTTTGTTACTTTGTTTGAAGCATCTGATCAGTTTGTTAAATATTGGAATATCACTTTCCCAGATATAAAAATATTCTTGCAAGGTAAACAACTAATCAGCATTGTAAATGAACCTAGACACTTAAAGGAAAGTTCTTCTTGATGATTTTATTTTAAAAAAAATTTTTTTTTGCCAGGCACAGTGGCTCATGCCTCCCAGCACTTTGGGAGGCCGAGGCAGGCGGATCATGAGGTCAGGAGTTTGAGACCAGCCTGGCCAATATGGTGAAACCCCATCTCTACTAAAAATACAAAAATTAGCCAGGTTGGTGGCACGCACCTGTAGTCCCAGCTACTCGGGAGGCTGAAGCAGGAGAATCGCTTGAATCCGGGAGGCGGAGGTTGCAGTGAGCCAAGATTGTGCCACTGTACTCCAGCCTGGGCAACAGAGCGAGACTCCGTCTCAAAAAAAAAAAAAGATGTTTAAATTTCAAATCAGCAGAATAAAAAGCAACTTGGGGCCGGGCACAGTGGCTCACATCTGTAATCCCACACTCTGGGAGGCTGAGACAGGCAGATCACTTGAGTCCAGGGGTTTGAGACCAGCCTGGGCAACATAATGAGACCCTGTCTCTACTAAAAATACCAAAAATTAGCCAGGCATGGTGGTGCATTCCTGTAGTCCCAGATACTTAGGAGACAGAGGTAGGAGGATTACCTGAGCCTGGGAGGTTGAGGCTGTAGTCAGCCAAGATCATGCCACTGCACTCCAGCCTGGGCAACTGGAGTGAGACCCTGTCCCCCCAAAAAAAAAAGACAAAAGAAGTAAGTTGACAGTTTTAATTATTAAAATTCCAAAAGATGGAAAACTGTCTAAAAGATCACTTATATAAATAATAGTGCATCTGTACAGTTGAAGACAATGCAGCTATAAACTCTAGGTACTAAAATGGAAAGATGTCCAAGACATACTAAATGAAAACAGCAAGGTGTGAAACAGTTTCTGTATAACCCTGTATACATGCATAAAAGATCTCTGAAAGGACACACCAAGAAACTGCAAACATTAGTTGTTGGGGTGGCAGGACGAATACTACATGGCTGGAGCAGTAGAATGGGAGACTTTTCACTGTATACTGTTATGCTTTTAATTTTTTTTTTTTTTTTTTTGAGACGGAGTTTCGCTCTTGTTGCCCAGACTGGAGTGCAATGGCGCAATCTCGGCTCACTGCAACCTCCGCCTCCCGGGTTCAAACACTTCTCCTGCGTCAGCCTCCCAAGTAGCTGGGATTACAGGCATGTACCACCACGCCCGGCTAATTTTGTATTTTTAATAGAGACGGGGTTTCTCCATGTTGAGGCTGGTCTCGAACTCCTGGCCTCAGGTGATCCACCCGCCTCAGCCTCCCAAAGTGCTGGGATTACAGGTGTGAGCCACCGTGCCCAGGTGCTTTTAAATTTTGAATTGTGTAAATCTTTTTTCAAAATGTGAATTATAGGCCAGGCACGGTGGCTCATGCCTGTAATCCCAGCACTTTGGGAGGCCGAGGTGGGCGGATCATGAGGTCAGGAGATCAAGACCATCCTGGCTAACACGGTGAAACCCTGTCTCTACTAAAAATACAAAAAAATTAGCCAGGCGTGGTGGCATGTGCCTGTAGTCCCAGCTACTCGGGCGGCTGAGGCAGGAGAATGGCATGAACCCGGGAGGTGGAGCTTGCAGTGAGCCAAGATCGCGCCACTGCACTCCAGCCCGGGCAACAGAGCGGGACTCTGTCTCAAAAAAAAAAAAAAAAAGTGAATTATAAATCCACCTTTCAGAAAGCCAATACTAGAGAAACTCCATACACACTAAAGAAAGCTACTGGCAATATATAACTAAAATAAACCTCTGAATTCTACCACTGAAATGGTGCATCATGAAGCTTCAAGGAAGATTTTGATTGGATCTCTTTAGTAGGTCACCTGCCAATCCCTGGACCAATCATGGGCATTGAGCCATACCTGTAGTAGGGGACTGGGTACCACCATTGGCAGCCCCAGAGGAATCTCACAAAATTAGAAATAGTTCCTCAAAAGGACATTCATCCAGCAGATATCTGTTGAGCACTTACTTCTGAGCTAAGCCATGGGAATAAGACTGCACATAAGCAGACATACTACAATCTTGCCCTTGCTTGTAGACCTTTGCAGTTAGGAGACACCTTCCTAAAAAGGGAATTGCATGGTCAGAGGATATGCAGGATTTTAAGACTTCTGATATAGAAAGTTTGTATCAAATGGTACATTCTCCAGCAGCAGATGAGAAGGCCCACATCCCCACATGCTTGCCACAGCAACTAAAGTTGATATTAAACCTCTTCTCAGGAGATAGGGTGGCTTTCAGCCGGGCGCAGTGGCTCACACCTGTAATCCCAACACTTTGGGAGGCCGAGGCAGGCAGATCACCTGAGGTCAGGAGTTCGAGACCAGCCTTACCAACATGGAGAAATCCTATCTCTACTAAAAATGCAAAAAGTAGCTGGGCGTGGTAGCACATGCCTGTAACCCCAGATACTCGGGAGGCTGAGGCAGGATAATTGCTTGAACGCAGGAGGTGGAGGTTGTGGTGAGCCGAGATCGCGCCATTGCACTACAGCCTGGGCAACAAGAGCGAAACTCTGTCTCAAAAAAAAAAAAAAAAAAGCCTATGTGGCTTTCACATAGGTTCCTGCTTATGTGAGCAGCCTTGTTGTGCCTAGAAGTGATGATGCTTTACCATGTGAAAAATAACTACAAATTCTATTTAGTCAACTTAGTGGCATCTGGTCAGCATTTCTGATCCCAGATCAGAAAAGTTAAGTGACAGGCTGTCCAGGGTAACATGTTTGATATTATCTAGGCATTGAGTGTATGAGTTAAACCAGTAAGAGTTAAAATGTTTCACTCTTCTCAGTAACAAGGCTAGGGTGTTGAGCAGCCCCTCTCAAAGTGCCCCCAGACCTCAGTCACTGCAGCAAACAGAGCTTTTGATCTAAAGTTACAGTGTGTACAGTCCAGCTGAGGTTCTCGTACAGCAGGTGGCCATGGCTGCTGCCACGCTGGGAGAGACAGATGGGGTCAGGCCTGGTTTGGGGTCTGAAGGGGGTTTTGTTTTGGTCCCTTGGTTTTTAGGTTAATCCAATGGCTGGACCTTTGTTAATTGGGAGGCCCACCCTGCCTGGGAGGGAAGAACAGTGATGTGAAGAGTTGGAAAGGGCTCCGAGTAGATGTTTCCAAGGTTGCCTGCCCACCACTAACCATTCTGAACAGCCAGTAAGCAAAATGCCATTAAGTATCATAAAGATGTTGCCTTGAATTCTTGTATTTTAAAAAAAGCTTCAGACTGTGGTCATTGAAAAAAACAGTAAATAAAATGTGTTACTAGCCACTTGGATGGAAAACAGAGATTTTACTATCCACAAAATGGGCCGGGCACAGTGGCTCACATCTGTAATCCCAGCACTTTGGGAGGCCAAGGCGGGTGGATCATCTGAGGTGAGGAGTTCAAGACTAGCCTGGACAACATGATGAAACCCCGTCTATACTAAAAATACAAGAAATTAGCTGGGCGTGGTGGCAGGAGCCTGTAATCCCAGCTACTTGGGAGGCTGAGGCAGAAGAATCGCTTGAACCCAGGAGGCGGAGGTTGCAGTGAGCCTAGATCGTGCAATTGCACTCCAGCCTGGGCAACAAGAGCAAAACTCCGTCTCAAAAAAAAAAAATCCACAAAATGGTATAAAGACGATCTTGCCTATACAGCTTGCCTAGAAAGCTAGGCTTAGATATATAAAATCTCATTTTCTGAAAAGAGTTGTTATACCTCAGTGTTGTGGCGAGAGGAATAAAAGCCTCCCCACCTCATTCATGAGGAACTTCTTAGAAGCACATGCTCTGGGCAACATGCCCCGCTAGTCTGAGATTTCTCCTAATGCTGCCAGAAACCAACCTAGTACACGTTTCTGGTCTTCCCCAACATCTCCCACGTTCAAGCTGCTACCTTCAGTACCATTTCTCCCCATTTTCTACCTGTGAGATATCTACCCTGCAAGGACTAAAGCAGGCCTCCCTTACCCCAAAGCTCTGTTTGAAAGAAACTTCTTCCTTTCTCTCCATATTCACAGCACATTCACTGCCTTTCTCCCTGGCATTTACGTAACTGTGTTTGGATTATTGTTAGTTATTTGCATGCTTGTTTGTTATCAGGGGAAGTCCCTGTCTTATCTCCATACCCACCTCTGTTCAATAAGTATTTGTAGAAGTCTATTATCTGATTAGATTAAGAGAAGAGGCAGAGCTGTCTGGAAGCAATGAGCAACTAAAACTAGATGGGGAAGTACAAGTTGATAATAAGGTGAGGAATATTTTGGCTGTAGCTCAAAGAGGCCCAGACTGAGGAAATAAACCTGTAATTTCAGCACTTCTGTCCAGAGCAGTCCAGGCTTCCTTCTTCAGGACTGGATCAGAGAGAAACTGCTGGCCGATGCTATGGCTCTTACTCAGATCTAAGGGCAGCATGTTGCCTAAACTAGTAAATTATTTTATTGGACTAAATTGAAGTGTGTTTCAGTCCTTAAGAATGGAGACCTCAAACATGCTACGTGGTACGTTTTTTCTGTATTACTATAAGTTTGAATTATTATTCCTGACATTGACAACTTACAGTTTGTAATACTGAAGTGTTACTTAGGAAAACAAATGGGCATGCAGATTTTGATGTAATTGCAACTGTATGTGTCTGTTGTGAAAGCCACCAGCAGAATTGGATGGTTGACTGTAGTATCGGGGTGTCCAGTCACCCATCTCAAAACCCAGAGTATTACATGTCTAGCTTAATTGTTAGGTTTTAAGACAAAAGGAACTGAGGCTCATCAGAGCAGAACAACAGGTAGTCCCTAGGAAGTCACGTGGGAATGAGCTTGAATAAGTTTGTTACCTTGTTGGTTGGCAGATGTACTTGGAGTGTGTATCTTAAGCTTTTGTTTTTTCACGGGCATCTTTCTGTTTTGAGCAAAGGCGGCTTCAATGATCCATCCTAAAGAGGTGCCCCCTGAGGCCATCTTGCTGGCAGTCTACCTTGAACTGCAGAATGGTGAGTAATTCTCTCTGTTTAGGACTTTATCCCTTGAAAGAGCCTGAGATTTTTTGGTTGGGAGACAGGGTCTCACTGTGTTGCCCAGGCTGGAGTGCAGTGGTACCATCAGAGCTCACTGCAGCCTCCAAACTCCTAGGCTCAAGCAGCCTTCCCACCTCAGCCTTCCAGGTAGCTGGGACTACAGGTGCACGCCACTGAGCCCAACTAATTTTTTAAATTTTTTTTAGAGATGTGGTCTCGCTTTGTTGCCCAGGCTGCTCTCAAACTCATGGGCTCAAGCAGTCCTCCCATCTTACCCTCCCTAGTAGCTGGGATGACAAGCATAAGCCACCATGCTCAGCCAAGGCTGAGATTTTTTTTTTTTTTTTTTTTTTTTTTGAGACAGAGTCTTGCTCTGTAGCCCAGGCTGGAGTGCAGTGGCGCGATCTCGGCTCACTGCAAGTTCCGCCTCCCGGGTTCATGCCATTCTCCTGCCTCAGCCTCCTGAGTAGCTAGGACTACAGGCGCCCGCCACCACGCCCACCTAATTTTGTGTATTTTTAGTAGAGACAGGGTTTCACCGTGTTGGCCACGATGGTCTCGATCTCCTGACCTCATGATCTGCCCACCTCGGCCTCCCAAAGTGCTTGGATTACAGGCGTGAGCCACCGCACCCGGCAAGGCTGAGATTTTTAATGTCTGTTTTTTCTCTTCAGAGTCAGAAATTTGCCTTCCTTGAAGATAGGTGACCCATCAAATTCTTTTTTTTTTTTCTTTTTTGAGATGGAGTCTCGCTCTGTCACCCAGGCTGGAGTGCAGTGGCACTATCTCAGCTCACTGCAACCTCCGCCTCCCGGGTTCAAGGTTCAAGAGATTCTCCTGTCTCAGCCTCTCAAGTAGCTGGGATTACAGGCACCCACCAACATGCCTGGTTAATTTTTGTATTTTTAGTAGAGACCGGGTTCACCACGTTGGCCAAGCTGGTCTTGAACTTCTGACCTCAGGTGATCTGCCTGCCTCGGCCTCTTAAAGTGCTGGGATTATAGGCGTGAGCCAGAGCGACGACCCATCAAATTCTTCTACATAAAAATATAGTTAGGAGCTGGGCGCAGTGGCACATGCCTATAATCCCAGCACTTTGGGAGGCTGAGGTGGGCTGATCACCAGAGTTCAGGAGTTCAAGACCAGCCTGGGCAACATGGCAAAACCCCATCTCTACAAAAAATACAAAAATTAGCTGGGTGTGGTGGTGTGCGCCTGTAGTTCCAGCTACTGGGAAGGCTGAGATTGGAGGATCACTTGAGCCCTGGAGGTTGAGGCTGCAGTGAACTGAGATCATGCCAGAATAAGACCTTGTCTAAAAAAATAATAATAGGCCGGGCACAGTGGCTCACGCCTATAATCCCAGCACTTTGGGAGGCCGACACGGGTGGATCATTTGAGGTCAGGAGTTCGAAACCAGCCTAGCCAACATGGTAAAACCCCATCTTTACTGAAAATACAAAAATTAGCCAGGCGTGGTGGCGCATGCCTGTAATCCAGGTACTTAGGAGGCTGAAGCAGGAGAATCGCTTGAGCCTGGGAGGTGGGAGGTTGCAGTGAGCCGAGACACACCACTGCACTCCAATCTGGGCGACAGAGTGAAACCCTGTCTCAAATAATAATAATAATAAATACCTATATCTATCTAGATAGATAGATAGATAAATAGATAAATTGATAGATATAGTTAGGGAGTTTTTGGTATCCTACAAATACTCCTTACAAGTTAAGCTTATCTCCTTTTATCTGAGAAAATACAGAATCATAACTTCAGACACTTAATTATAATTAATCACTATTAATTAACCTTTCTCCTAGGCAGCTAAATGACTGAGAACATGAGTTAGAATGCAGTTGCTTTGAGTTATACACCATAGTATTTTGAACACATATTAACAAGTTTTACAGTAAGCCAGTTCTTGCTGAGAATTATTTATTCAAACATAAATTCAGGTCATGCCTCTAGGGCATATACGATCTCCAAGATGTATCTCACTAGAAGAAAGGCTGTTGGCTCTAAATATGAGATAGCATGAAGTAGAAAAGAGACATGAATGAGAGAGATTAGAAGGGACAGAAATAGGCCAGGTGCGGTGGCTCATGCATGTAATCCCAACACTTTGGGAGGCCGAGGCGGGCAGATCATGAGGTCAGGAGATCGAGACCATCCTGGCTAACATGGTGAAACCCTGTCTCTACTAAAAATACACAAAATTAGCTGGGCGTGTTGGCATACAGTTGTAGTTCCAGCTACTCAGCAGGCTGAGGCAGGAGAATTGCTTGAATCCGGAGGCGGAGGTTGCACTGAGCCGAGATCGTGCCACTGCACTCCAGTCTGAACGACAGAGCGAGACTCCGTCTCAAAAAAAAAAAGGGACATAAATGAAGTCACAGCCAAGCATGGAGTCCTAGCTACTCTGGAGGCTGAGGCGGGAGGATTGCTTAAGGCCAAGAGTTCAAGGCTATAGTGTGCAGTATTGCTCCTGTGAACAGTCACTGCACTCCAGCCTGGGCAATATAGTGAGACCCTGTCTCTTTTTTAAAAAATAAAAAATTTTAAAAAGGCTGGGCACAGTAGCTCATGCCCGTAATCCCAGCTACTCTGGAGGCTGAGGCAGGAGAATTGCTTGAATCTGGGAGATGGAGGTTGCAGTGAGCCGTAATCGCCCCACTGCACTCTAGCCTGGGCCACAGAACAAGACTCTGTCTCAAAAAAAACCCAATGTTCTAAGGCATAACTCCTTGTTGACCTTGGGAACTCTTACAAGGCTCCCTTTTTTTTAATAGCTGAAGAAGGGGTCTTTAGTGCCTGGCACCCAGCGGGCCTTAGCCTCCTTAAAGATGTGATTAGGGTTAGTGCATTGCCCTAGATTGTTTCATTGTTTTTTGTTTGTCTTGAGACAGGGTCTCACTTTGTCACCCAGGCTGGAATGTAGTGGCGTGATCTTGGCTCACTGCAGCCTTGACCTCCCAGGTTCAAGCAGCCCTCCTGCCTCAGCCCCCCAAGTAGCTGGGACTACAGGCATGCACCACCATGCCCAGCTAATTTTTGTATTTTTTTGTAGAGACGGGGTTTCACCATGGTACCCAAGCTGGTCTCGAACTCCTGAGCTCAGGCGATCTGCCCACCTTGGCCTCCCAAAGTACTAGGGTTACAGGCATGAACCAACCCTCCCAGATGATTGTTTCTTTTATACAGCCCACCTATAACAAGTTCTCTACCTGGGCTATACCTTAGAATCACTGGGAAGCTTTTTAAAATTCCATTGCCTGGGCCATGCCCTACATCGCTTAAATCAGAATTTCTGGGGATAAGATGGAGGCTTTATGGGATTCCAGTATACAGCCAAGGCTGCAGATGACAGCTCTTCTAGATCATCTTTTACCTCCCCAGCAGGATTTTCATGTCTTGCTTTGTGTGTGGCAGTATTGTTCTGTGCTTTGTTTTTTAACGGGAAGTGTTTTTATAGGTAATACTCAGCTGGCCTTACAGATCATCAAAAGGAATCAGCTGCTCCCTGCAGTGAAAACACACTCTGAAGTGAGAAAGAAGCCAGTGTTTCAGCCTGTCCACCCGATCCAGCCCATCCAAATGCCGGCTTTCACCACTGTGCAGAGAAAGTGATACTTCACTTTTGGAAAACTGTTACCTGAGACCCAGGGGAGAATTTACTGGCCATTTTAGTTGTATCACAGCAGAATGAATAAAAGATGGTGAAGGCTGTTAATTTTGAGTCAATTCTACCCCTGACATTTGGCCAAAAGCTTACTTAAAATTAAGGATTTACTAAGTCATCATCAGCTGTTTTTCTTAATTTCAGCCAGACTATTAATTTTGAGCCATTATGTAATATATGCCATAGGCAATTAAAACATAATTTTATCAGAAGTCTTTTACACTTTTATTGACTATTAGATTATTTTAGCATCTGAGGTTTTGTGTTAACGTTCAAAAATTGACAAAGAACATCAGCAGTAGATGAAATAGCCAGTTCAGAAGCTGACCTGGGGGTGAAGGGGAGGGAAAGAGAGTTGACGTGTTTTATGTCTAGTTATGACTGAAAAGACCAGAAAATGTGTT
Source organism: Homo sapiens (assembly GCF_000001405.40). Lineage (NCBI taxonomy): Eukaryota > Metazoa > Chordata > Mammalia > Primates > Hominidae > Homo > Homo sapiens. The sequence continues at coordinate 142,294 of NW_025791770.1, forward strand.
GAGAAAGTAGGTTAAGAAGATACAACTGGGCCAGGCACAGTGGCTCATCCCTATAATCCCAGCACTTTGGGAGGCTGAGGTGGGCAGATCACTTGAGGTCAGGAGTTTGAGACCAGCCTGGCCAACATGGTGAAACCCCGTCTCTACTAAAAATACAAAAATTAGCCAAGCATGGTGGCACACACCTGTAGTCCCAGCTACTCAGGAGGCTGAGGCAGGAGAATCGCTTGAACCTAGGAGGTCGAGGTTGCGGTTAGCCGAGATTGCACCATTGCACTCCAGCCTGGGCGACAGAACAAGACTGCCTCAAAAAAGAAGACACAACTGATCTGTTAGGAATCATTTGCTTAAAAAGTGCAAATACAACAGGGTTCAGTGTACTGGCCTTGTTCACTCTCCTAGGTTCTGGAGTCTGCTGGCAGGCAGTTCAAGGTTCATTACTAACCCTTTTGCAAATGCAAACAAGAATTTAATAGCTTCTTCCCAAGAGACAGTTATGTGTTGTGGGATTGACGTTGACAAAATTTGCCAATAGGATGTATATACACTAACATTAAGTAGGGGGAAAAAACAATACAAGTGGGTGCAGTGGCTCACATCTGTAATCCCAATGTTTTGGGAGACCAAGGCGGGAGGATCACTTGAGGAGTTCAAGACCAGCCTGAGCAACATAGCAAGACTCTGTCTCTGAAACATTTTTAAAAGCTGGACATGGTGGCCCATGCCAGTAGTCCTAACTATTCTGGAGGCTGAGGTGGGAGGATTGTTTGAGCCTAGGAATTCAAGACTGCAGTGAGCTATGATGGCACCACTGCACTCCAGCCTAAGTGACAGAGTGAGACCCTGTCTCAAACAAACAAAAGACAATGTGGATTTGCTCTAGTAAATTGGGTGTCCCCCTAGTTAAGATGGTGTTTGGTAGATTCATCAAAGCTTGCCATTTAGGAATATCCCTTAACGTCACAATGCTTCACTTCCCTAGTTTGGAGACACATTAGCTGAATCTACATGTTACCTCAGTTTCAGAACTAGAGAGACAAGTGTGTGGATAAGTACTGATTTATCTGAAACTTTATCTGAATTATTCTTTTTTTTTTTCCTTTGAGACGGAGTCTTGCTCTGTCTCCCAGGCTGGAGTGCAGTGGCACAATCTCGGCTCACTGCAACCTCTGCCTCCTGAGTTCAAGTGATTCTCCTGCCTCACCCTCCTGAGTAGCTGGGATTTCAGGTGCCCGCCACCACGCCTGGCTAATTGTTGTATTTTTAGTGGAGATGGGGTTTCACCATGTTGGTCAGGCTGGTCTGGAACTCCTGACCTTGTGATCCACCCGCCTCAGCCTCCCAAAGTGCTAGGATTACAGGTGTGAGCCACTGCACCTGGCCGTTTTTTTTTTTTTGAGACGGAGTTTTGCTCTTGTTGCCCAGGCTGAAGTACAATGGCACGATCTCGGCTCATCGCAACCTCCGCCTCCCAGATTCAAGTGATTCTCCTGCCTCAGCCTCCAGAGTAGCTGGGATTACAGGCATGCGCCACCATGTCTGGCTAATTTTGTATTTTTAGTAGAGATGGGGGTTTCTCCACGTTAGTCAGGCTGGTCTCGAACTCCGGACCTCAGGTGATCCGCCCGCCTCAGCCTCCCAACATGCTGGGATTACAGGCGTGAGCCATCGAGCCCAGCCTATCTGAATTATTCTGTTGCTGACAGGAAGCGGAACTCAGGTAATGATATATACTAGAACTGAATATTTGTGACTGAGATAGGCATTGCCAACAGACTCAAAGAAGGGGAGAATATCCTCCTCTTTTTAAACATGGATGGATGGATGTAGGGGCTCCATTGATCGAGTGCCACATTGTAGTTGTTTTGTACACAGAGTAGATTTTTACAGGTGGACACAGAAAGCAGAGATAGCCTAGCTTCCTTGGACCTCTTGAAGCCCCTTCTAAGTAGGACCATAGGACCCGTAATCTGCACTGCTGTTGGTTTAAGTCTGCCGTCTCTGCTTTCCCATACTCCAGACCGACAGCAGTACTGTGAGACCCACTCAAATGAGCAGAATTGCTTTGCCTGGGAATTTTCTGGAGAGTGAGTCCACAGACTTCATAAATCGCTAGGAACTCACATAGTCATGGTAGTATGAAGGGGAAAAGCCCTATAATTGTACTTCAAAAAAACACATCTTTAGAGAAATCAAGAAATTAGAACTTTCTCTGCATGCTGGTTTGTTTATGGGAAAGCAGGCAATACCTAGTAAGGGTAGGGCAGGTCCTATATTAAATAAGACTATATTTGGCTGCAAGTAGCAAAAAATAGGTCTGTGACTTAAAGATTATTTTTCTCTCACTTGAGAAGGGGATATGAAGGCAGCTGCTGGCCTGGGTTCTAGTGTCCCGTGATGCCATCCAGGACTCAGCTCTGTTTTTCCATGCCACTGTCCTCAGCATTTGGGCATTTGTTTCCATAGTCACAAGATATTCCAGTATCACATCAACATTGAAGGCAAGAAAAACAGGGCAAAAACTAGCTAATCTTGATGGGAGACTATCTGGAACAAAACTTTCTTAGAAACCTCAGCAGCCTTGAGCTTAACATCTCTTTTGTCACATCATGTCATGGAGCCATCCTAAGCTGCAGGGAAGCCTGGCAAAGATGTCATAACCATGCCTGCTGCAGTTGCTGGCATAGCCCTGCACATCCTAAGGGAGGCCAATTCAGTGTTTTTCAGATTAATGTTCCAGCAGCTCAGCTTTTCCTTCCACTGCCTACTGTCAGCAGAGCCCAGCAAATTAAATATAAGTTCTTCACCTCTGTGTCTGGACTCATACTGGTTCCCATAGCCAGGAAGGCTTCTTCCCACCTATTTTTCCTGCCCCATTTTGTTAAAGCCACCTCTGCTAACTGAGGTAACTCTGTCAGAGGGGTTTGAACCAGAGCAACTCCATCTTAAATGGGAGCTGGGTAAAATAAGGCTGAAAGCTACTGGGCTGCATTCCCATGTGGTTAAGGCTTAAGGCATTCTAAGTCACAGGATGAGATAGGGCAGCACAAGATACAGGTCATAAAGACCTTGCTGATAAAACAGGTTGCAGTAAAGAAGCCAGCTAAGACCCACCAAAACCAAGATGGTGATGAGAGTGACATCCTCACTGCTACACTCCCACCAGCGCCATAACAGTTTACAAATGCCATGGCAACATTGGGAAGTTACTCTATATGGTCTAAAAAGGGGAAACATGAATAATCCACCCATTGTTTAGCACATCATCAAGAAATAACCATAAAAATGGGCAACCAGCAGCTCTCAGGGCTGTTCTGCCTGTGTAGTAGCCATTCTTTATTCCTTTACTTTCTTAATAAACTTGCTTTCACTTTACAGACTTACGCTGAAGTCTTTCTGAATTCTCTTGGAGTCTAGATCGGGACCCCTTTCTAGTAACAACCCTATCTATACAAAAAGGCTTTTGGCCATGTTTGGTGGTTTACGCCTGTCATCCCAGCACTCTGGGAGGCCAAGGCGGGTGGATCATTTGAAGTCAGGAGTTCGAGACCAACCTGGCTAATATGGCGAAATCCCCGTCTCTACTAAAATATAAAAATTAACTGGGCGTGGTGGCGGGTGCCTGTAATCCCAGCTACTCGGGAGGCTGAGGCAGGAGAAGCACTTGAACCTGGTAGATGGAGGTTCCAGTGAGCCAGGATCGTGCCACTACACTCCAGCCTGGGTGACAGGGCAAGACTCTTGTCTAAAAAAAAAAAAAAAAAAGGATTTAAATGTCACTTACTAAAGTTTTTCCTGGTTGTTCCCAGTTTCTTCCCCCTTTGTATCTTCCCTGGTAAATACAGTTTCTTCTATGGTATATGGTTTTCTGGAATTTAGCAGATATGAGAACCATAGGCATCAGTCTCAAAATATGGCAACTTATTTGCTGGGGTTTACGTTTTTAGGTTTTTGGGTTTTGTTGTTGTTGTTGTTCTATGGTCTTGCTTTGTTGCCCAGGCAAATGTTGCAGTGGCTCTATCAAGGCTCAGTGCAACCTGGACCTCCTGGGCTCAAGTGGTCCTCCCACCTCAGTCTCCCGAGTAGCTGGGACTACAGGCAAGAGCCACCATGCCCAGTTTTGTATTTTTTGTAGAAGCGGGTTTTCGCTATGTTGCCCAGGCTGATCTCAAACTCCTGAGCTCAAGCTATCCACCTGCCTCAGCCCCCCAAAGTGCTGGGATTACAGGCATCAGCCACCGTGCCTGGCCTTTGCTGGGGTTTTGAATTCTGAGAGCCATTAGGTCTATTGAAGCTCTACCACTCATTCAGCTGCATCATCTACAATACGGGACAAAATCGACCTCATGAATTTCTTCATGGACCCAGGAGGATGTTGTTGCAAGTGTCTCCCAAACCACATGGCATGAACCCTCAGAACAGCTGTAGTAGTCTTCCCTTGTGCCCTCCGGCCCTTAACAGCCTCCTGCAGAGCTCTGTTAAAGCCATGCCCTTGACTGGAACACAGGCCAGCAACCTTGCATGGCCTTGCCCAATGCACTGCCATCTGCCTGCATGTGGAAACTATGCACCCTCCGCCTCCTCTTTCATATCAGAGTGTCACCTCTCATAGTCCCTTTCTGACTAGTTTTCTGACAGCTCTGCCCTTACTCAATCTAAGTGACTTTGAGCAAATGACTTCATCTCTCTTGAGGTTTTTTGACCAGTTTGTAAAATGCTTTTCTTCAGGGCCTAGTGTGAGGATTAAAATGAGATGATGCATGCAAAGTGTGCCTGGTGGACACTTAATACAGGTGAGTTCACTTATCCCTCTTGTTACCGAAAGGGCCTGCTCAGCCCAGTCTCCCTCTGTACTTCCTTCATCTCAGTGCTACCTCTGAGTCTCTCTCATTCCTCCCTGTTCTTGGAAGCCACCTGGAGAAAAGTGACTGATGACATCATGGACCCTCTAGCCCGACTGGCTTCAAATCTTGGTTCTCTCTCTGGAACAATTTTGATATGAAACAAGTTGCTTTGCTTCTTTGTGCCTGAGTTTCTTCATCTGTAAAATGGGGATACTAATTCATAGGATTAGAATGATGTTTAAGGGTGCGGCCATTGTACCATTGCTGAATGTGCCTTGAACTCCCAAATGTTTGAAAGGGAACACCATAATTTTCACTGTATCATGTAAAAGTGATATCAAAGCAAAGATTATATAACAGCACTGAGGCTGGACAGTGGGGAATGGAGGGGGACTCCTTGAGATAAATTACCACCTCCTTCACTTTTTTTCTGAGACGGAGTCTCACTATGTTGTCCAGGCTGGCCTCAGACTCCTGGGTTCAAATGATCTTCCCACCTCAGTTTCCCTAGTAGCTGGGACTACAAGTGCAAACCACTGCACCCAGTCCTCCTTCACTTTTGATTTGCTCAACACCTAGTGGCATCCTGTGTTCTCATCCTATTCTTTCCTGCCTTGCCCAGGACCTCATCTTGTGATGACAAGAGGTACCCGGTCTCCTTGCCTCAGATTCCTTCTCCCACCCTTTCTTCCTCACCACAGCCTGTAACTTCCTATAGCACAGCTCTGGCTCCTGCCTAGGGGTTGCTTCAGGGATACCTGAAGGTCTCTTTCTGCCCTTCCTACTTAGCCTTTTTCTTTTTTTAAAGCAGAGACAATGTCTCACTATGTTGCCCAGGCTGGTCTCAAACTCGTGGCCTCAAGTGATCCTCCCACCTCCCAAAGTGCTGGAATTACAGGCATGAGCCACCACACCCAGTTTAGCTACTATTAATCCCTCCCTTATGCCCCATTTGTTCCACCACTGGATTCTCTGCCATCCCCTAAAAGGAGTCACCATTTCCTACCCTCAGAGCTTTGCTTCAGTCTCTTCTGCTGCCTAAAATTTTCTCCCTTCCAGTTTTAATGTGTCAACATCCTGGGCATCCCACACTGCCTCTCCATAGCCCTATCCTCCTCCAAGGGATTTCCTCTTATGCCCCCACTCTTCATTTCACACATGCTTACTGAGGGCATGCTCTGGTCCCAGAAGCTTTTTTGTTTCAGCCCCATAGTAACTAGGCAAATCTGCAAGCGCATGTCTTTCATGACGTGTTCTTTGTTGACCATTTTCTTTCCCCTACTGGATTGTAAGTACCTTTGAAGACAGGCTGTGCATTATACAGTGTGTGGATTGTTCTAGGTGAACAATAAAGCCTGCTAAACAGAATTTTTGGTGACATGTCCTTTCTAGGCCTGGCAACGACACCCAGGGCCTACTTCTTTCAAGGTGGTGAAGGCCTATTAACATAAGCCCAAGATTCACAGGGCCTCAGCATCCTTGACCTCTGCGCCTTTATGGAGTGAGAGTTAAATAGTAGCCCGGGACGGGTGGGTTAGTTACTGGTCAAAGTCAATCCTCCAAGTCAACTTGGCCTGGACTAAAGTAACCAAACCCATGCAGAAAACTTGCAATTTAAAAATTCATCTTCCCTTTCTTCCTAGAAAGGACTGGGCAGAAATGCAGGCTCCAGGGTGGGAGTGGGGCTGCGACGGGAGGAGGCAGCGAAGTTCATTAGCCCCCTCATTTGGGGCAATAGGAATCCGTGTGGTGACAAACAATTGTCCTGGAGGATTTAGGGGGATTTGGCCAAGTGTCCCTGTGGGCCCCCAGCCTCCTCCTAATCCCGTCCACATTTCAGACTACTTAGGATCGCATTAAATGTCAAAGCCGGCGTTTAGGGAAATATCTACATTTCGTATGCATCGCTCGGATGAAAAGAAAAGCTGAAACGAACCTCGGAGCTTTTGGCGCGAGAGGCGCTCTGTGTGGTCCCGAGTGTGAATGGGAAGAGGGGGGCGGCGCCCCGGGGGCCTCCCCGCCCAGGAATGCAGGCCTTTCACATGTAGAAAATGCTAATGCTTTGTTCCTGCCTCGGCCTCCCGGAGGCGCAGAGGCGCCCGGCCGGATTGTCCCGGCGCATTTGCATGTGAGCGGCCCCAGATCCCCGTCCCCACCCTCGGCCCTCCCCCACCCCAGCACGGCTGGCCGGGGACTTCTGTCCTCGGGCCGGGGCCGCCTTCAAACGTCCTCTGCCGTCATTTATTTCATCCCGGTTAAAGCCACAAATAGCTACTTTCTGAATGGATAGCCTTTCCCCTGGGGAGCCGGGCAGGTGAACATTTTTTACTCCATACTTGAGACACTTGACAAAGAGAGTTGTATCTGGAACAACCTCTGTTCCAGCGAGGAAGGGCACGGCGTTGGCTGAGCCATGCCCCACTACAGCGTCACATTTATGTCCTGTGGCGAACACGCTGTGTTTGGCGTGACACTAGGGGCTCCAAACTACCCATTACGTGGTTCGTCTTCAGTGGCATCCAAGCGACCGCAGGTGGCGGGGCCGAAGGGGTAAGGGTATTTCATGCACGTTTTACGGAAGAAGACACAACCCAGAGTTGAGGGGCCACCGGGGTCCCTCTCTTGAGCACAGGCGCCCGGAGCGCAAATGCGCGGACTGACCCAGCGGCCGGCGCGGCGGCGCCGGGCGGACTTAATCGCGGGCGCAGCGCGAGGCTCGGGACCCAGAGCACCACCTACCGGCGGCACGGTCGGCGCAGCAGGCCCCAGAAGGGCGGGGAACGCTGTCAAGCCCAGGGGCACTTCGGCGAGGAGCCCCACCCGCCCTCCAGCTGACCCTCAGCTGTGGCCCACATCCGGGGCCCAGAGCGCCGCGGAAACGCCGAAGCCCGGCCGGCAGGTACCCGCACGTCTCCTTCTGCCACCGCGGAGCTTGCTTCATTAACTCCGTTTCATGTGACTTATTTTATTTCTTTTATTTTTATTTATTTCATTTTATTTTATTTCACTTATTTCACTTCAATATTTTATTTGGTTTATGGTTTTACTTCATTAATTTTACTTCATTAATTCTGTTTTCCCCATTATTTAATTTTATTCTGTCTCAGTATTTAATTATTTGTTTCACTACTTTATTTGTGAGTGAAGGGAAAGGGCGGATACCTTTTTTGTCTTATTTTTCGTTGTTGTTATTGTTGTTGTTGTTGTTTTTTGAGACAGAGTCTCGCTTTGTCGCCCAGGCTGGAGTGTAGTGGCGCGATCTTGGCTCACTGCAACCTCTGCCTCCTGGGTTCAAGCGATTCTCCTGCCTCAGCCTCCTGAGTACCTGGGATTACAGTCGTGCGCCACTACACCTAGCTAATTTTTGTGTTTTTAGTGGAGACGGAGTTTCCACCATGTTGGCCAGGCTGGTCTCGAACTCCTGACCTCAGGTGACCCACCCTCCTCGGCCTCCCAAAGTGCTGGGATTACAGGCCTAAACCACTGCGCCCTGCCGGCCTCAATCATATTTTTTTAAACCCCTTCCAGCTGCCTGCTCTAGGCAAGATAACTTGCCCAGTGTACAGGGCAGAAAAGAGGAGATGACAACATAGTCCTAGGCTCAAGAGCCCCAAGCCAAACTGACAAACAACAAAGACCCAATAATTCAAACCAGGCTCCATGGAGGAGGTGTCATTTCAGGTGGGCAGATACAAAGGGATAGGAAGCTGCTTCATGTGCCTGGATAATAGGGGCCGTGCCTGAATAATAGGGGCCATGTTCCATATCAATACAAGGAAGAGTTCCGTCACACTGTGGAGAGTCTCTTGTGCTGGAGCGAGCTGTCTGCAATTTGAGTTAGGCCAGGAAAGTCTCAGGCCTGGGCCCTGATGGTTCTGTGGTTTCCATGGGAGGGCCTTCAAGGTTGTGACATCCGCTCCCCATACAGTATGATGTGTGTTATGTATTATTTTGAGGATAGGGGAAGATGATTCCCTATTTATTTGCTATCAGTTCTCTAGAAAGCACAATGAATTGCATTTCTGAATATTCACCTTATTTTCCCCCAATCTTTAATTTTGAAAAATATTAAGTATGTAGAAAAGATGGATGTCCGGGCCCGGTGGCTCACGCCTGTAATCCCAACACTTTGGGAGGCCGAGGTTGGCGAATCACCTGAGATCAGGAGTTCAAGACCAGCCTGGCCAACATGGCGAAACCTCATCTCTACAAAAATACAAAAAGTAGCTGGGCATGATGGTGGGTGCCTGTAATCCCAGCCACTCAGGAGTCTGAGACAGGAGAATTGCTTGAACCCCAGAGGCAGAGGTTGCAGTTAGCCGAGATCACACATTTGCACTCCAGCCTGGGCGACTGAGCAAGAATCTGTCTCAAAAAAAAAGGATGGAAAAGTCGCTTAATGAAACTTTATGTCCTAAATCCACCAACTGATTCTTTGCCAGCATTTACTCTAGCATGCTTCCTCTCTCTCTCTCTCTCTCACACACACACACACACACAAACACACACACACAAACCTGTATGTATGCATCTATCTATCTTTTTTTACTGAATTTTTTTTTTTTTTTGGAGACGGGTCTCCTTCTGTCACCCACGCTGGAGTGCGGTGGACGATCTCAGCTCTCTGCAACCTCTGCCTCCTGACTTCAAGTGATTCTCCTGCCTCAGCCTCCTGAGTAGCTGGGACTACAGGCATGTGCCACCACGGCAGGCTAATTTTTTTTTTTTTTTTTTGAGACGGAGTTTCATTTTTGTTGCCCAAGCTGGAGTGCAATGGCGCAATCTCAGCTCACTGCAACCTCCACCTCCGGGGTTCAAACGATTCTCCTGCCTCAGTCTCCCGAGTAGCTGGGATTACAGGCGCGCACCACCACACCTGGCTAATTTTTGTATTTTTGGTAGAGATGGGGTTTCACTATGTTGACCAGGGTGGTCTCGAACTCCTGACCTCAGGTGATCCGCCTGCCTCAGCCTCCCAAAGTGCTGGGATTACAGGCGTGAGCCACCACGACTGGCCTCATTTTTTTTTTAGAGACAGAGTCTCGCTCTGTCGCCCAGGCTGGAAGTACAGTGGTGCGATCTCAGCTCAATGCAACCTCCACCTCCCGGGCTCAAGCAATTCTCCTGCCTCAGCCTCCCGACTAGCTGGGACTGCAGGCACACACTGCCACGCCCAGCTAATTTTTTGTATATTAGTAGAGACTGGGTTTCACCATGTTGCCCAGGCTGGTGTGGAACTCCTGAGCTCAGGCAATTCACTTGCCTCAGTCTCCCAAAGTCATGCTGAGATGACAGGCATGAGCCACCGTGCCCGGCCTTAATTTTGTATTTTTAGTAGAGACCGGGTTTCACCATGTTGGCCAGGCTGGTCTCGAACTCCTGACCTCAGGTGATCCACCCGCCTCAGCCTCCCAAAGGCCTCAAGCCTCCCAGAGTGCTGGGATTACAGGCATCAGCCACCACCCCTGGCCTACTGAACTTTTTTTTTTTTTTCTTTTTTTTTTGAGACGGAGTCTTGCTTTCGTTGCCCAGGCTGGAGTGCAATGGCACGATCTTGGCTCACTGCAACCTCTGCCTCCCAGGTTCAAGCGATTCTCCTGCCTCAGCCTCCCAAGTGTCTGGGATTACAGGCATGTGACACCATGCCCGGCTAATTTTGTAGTTTTAGTAGAGACAGGGTTTCTCCATCTTGGCCAGGCTGATCTTGAACCCTGACCTCAGATGATCCACCTGTCTCAGCCTTCCAAAGTGCTGGGATTACAGGCGCACCACTGCCCCCAGCCCCTGCTGAACTTTTTTTGTTTTGTTTGTTTTGTTTTGTTTTTTTTGAGACGGAGTCTGGTTCTGTTGCCCAGGCTCGAGTGCAGTGGCACAATCTCGGCTCACTGCAACCTCCACCTCCCAGGTTCAAGTGATTCTCCTGCCTCAGCTTCCTGAGTAGCTGGGATTACAGGTGTCCTGCCTCAGCTTCCCAAGTAGCTGGGATTACAGGCACCCGCCACAATGCGCGGCTAATTTTTGTATTTTTAGTACAGACGGGGTGGTTTCACCATGCTGGCCAGGCTGGTCTTGAACTCCCGACCTCAGGCGATCAGCCTGCCTCAGCCTCCCAAAGTCCTGGGATTACAGGCGTGAGCAAACACTTTGGGAGACTGAGGCAGGTGGATCACCTGAGGTCAGGAGTTGGAGACTAGCCCGGTCAACAGGGTGAAACCCCATCTCTACTAAAAATACAAAAAGCCGGGTGAGGTGGCCGGCTCCTATAATCACAGCTACTTGGGAGGCTGAGGCAGGAGAATCGCTATAACCCAGGCGGCAGAGGTTGCAGTGAGCCCAGATCGCACAACTGCACTCCAGCCTGGGCGACACACAGCGACACTCCCTCTCAAAAAAAAAAAAAAAAAAAAAAATTGAGGCCAGGCATAATGGCTCACGCCTGTAATCTCAGCATTTTGGGAGGCTTAGATGGGCAGATCACTTGAGCTCAAGAGTTCAAGTCCAGCCTGGGAAACATGGTGAAACTCTGTCTCTACCAAAAATATAAAAATAAAATAAAATTAGCCAGGCATGGTGGCGCTCGCCTGTACTCCCAGCTACTCAGGAGACTGAAGTGGGAGGATCACTTGAACCCAGGAGGCAGAAGTTTCAGGGAATCGAGATGGTGCCACTGTACTCCAGCCTGGTGAAGAGAGGGAGACCCTGTCTTAAGAAAAAAAAAAAAGCCTTGTCACAAGATAGCGCGGAAAGCGAAGAAGGAAGTTCCCGTCCCTCCTAAAGCCGAAGCCAAAGCGAAGTCTTTAAAGGCCAAGAAGGCAGTGTTGAAAGGTGTCCGCAGCCACAAAAAAAAGAAGATCCGCACGTCACCCACCTTACGGCGGCCCAAGACACCGCGACTCCGGAGACAGCCCAAATATCCTCGGAAGAGCGCTCCTAGGAGAAACAAGCTTGACCACTATGCTATCATCAAGTTTCTGCTGACCACTGAGTCTGCCATGAAGAAGATAGAAGACAATAACACACTTGTGTTCATTGTGGATGTTAAAGCCAACAAGCACCAGATTAAACAGGCTGTGAAGAAGCTCTATGACAAAGATGTGGTCAAGGTCAACACCCTGATTCGGCCTGATGGAGAGAAGAAGGTGTATGTTTGACTGGCTCCTGATTACGATGCTTTGGATGTTGCCAACAAAATTGGGATCATCTAAACTGAGTCCAGTTGCCTAATTCTAAATATATATATATATATCTTTTCAGCATAAAAAAAAAAGCCGGGCCCGGTGGCTCACGCCTGTAATCCCAGCACTTTGGGAGGCCAAGGTGGGCAGATGACGAGGTCAGGAGATTGAGACCATCCTGGCTTAACACAGTGAAACCCCGTCTCTACTAAAAATACAAAAAAATTAGCCGGGCGTGGTGGCGGGTGCGTGTAGTCCCAGCTACTCGGGAGGCTGAGGCGGGAGAATGGCGAGAACCCGGGAGGCGGAGCTTGCGGTGAGCCAGTATCGCGCCACTGCATTCCAGCCTGGGCGAGAGCAAGACTCCGCAAAAAAAGACTAATATCAAAATCCCCCTTCTAGGAAATTACAAACATTTTCATTTCTCTTAGATACCAAATGGAATGCCTTCCTGATGATTTGCTGTTGTATATCTTCGCTAGTTCTGAAGGCCACAAGTCAAGATCAAGGTGCCAGCATGGTCAGGTTCTAATGGGGCTCTCTTCCTGGCTTATAGATGGCTGCCTTCTCCCTGTGTCCTCACTTAGCCAGGAGAGAGGGCCAGGAGGACTGGTTTCTTTATTTTCTTTTCTTTTCTTTTCTTTTTTTTTTTTTTTTTTTTTGAGACAGGGTCTCACTCTGTCGCCCAGGCTGGAGGGCATTGGCACAATCTCGGCTCACTGCAACCTCCGCATCCTGAGTTCAAGCGATTCTCCTGCCTCAGCCTCCCGAGTAGCTGGGATTACAGGCGTGCATCACCACGCCCAATTTTTTTTTTTTTTTTTTTTTTGTATTTTTAGTAGAGACGAGGTTTCACCACATTACCCAGGATGGTCTTGATCTCCTGACCTCATGATCCGCCCGCCTCAGCCTCCCAAAGTGCTGGAATTACAGGCATGAGCCACCGCGCCCGGCCGCTCACCCAACTAATTTTTGTATTCTTAGTAGAGACGAGGTTGGCCAGGCTGGTCTCAAACTCCTGGACTCAAGTGATCCACCCACCTTGGCCTCCCACAAGTGCTGGGATTACAGGTGTGAGCCACTGCGCCCAGCTGGTTTCTTTCAAAGTTTGCTCTTGCAAACTCTTGCCGGGCGTGGCGGTGGGCACCTGTAGTCCCAGCTACTCGGGAGGCTGAGGCAGAATGGCGTGAACCCGGGAGGCAGAGCTTGCAGTGAGCCAAGATCGCGCCACTGCACTGCAGCCTGGGCGGCAGAGCGAGACTCCGTCTCAAAAAAAAAAAAAAAATAGTTTGCTCTTGCTTTTCTGTGTATTTAGCTCCCAGCACTCCTATCCCCACACTGCTTCCAAAACAATCCAATAAGGAAACCACAACGACATCCAAATTTCCCTTTGTAAAAATGGCATGTTTTCTAGGTTGAGAAACTCCGATTTCCATTTAATCGTTGTGACTTTCATTAGCGCTGAACACCAGAAAGGGAGGAATCTGGGAGATTTGGGAGATGGCTGCAGATGCAGGCAATGGCCAAAACACTGGTTAGAGGAGCCCTGTTAGGATGAGGAGATGCAGCACAGTGTTGAGAAGTGGTTAGTGTGGCTGCTCTTGCTTGACTCACATCTGGTGAAATGCAGGGTGGACAGCAGTCCTGAGGTGGGGATTAATCCATCATCATCTGGTGGGGGCAGGTTTTTAAGGTCCTCTATCTCAGATAGGGTTTAATGGCACGGCGGGAAAGGAGTATAGATGGGAGAGGTTGTAAACAAAGAAGTCTTCCGCCAGGCGCGGTGGCTCACGTCTGTAATCCCAGCACTTTGGGAGGCCGAGGTGGGCGGATCACTTGAGGTCAGGAGTTCAAGACCAGCCTTGCCAACATGGTGAAACCCCATCTCTACTAAAAATACAAAAATTAGCCAGGCATGGTGGTGCGTGCCTGTAGTCCCGGCTACTCAGGAGGCAGAGGTGAGAGAATTACTTGAACCTGGGAGGCAGAGGTTGCAGTTAGCCGAGATCGCACCATTGCACTCCATCCTGGGCGACAGAGTGAGACTCTGTCTCAGAAAAAAGAAAGAAAAGAAAAAAAGAAAGAAGTCTTCTTCCCGTGCCACACTAAGTGGTTGGGTCAAGGAGCCTACTTGGACAAGATTCCTGCTGTCCCCCTGAGAAGAGCAACACTAGCCACAGGCCCAGTGATGACACCACCAGGCATGTGAGTCCTGAGTCCCACCAACACAGGCTCCTATCACTCAAGTCAGGCAAAAGGTGGGTTCTTTTCCACGGACTTTGGATTTTCACTTTGCTGCTTTCTAATTTCTTTGTGATGCATCCACTTGTATGCTTCCTCCTCCTCCTCCTGGATAGCACTTCAAGGAAGGTGGGAAACATATACTGGGAACCAAACTACTGAGGTCCAATTCCCAGCCCTACTACTTCCTGTGTGACCTAGAGCAAGTTACTTTACCTCTCTGTGCTGCAGTTTCCTTTTTTTTGAGACAGTCTTGCTGTCTCCCAGGCTGGAGTGCAGTGGTGCTTGCTATCTTGGCCCACTGCAACCTCCACCTCCCGGGTTCAAGCAATTCTCATGCCTCAGCCTCCCAAGTAGCTGGGATTACAGGCATGCACCACCACACCCAGCTAATTTTTGTATTTTTAGTAGAGATGGGTTTTGCCATGTTGCCCAGGGTGGTCTCGAACTCCTCAACTCAGGCAATCTGCCTGCCTCAGCCTCCCAAAGTGCTGGGATTATAAGCGTGAGCCACTGCATCCAGCCAATTTCCTTATTTGTAAAATAGGATGATAATGATACAGACCTCATAGACCTGTTAATGAAGCTTAAATGAGGTTGTATTTGTAAAGCTCAAGAAACAGTCAGTCCCTAGTATTATACTAGATCAGTGAAAGTTACATAAATTAAGTAAATGCAGAAGCTACCATCAATGCCCTGTAGAGCTCCTGTATCCGGACCTCCCTTGCAGACTTGGAAGGGAAGCAGGATGGGTTCATGGAAAAGTCTTGGACGTTGGGATTAGACACTCCTGGATTCAAATCCCAGCTCTGCTACTCCCTGGCTGTGTGAGCATGTGTAAGCTTCTTGGCCTCTGAACCTCAGTCTCAACACCTGTAAAATGAAAATAATGCTCACTTTGCAGGGCAGTGGTAAGGAAAAGAGCTTCCTTAGCTAAGGCTACACAGTAAACGGCCTCTGCTGTTGTCAGAGTGGTTCCTGAGGTTTTCTGTTTTTTGCCTATGAAAATCCAGTCCACTAGAGATGGCAGCTGCCACAGGTGTAGGAGTGGATAAGAGGGGAACTTCCCTGGCCTATCCTTTCCCTGGATCCCCTGAAGTTTCCAGGCCTTCTTTCCCAGAATAGGGGAAAAAATAGGCTTTTTCTTCCTTCTGGCTTTTCATAAGAGCAGTGTGGCCGAGTGTGGTGGCTCACGCCTGTAATCCCAGCACTTTGGGAGGCCGAGGTGGGCGGATCACAAGATCAAGACATTGGCTGGGCACAGTGGCTCACGCCTGTAATCCCAGCACTTTGGGAGGCCGAGGTGGGTGGATCACCTGAGGTCAGGAGTTCAAAACCAGCCTGACCAACATGGAGAAACCCCATCTCTACTAAAAATACAAAATTAGCTGGGTATGGTGGTGCATGCCTGTAATCCCAGCTACTCGGAAGGCTGAGGCAGGAGAATCACTTGAGCCCGGGAGGCAGAGGTTGCAGTGAGCCGAGATTGTGCCACTGCACTCCAGCCTGGGAAACAAGAGCAAAACTCCATCTCAAAAAAAAAAAAAAAAAAAAAAAAAGATCAAGACATTGAGACCAGCCGGGTGCAGTGGCTCACGCCTGTAATCCCAGCACTTTGGGAGGCCGAGGCGGGCGAATCACAAGGTCTGGAGATTGAGACCATCCTGGCTAACACGGTGAAACCCCCGTCTCTACTGAAAATATAAAAAATTAGCCGGGCGTGGTGGTGGGCACCTGTAGTTCCAGCTACTCGGGAGGCTGAGGCAGAAGAATGGCGTGAACCCAGGAGGCGGAGCTTGCAGTGAGCCAAGATCATGCTACTGCACTCCAGCCTGGGCGACAGAGCGAGACTCCATCTCAAAAAAAAAAAGAGATTGAGACCATCCTGGCCAACATGGTGAAACCCCATCTCTACTAAAAATACAAAAATTAGCTGGGTGTGGAGGCAGGTGCCTGTAGTCCCACCTATTCTGGAAGCTGAGGCAGGAAAATTGCTTGATACCGGGAGGCGGAGGTTGCAGTGAGCCAAGATCACACCACTGCACTCCAGCCTGGTGACAGAGCAAGACTCTGTCTCAAAAAAAAAAAAAAAAAGAACAGTGTGAAAAACTTTGAAAATCACAGGATTTTGTGATCAAAAACCTGAAGTCACATGCAGCCCCTCATTTGGCCTGTAAGCCCCTCACAGGCCCCAAAATTGGGGCAGCTGTTGTGGAGCCCAGTATTGCTATGACAATTGCCCCTTCAACTTAGAGTCTGATGCTCTATAGAACTCTGAGTATGGATTTTATCTGTCTGTCTATCTATCTGTCTATCATCTATCATTTTTTACTACAATCCAGGCTAGACTAATCATTAAAATAGAGAACAGGATTCTTGGAGGAGATGACAAGCTGTGGTCCCTGCTTCACTGATTCCTGCAGTAAAATTCATAGAACAAAAGGATTCAAGGCTGGGCGAGGTGGCTCACGCCTGTAATCCCAGCACTTTGGGAGGCTGAGGCGGGTGGATCACTTGAGGTCAGAAGTTTGAGACCAGCCTGGCCAACATGGAGAAACCCCATCTCTACTAAAAATACAAAAATTAGCTGGGCATGGTGGCGGGCAACTGTAATCCCAGCTACTCGGGAGGCTGAGGCAAGACAATCACTTGAATCCAGGAGGCGGAGGTTGCAGTGAGCTGACATCCCGCCATTGCACTCCAGCCTGGGCGACAAAAGTGAAACTCCATCTCGAAAAAACAAAAAGCACTTTGGGAGGCCAAGGCGGGCAGATCACCTGAGGTCGGGAGTTCAAGACCAGCCTGACCAACATGGAGAAGCCCCGTCTCTACTAAAAATAAAAATACAAAATTAGCCGGGTGTGGTGGTGCATCCTGTAATCCCAGCTACTCAGGAGACTGAGGCAGGAGAATTGCTTGAACCTGGAAGGCAGAGGTTGCAGTGAGCCGAGATCACACCATTGCACTCCAGCCTGGGCAACAAGAGCAAAACTCCCTTTGGAAAAAAAAAGGATTCAGCAGAAACAGGTAAACATGGTGAAATTGAGGCCAAAATTCAAGAGATTAGGCCTAGACTTTTTTTTTCTTTTGAAAATTCTAACCAGGTTTGGCTGTTCATGAAAACTTTTAATAGCTGAGTTTTTTCTGTGTTTTGTTTTAAGTGGGAGTGAAGTTCTGAAAGGGTCAGGAACAAATGGAAGAAAATGAAGCTAACGGGGGACTTGGGGCACAGCGAACTGTTCTTAGGCCCACTGAGTCAAAGGCACAAGAATCAAACTGGAGAGAGTGAGGAGCTCAAGCCAGACAAAGCCAAAGTGGTAGATTTCCTTTCTTAGGCCAACTAGGTTTTCCTTTGCTGGGAAGGAAGAGTGGCTTTTAAATTTTTGATCTAAAATAGAGGTGAGTTTAGGGTGCCGTACAGCTGCATTTTTCACCCCTCAGAATCCCTTCTGCTTGAAAAAGGTCTTAATGAGGTCTAGCGGCCCTAACTCGACCTGCTTGGTCAGTGTTTCTTTCTTTAGAGAGTGATCCTGCTGAATTAAAATTCAATTAATCCAACTTTAAGGGCAAGAAAAACTATTTGTGAAAAATCATTAAACAGCACATAAAATCCTTTGAGGAAGACTGAATACTAGGAGAAGTACAGCCTGGCTTTTGTTAAGGTACTTTGGGCCCAATGAGTTAACTTTTTCAAGGAATTTTAACAAGATAGTGGTCAAAGTGGAATTTGTTCGTGTAGTTTATTTAAGGTTTTACAAGGCCCTGCAAAGAGTCCCTCCCCTAAGTCTGGAGGAGAAGAGAGTTTGTAAAAACGTGGTGAGAGCTAAAATCTTAGGGGGGCATTTTTAGACCTGGGAGGAAACAAAACTGGCCTAGATGCTTCAAAAATATCAGGGTCCTGGCCGGGCGCTTAAACACTTTATGGCAGGGTGCGGTGGCTCACGCCTGTAATCCCAGCACTTTGGGAGGCCGAGGCGGGTTGATCTTCTGAGGTCAGAAGTTCGAAACCAGCCTGGCCAACATGGCAACCCCCGTCTCTACTAAAAATACAGAAATTAGCTGGGCGTGATGGCACACACCTGTAATCCCAGCTACTCGGAAGGCTGAGGCAGGAGAAACACTTAGAACCCAGGAGGTAGAGGTTGCAGTGAGCCCAGATCGTGCCATTGCACTCCAGCCTGGGTGACAGAGCAAGACTCCATCTAAAAAAAAAAAAAAGCCAGGGTCCTTAAAGACAAAGGAAGGCCAGAGAACTGCCACAGGTGAAAGGAAACTGGGCTGGGCACAGTGGCTCACGCCTGTAATCCCAGCACTTTGGGAGGCCAAGGCAGGTGAATCATGAGGTCAGGAGTTCAAGACCAGCCTAGCCAACATGGTGAAACCCCATCTCTACTAAAAATACAAAAAAATTAGCCAGCCCTGGTGGCCGGCACCTGTAATCCCAGCTACTCAGGAGGCTGAGGCCAAGAATTGCTTGAACCTGGGAGGCAGAGGTTGCAGTGAGCCAAGATTGCACCACTGCACCCCAGCCTGTGTGACAGAGTGAGACTTCGTCTCAAAACAAAAAACAAACAAAAAGGAAACTGAGGAGACTTGACAACTGAATGTAGCATGTGATCATGGATTGGATCCTGGGAAGGGAGAAACAAATTTGCCCAGAAAGGACAGATTTGGGACAACTGGTGAAACATGAATCCAGTCTATGGATTAGATAATGGTACTATATCAACATTTAATTTCCTGACTTTGAGAACTGTACTTTTGTTGTGTAAGATAATGACCATGGTCTTAGGAAATGCACAAGGAAGTGATTAGACATAGAGGGGCATCACCAGGAGTTCTGGTTCACGCCTGTAATCCCAGCACTTTGGGAGGCTGAGGTGGGCGGATCACGTGAGGTCATGAGTTCGAGAAATAGAAGGGCATCATATCCACAACTTTACTCCCAGATGGTTCAAGAAAAATAGTATACGTGTGTATAGATATATATACTCCACTTATAATAGACACATATGTACATATCCCAACATATACATACCGTGTACATGTAATACATGTATATAATATATAGATATAGTAATATATATGTAAATATATGGGAGAGAAGAAGTGATAATGCAAATTGGGCAAAGTGTTAATATTTGGGGACTCTAGGTTAAGGATATATTGGAGTTCTTTGTACTATTACAATTTTTCTCTAAATTTGAAATTATTTCAAAATACAAGGTAAGCTAATATAAAAATAAGTAAAACTAAATAAATTTAAGAAGAGATAAAAGCTTTAAAAAAGAGCCAGTCATGGTGGCTCATGCCTGTAATCCCAGCACTTCCGGAGGCTGAGGCAGGAGGATCATTTGAGGCCAGGAGTTCAAGACCAGCCTGGTCAATATAGTGAGACCTCATCTCTATTAAATAAATAAACAAACAGGCTGGGGGAGTGGCTCGCCGCCTGTAATCCCAACACATTGGGAGGGCGAGGTGGGCAGATCACAAGGTCAGGAGATCGAGACTATCCTGGCTAAGACGGTGAAACCCCATCTCTATTAAAAATACACAAAATTAGCTGGGCATTGTGGCAGGTGCCTGTAGTCCCAGCTACTCGGGAGGCTGAGGCAGAAGAATCGCTTGAACCAGGGAGGCGGAGGTTGCAGTGAGCTGAGATCGTGCCACTGCACTCCAGCCTGGGTGACAGAGTGAGATTCCATCTCAAAAAAATAAATGAATAAATAAATAATAAACAAATAAATAAATGAAAAGAAACCTTAAAAGAAAAAAAGAAACAAAAAGGAGGTAGATAAGGAAAGAAACAATCTGTGACTTTTTTTATTTCCTCTTGCCCCATAATGTATCAAGACAGGTGCTAACAGGCTACACAAGAATTAAGAATCACCCCAAAGAGGTTTGTAACCAAACTCGGAAGACCTAAGGCACTTGCAGTAATTGAAAACCTGTGGTCATCCATGTATCCAGGAGCCATCATTCAACAAAGAGTTACTAAAGACCTTTGGTGCCCAGGCCAGAGTTTGTGACTTAGCTCCTGCCTCCAAGGAGCTGGCAGTTTTATGCAAGAGACTAACACACACAAAATTATTGCAGTGTCCACAAGAATTGTGACGGTAGCATGAATGTGGGAGTGTGCACCTCAGTCTGGGGAGGGAACCTGCCGGAAACAACTTACTTCTCAGAAGATGTGACACTGAAAGCAGGTTTTGAAGGCTGAGTAGGAGTCAGAGAAGGGAGTTGTGAGCCTTGGTAGAGGAGACAGTCTGCAAAGCACAGAGATAGGAGACAGTATGCAACAGCCAAGTCACAAAGGCACATTAAGCAAAGTGGGTGCTGAAAAGCATCAGGCAGGAGGCTGGACAGGCGAGTCATGGCTGAAAGGCTTAGAGGAGGCTAGAGTTTCTGAGCTAGGATTTGAAGAAGGAGACTGCCAAGGATTCGTGAAAACCACGTATTATAGACAAACAGAGGGAATGAGCACACAGGTCAGGAATGAGCAAATCCCAAGGCTAAGGGGACGGTAAACACTCTGGAGCCTGGGAGTCTGCACAAGGTGGGGTTGTGCAAGGTGTTTGCTTCTCACCTGAGCCTGCAGGCTTTCACATGAGGCCTCAGCCTATAGTCCCATGGTCAGGGTCAACCCAGGAAAACAGAAATGACTATACATATTTGTAACAGAGAAATTTAGTGGGGGGATTTTGTTGGACAGGTGAGGGAATTAAGAGGTCAGCTAGAGCAGGAAGCCGCTGCCACTCCTAGGCTGGAGGGTCAAGGGAGGAAGTGATGTTACCTGAACCCAAGGGTTGAGGTCACCTGCTGGAAGCCGAAGCCACAACAGGCCTGGAACTGGAGCCATGGAAGAGATGCAGCCACTAATGAAGGCGGGAGTTGCTACCAAGGCAGAGGGAGGAGAGAATACCCTGGCTTTTCCCTTCTCATCCTCTTGTCAACTGCCAACCTCCTATTGGCTAAACCCAGCCAAAGCCAACTGACATAGGAACTGAGGGAGTATAACTGAGGATCAGCCTCGCTGTGATCTAGGACAGAGCAGGGGAAGGGCTGGGAATGGATCTGAGGGCACCCAGACCCAGAAGCAGTCCATATGGGAGCTGTTTTCAGTCCCGCACATAAATTGGGCAGTCTTTTCTGTCCATGTATCAGCACTGACTTATTCAATCCCCCAGTGTTCTTTGGCTCAGGAAATGGTACCATCATACATCCAGGTGCTCAGGTAAAAACTCTGGAGTCAACCCCACTCTCACCTTTTGACTTCTGTCTTTCATCCAACCCATCAACAAATCCTAAGGGCTCCACTTTATTTTGTTTTTTGGTTTTTGGTTTTTGTTGTTGTTTTGAGATGGCGCCTCGCTCTGTTGCCAGGCTGGAGTGCAGTGGCTTGTAAAATGGAGAAATCAAAAGTGCCATTTTCTTGCTATTTAGAACCATTATCGAGTTTGTACTGGGGCCAAGCAGTGTTGCAGAAGAAAATAAGACGCTTAGGTTTTAGGTCAGGTGAGAGTTGAAGAGGTTTTAAGTTTTTGAGAACACAGGCTAAGGGAGAAGAAGGAGGAATGGAGGGTGGAAGGTTGCCCATAGTGAAGGAGGCAAGTCCACAGAAAAGAGAGGGTAGAGACACAGAGAAGGGGGGTTAGTGAGCAGCCCTGGGCTGCAATGTGGGTGAGCAGCCAACACAGGCATCCCCACCATTGACTTGCCACCAAGAGAATGTGGGTGAATGACCAAGGCAGGCGTCCCCGTGGTAATCAGACACCAATACAGTGTGGGTGAATAATCAGGCAGGGGTCCCCGCAGTGATTAAACACCAAGGGAAAACTGTCTTCCCGAGTCCGTGACCGGCGCCGGAGTTTTGGGTCCACAGATAAAATGTGTCTCCCTTGTCTCTACTACAGAGGAAAAAGAACTGGAATTGGAAGGACAGGGAGACTGAAGGGTAGCAACAGAGGCTGGAGAAGAGAGTGAAAAGACCGCTTACCCGATTTGAAATTGGTGAGATGTTCCTTGGGCTGGTTTGGTCTGAGGACCCGAGGTAGATCTCCTCACGGAGTGAGGGTGAGGACAGGGGACTGGTCTCCCGAAGGAGTCCTCCTGTCCCAGGTCTTCGGCACCAAATGTCACACGCGTCCATATGAAGAGACCACCAAACAGGCTTTGTGTGAGCAACAAGGCTACTTATTTCACCTGGGTGCAGGCGAGCTGAGTCCGGAAAGACTCAGCCAAGGAAGATAGGGGTGGGGCCATTTTATAGGATTTGGGTGGGTAGTGGAAAATTACAGTCAAAGGGGGTTTTTCTCTTACGGGCAGGGGCAGGGGTCACACGGTGCTCAGTGGGGGAGGTTCTGAGCCAGGAGAAGGAATTTCACAAGGTTAATCCCTCAGTTAAGGTGGGGCAGGAATAAATCACAATGGTGGAATGTCATCAGTTAAGGAAAGAACCGGCCATTTTCACTTCTTTTGTGATTCTTCACTTGCTTCAGGCCATCTGGACAAATACATGCAGGCTTGGGCTCAGAGGCCTGACACAAGCGAATCTCCTGCCTCAGCCTCCCCAGTAGCTGAAATTACAGGGATGCACCACCATGCCCAGCTAATTTTTGTATTGTTATTTTTTATTTTTCTATTTTTTTGAGACCGAGTTTTGCTCTTGTTGCCCAGGCTGGAGTGCAGCAGCGCGATCTCAACTCACTACAACCTCCGCCTCCCAGGTTCAAGCTACTCAGCCTTCCTGATCTGCCTGCCTCGGGCCTCCCAAAGTGCTGGGATTACAGGCGTAAACCACGGCGCCCAGCCAATTTTTGTATTTTTAGTAGAGACATGGTTTCACCATGTTGGCCAGGATTGTCTCAATCTCCTGACCTCATGATCGACCCGCCTCGGCCTCCCAAAGTGCTGGGATTACAAGCATGAGCCACAGAGCCCCGCAAGGGCTCTACTTTAAAACCATTGTGTATTTCATCAGTCTGAAAAGGCACATTTTTCTTTTTCTTTTTTTTTTTTTTTGAGATGGAGTCTCACTCTGTCGCCCAGGCTGGAGTGCAGTGGCGCGATCTCAGCTCACTGCAAGCTCCGCCTCCCGGGTTCACACCATTCTCCTGCCTCAGCCTCCCAAGTAGCCGGGATTACAGGCACCCACCACCACGCCCAGCAAATTTTGTGTATTTTTAGTAGAGACGGGGGTTTCACCATGTTAGCCAGGATGGTCTCAATCTCCTGACCTTGTGATCCGCCCGCCTCGGCCTCCCAAAGTGCTGGGATTACAGGCGTGAGCCACTGCGCCCAGCGAAGAGGCACATTTTTCACTTGACATTTCTGAAGCTGGGATGAAGTTTTCAGAGCATTAAACTAGTGGAGTTTTTCCTTGTGTGGTGGTAATAATGGTATATGCTTCAATTATTTATTGCTGCTTAACAAACCACTTGAGAACTGAGCTGCATAAAACAATCACCATTTTACCTTGCTCACCGATTTTGGGGGTCTGGAATTGAGAGAAGGCACAGCAAGAAATATTTGTCTCAGCTTCACAATGCCTGGAGTCTTAGCTGATAGCTGGGATGACTAAGGGCTGGAGGCTAGAGTCATCTGGAGAGGAGTCACTGACATGTCTGGCTCCTTGGTTGGGATGACAAGAATAGCTGGGGGCTCACTGGCTGGCTGGCTATCTGTCTATCATATATTGTTATATATTCTCGGAACTTCTCCATGTGGACTCTCCACATGGCCTCTCTATTATGGCAGCTCATGGTTCTGAGGGCCAGTGTCCCAGCTTCTTATTCTGATTGGACTGCTATAATAAAGTACCATAGACTAAGTAGCCTGTAAACAACAGTTTACCTTTCTGAAGGCTAGGAAATTGAAGATAAGGTACCAGTAGATTTGGTTTCTGGTAAGGGCCTGTTTCTTCATAGAGGGCATCTTCTCGCTGGGCGTGGGGGCCCACGCATGTAATCCCAGCACTTTGGGAGGCTGAGGTGGGTGGATCACGAGGTCAGGAGTTTGAGACCAGCCTGACCAACATGATGAAACCCCGTCTCTATTAAAAAATCCAAAAATTAGCTGGGTGTGGCGGCACGCGCCTGTAATCCCAGCTACTCAGGAGGCTGAGGCAGGAGAATTGCTTGAACCCGGGAGGCAGAGGTTGCAGTGAGCCAAGATCGCGCGCATTGCATTGCACTCCAGCCTGGGCGACAGAGTGAGACTCCAACTCAAAAAAAAAAAAAAAAAAAAAGAAGGCATGTTTTCATTGTAACCTCACAGGGTAGAAGGGGTGAGGGATCTCCCTGGGGTCTCTTATAAAGGCACTCATTCATCATGAGGGCTCCATTCTGATGACCCATCACCTCCCAAAGGCCCCACCTCCTACCTCCTAATACCATCACCTTGGGGGTTAGGATTTCAACATATGAATTTTGTGGAGACACACAAACATTCAGATCATAGCGCCCAGTGAGCAAGACGAAAGTTTGCCTCCGAAGTCACATCGCGTCACTTCCACTGTACTCTGCTGCTTGAAGCAGTCATAAGCCCACCCAAATTTTAGGGGAAGGCACACAGACCCCTGACCTCTCCATAAGAAGAGTGTCAAAGAATTTGGGGCTATGTTTTAGAACTGCCACAGCGTATCTTAAAATTAGTGGAGTCTTTGAGTCCACAAAATACGTTATCTTGAATTTGAGCACCCCTCACAACCTCTACTGCTAACACCCTGGTCCAAGCTATAATTACCATCCATCTGCCTCAGTGATTCCACTCCATCCCTCCTAGGCACCCTCACCATCTATTCTCTACACAGTAGCCAGAGTGATCCTTATAAAACATAAATCATGGCTGGACATGGTAGCTCATGCCTGTAATCCTACCACTTTGGGAAACCGAGGCAGATGGATCACTTGAGATCAGGAGTTCAAGACCAGCCTGTGCAACATGGTGAAACCCTGTCTCTACTAAAAATACAAAAATTAGCTGGGCATGGTGACTCATGCCTGTAGTCTCAGCTACTTGGCGGGGCTGAAGCAGGAGGATTGCTTGAACCTGGGAGGTGGAGGCTGCAGTGAATTGTGCCACTGCACTCCAGCCTGGAAGACAAAGTGAGACCCTGTCTCAAAAAAACAACAATAAAAACCCACAAACAGGCCAGGTGTGGTGGCTTATGCCTGTAATCCCAGCACTTTGGGAGGCCGAGGCAGGCAGATCACCTGAGGTCAGGAGTTTAAGACCAGCCTGGCCAACATGGTGAAACCCTGTCTCTACTAAAAATATAAAAATTAGCCGGGCGTGGTGGCGGGCACCTGTAATCCCAGCTACTCGGGAGGCTGAGGCAGGAGAATCGCTTGAACTCAAGAGGCGGAGGTTGCGGTAAGCCAAGATCACGCCATTGCACTCCAGCCTGGGCGATAAGAGCAAGACTCCGTCTCAAAAAGAGAAAAACACCCACAACAAACAAAAACACTTAAATGATATCATAGACTGCCTTGATCTTAATCTTCTATTGGCTTCTTATCACCCAGAAGAAAATCCAAAGTTCTAACTTGGACTTATAAGGCCCTGTATAATCAAACCCCTGACTTTATATCTGACCTTACTTCCTGCCAGTTTACCCCTCTGTTCATTCCATTCTTTCACTGGCAACATTGCTGTTTCTCAAAGGAATCTATCATATTCACACCTCAGGGTGTTTTAATTTGTGGTTCCCTCTTTCTGTTACTCTTCTCCCCTAGATATCTACATAGATATCTTTCACCTTATTCTGGTTTCTACTCAGATGTCATCTCTTCAGACAGGCCTTCCTTAACCTCTCCATCCAAAAATAGCACACTCAACTCTATCACTGTCCCCACACCCAGCATGGCTTTGCTGTGCTTTGCTTTACAGCGTTGATCACAAAAGGCTAATCTGCTCCACATTCATTTACATGTGCATTGTCTGTCTCCACCTTCAAGGCAGGGACTGTTTTGTTCACTGCTGCTTTCCCAAAGCCTGGTATATGGTAGGTGCTCAATAAATACTCATTGAATGAATTCACTTATTGCCTCATTTCCTCACTGTGTAACCTCAGGCAAATAACTTCTCTGGGCAGTTGGCAAGCAGGCTGGTGGATGGCTGTTCCTGCAGGGTCTCACTCACATAGTTGTTAGTTGGCCAGCTGTCTGTGGGGAGACGGAGGTAACTGAGCCACATGTCTTTCATCCTCCAGCAAAGTAGCCCAGGTGATCACATAGGTTGAATAGCAGCAAGAAGGCAAGCTCCTCCTTCTCTTCTGCTTGTGTCATGTTTGCTATTGTTCCATTGGCCAAAGCACATCATGTGGCCCTTCCCAGAGTCATGGTGAGAGGTCACAGTCAAAAGGCAAGCATACAGGGAGGCGTGCACAAATCGGGGGCCACGATTACAACAGTCTACCCCAACAGCTAATTTCAGAAGAGAGGACTAGCTTAAGTGCAGCAAAGTTGGGAGGTGGCAAGGAGGAAAAACAACTTCTGACCCAGCATTCTGGAAAAGCAGTGGACTTTGAGTTAGTTTTGTTTTGTTTTGTTTTGTTTTTTGAGACAAAGTCTTGCTCTTGTCCCCTAGGCTGGAGTGCAATGGCGCGATCTTGGCTCACTGCAACCTCCGCCTCCCGGGTTCAAGCGATTCTCCTGCCTCAGCCTCCCGAGTAGCTGGGATTACAGGCGTGCACCACCACACTCAGCTAATTTTTGTATTTTTAGTAGAGACGGGGTTTCACCATGTTGGCCAGGCTGGTCTTGAACTCCTGACCTAAAGTGATCCACCCACCTTGGCCTCCCAAAGTGTTGGGATTACAGGCATGAGCCACCACTCCCAACCAGGTTTTTTTGGTTTTTGTTTTTCAGACAGAGTCTTGCTTTGTTGCCCAGGCTGAAGTGCTGTGGCATGATCAAGTCTCACTGTAGCCTCAACTTCTCGGGCTCAAGTGATCCTCTCACCTCAGCCCCCTACTAGCTGAGACTATACATGTGGGCCACCACGCCCAGCTAATTTTTTGTGTTTTTTTGTAGAGATGGAGTTTCACCATGTTTCCCAGGCTGGTCTTGAACTCCTGGCCTCAAGTGATCCCCCCACCTCAACCTCCCAAAGTGGTGGGATTACAGGCATGACCCACCATGCCCAGCAATTTTTGTATTTTTTGTAGAGAGGGGGCTTTGCCATGTTGCCCATGTTAGTCCCATACTCCTGGGCTCAAGTGATCTGCCCTCCTCGGCCCCCCAAAGTACTGGGACTACAGGCATGAGCCACCATTACAGCCTAACATCTGTGATTTTATTTATTTATTTATTTATTTATTTATTTATTTATTTATTTTTGAGACCGAGTCTCCCTCTGTCACCCAGGCTGGAGTGCAGTGGCGTGATCTCAGCTCACTGCAAGCTCCATTTCCCGGGTTCATGGCATTCTCCTGCCTCAGCCTTCTGAGTAGCTGGGCACTCAGCTTGTATTTTTAGTAGAGACAGGGTTTCACCGTGTTAGCCAGGATGGTCTCGATTTCCTGACCTCATGATCCGTCCACCTCGGCCTCTCAAAGTGCTGGGATTACAGGCGTGAGCCACCGTGCCTGGCCCTATTTTTTTACTTTTTAATAGTAGCCATTTTGATCGATGTGAGATGGTATCACACTGTGGCTTTGATTTGCATTTCTCTAATGATTAGTGATGTTGAACATTTTTTAATTCTTGTTTGCCATATATATGTCTTCTTTTGAGAACTGTCTGTTCATGTCCTTTGTCAATTTTTTAATGGGGTTGTTTGTGTTTTGCTTGTTGATTTGTTTCGGTTCCTTATAGGTTCTGGATATTAGATCTTTGTCAGATGCATAGTTTGCAAATATTTTCTTCCATTCTGTAGATTATCTGTTTACTGTGTGATAGTTTGTTCTGTGTGCAGAAGCTCTTTGGTCTAATTAGGTCCCACTTGTCAACTTTTGTTTTTGTTGCAATTGCTTTTGGAGTCTTTGGCATGAAATCTTTACTAAGGCCTGTGTTCACAATGGTATTTCCTAGGTTTTCTTCTAGGGTGTTTATAGTTTTGGGTTTTACATTTAAGTCTTTAATCCATCTTGAGTTGAGAAGGAAGGGATCCATTTTCACTCATGCATATGGCTAAGCAGTTATCCCAGCACTATTTATTGAATGGGGAGTCCTTTCCTATTGCTTGTTATTATCAACTTTGTCGAAGATCAGATAGTTGTAGATGTGCAGCTTTATTTCTGGGTTTTCTATTCTGTTCCAATGGTCTACGTGTCTGTTTTTGTACCAGTACGACACTGTTTTGGTTACTGTAACCTTGT
Source organism: Homo sapiens (assembly GCF_000001405.40). Lineage (NCBI taxonomy): Eukaryota > Metazoa > Chordata > Mammalia > Primates > Hominidae > Homo > Homo sapiens. The sequence goes on from NW_025791770.1 coordinate 170,874, forward strand.
AGTACTGTTTGAAGCGGGGTAGTATGATGCCTCTGGCTTTGTTTTAAAAGTACTATCTCATTTAATTTTGAGCACTAGGTTCCATTTTCATCTCTTTTTTTTCTTTTTCATTTTTGAGATGAAGTCTTGCTCTGTTGCCCAGGCTGGAGTGCAGTGGTGCAATTTTGGCTCACTGCCACCTCTGCCTCCTGCGTTCAAGTGATTCCCCTGCCTCAGCCTCCCAAGTAGCTGGGATTACAGATGTGCACCACCATGCCCAGCTAATTTTTGTATTTTTAGTAGAGATGGGGTTTTACCATGTTGGCCAGGCTGTTCTCAAACTCCTGACCTCAAGTGATCTGCCTGCCTCAGCCTCCCAAACCTGGGATTACAGGTGTGAGCCACTGCTCCTGGCCACAATCTTGAGCAACAAGAACAAACCTGGAAGCATCACACTACCTGCTTTCAAAATACACTGCAAAACTGTAGTAATTAAAACAGCATGGTATTGGCATACAACAGATACACAGATCAATGGAACACAATATAAAGCCCAGATATAGATCCATGTATTTATGCTCAATTAATCTGCAACAAAGGTGCCAAGATCACACAATGGGAAAAGGACAGTCTCTTCAATAAATTGTGTTGGGAAAAGTGAATGTTTACAGGCAGAAGAATGAGATTGGACCTTTACAGCACACACAAAAATCAACTAAAAGTAGATTAAAGACTTAAAATATAAAACCAAAAACTGCAAAACTACTAAGAAGAAACAGGGAAAAAGCTTATTCACATTGGTCTGGACAATGATTTTTTTGGGTATAACCCCAAAACCACAGGCAACAAAAGCAAAAATAGACAAATGGGATTGCATCAAACTAAAAAGCTTCTGCACAGCAAAGGAAACCAACAACAGAGTTGAAGAGAACCTATAGCATGGGAGAAAATATGTGCAAACCACACATCTGATAAGAGTTAATATCTAAGATATATAAGGAATTGAAGTAGTTCGACAGCAAGAAAACAAATAACCCAATCAAAAAATGAGCAAAGAGGCCAGCCATGGTGGCTCACGCCTGTAATCTCAGCATTTTCGGAGGCGGAGGTGGATGGATCACCTGAGGTCAGGAGTTTGAGACCAGCCTGACCAACATGGTGAAACCCTGTTTCTACTAAACATACAAAAGTAGCTGGACGTGGTGGCACATGCCTGTAATCCCAACTACTCGGGAGGCTGAGGCAGGAGAATCATTTGAACCCAGGAGGTGGAGGTTGCAGTGAGCCAAGATTGCACCATTGCACTCTAGCCTGGGCAACAAGAGTGAAACTCCATCTCAAAACAAGAAAGAAAAAAAAAAAGGCAAACAGCCAGGTGCAGTGGTGTCTACCTGTAGTCCCTCCTACTTAGGAAGCTGAGGTGAGAGGATTGCTTGAGCCCACGAGTTTGAGGCTAGCCCAGGCAACATAGCGAGACCTCATCTCTAAAAAAATAAAAATAAAAAATTTAACGGGCAAAGGACCCAAACAGATATACCTCAAAAGAAGATATATAAATGGCCAATAGGTGTATGAAAAAATATTCAACATTGGCCGGGCATGGTGGCTCACGCCTGTAGTCCCAGCACTTTGGGAGGCCAAGGCAGGTGGATCATGAAGTCAAGAGATAGAGACCATCCTGGCCAACATGGTGAAACCCCGTCTCTACTAAAAATACAAAAATTAGCTGGGCGTGGTGGCACATGCCTGTAGTCCCAGCTACTCTGGAGGCTGAGGCAGGAGAATTGCTTGAACCCGAGAGGCGGAGTTTGCAGTTAGCCGAGACTATGCCACTGCAGTCCAGCCTGGCGAGAGAGCAAGACTCCATCTTAAAAAAAAAAAAGAAAAATACATCACCACTCATCAGGGAAATGCAAATCAAAAGCACAGTAAGATATCACTCACACTTGTTAAAATGGCTATGATCAAAGAGACAAAAGATAACAACATGTGGAGAAATGGGAACGCTTGTACACTGTTGGAGGGATTATGAGTTGGTAGAGCTGTTATGGAAAACAGTTATGGTGGTTCCTTGAAAAATTAAAAATAGAACCACAAGCTGGGCATGGTGGCTCATAGCTGTAATCCCAGCATTTTGGGAGGCCAAGGCAGAAGGATTGCTTGAGTCCAGGAGTTTGAGACCAGCCTGGGAATCATAGTGAGACCCTATCTCTACAAAAAATAAAAAATTAGCAAGGCCTGGTGGCCGCACCTGTAGTCCTAGCTCCTCGGGAGGCTGAAGTAGAAGGATTGCTTGAGCCTGGGAGTTCAAGGCTGCATGCAGTGAGCTATGTTTCAGCCACCACACCAGCCTGGGTGACAGAGTGAGACCCATCTCAAAAAAACAAAAGAACTACCATATGATCCAGTAATCCCACTTCTGGGTATATATCCATAGAAAATGAAATCAGTATGTTGAAGCGGTATCTGCACTTCCATGTTCATTGCAGCATTATTCACAATAGCCAAGATATGAAATCAACCTAAGTGTTTGTGGAAGGATAAATGAATATTAAAAATGTGGTGTATCCAGAGAATGGAATACCATAGAGCCTCAAAAAGGAAGGAAATGTGGTCATTTGGAACAACACGGATGAAGTTGGAGGACATTATGCTAAGTGCAATAAACCATAATAAGTGAAATAAGCCATTATGTTAGGTGAAAATAAAAAGACAAATATTGCATGATAAAGATATCACTTATATGTGGAATCTTAAAAAGCTGAACTCATAGAAGCAGAGTGTAGAATGATAGCGGCTAGGGACTGGTGGGTGGAGGAAATGAGGAGACTGGTCAGTTATTATAGAGCTGTTTTACTCATACAAGATGAGTAAGTTCTGGAGATCTAACATATGGCAATTATAGTTAATAATACTGTATTGTATAGTTGAAATTTGCTAAGATAGTAGTTTTTTTTTGGGGGGGTGGGGGATGGACTGAGTCTCGCTCTGTCGCCAGGCTGGAGTGCAGTGGCACAATCTTGGCTCACTGCAACCCCCACCTCCCGTGGTTCAAGCGATCCTCCTGCCTCAGCCTCCTAAGTAGCTGCGACTACAGGCATGCGCCACCACACCCAGCTAATTTTTTGTATTTTTAGTAGAGACGGGGTTTCACCATCTTGGCCAGGATAGTTTCGATCTCTTGACCTCGTGATCTGCCCACCTTGGCCTCCAAAACTGTTGGGATTACAGGCATGAGCCACTGCGCCCGGCCGAGAGTAAATCTGTTTTTTTTTTGTGACGGAGTCTCACTCTGTCGCCCAGGCTGGAGTGCAGTGGTGTGATCTCGGCTCACTGCAAGCTCCACCTCCGGGGTTCTCGCCATTCTTCTGCCTCAGCCTCCCAAGTAGCTGGGACTACAGGCGCCCGCCACCACGCCCAGCTAATTTTTTCTATTTTTAGTAGAGATGCGGTTTCACCATGTTAGCCAGAATAGTCTCGATCTCCTGACCTCGTGATCCACCCGTCTCAGCCTCCCAAAGTGCTGGGATTACAGGTGTGAGCCACCATGCCCAGCCCTGAGAGTAGATCTTAAATGTTCTCACACACACAAAAAGCAAAAAGTTAACTATGTGAAGTGATTAATATGTTCATTAGCTTGATGTGGTGATTATCTTTTTTTTCTTTTTTTGAGACAGGGTTTCACTTTGTCACACAGATTGAAATGCAGTGGTGCAAACCCTGCTCACTGCAGCCTCAACCTCCCAGGCTCCACCAATCCTCCTGCCTCAGCCTCCCAAGTAGCTGGGACTACAGGTGCATGCCACCATGCCCAGCTAATTTTTTTTTTTTTTTTTGAGATGGATTCTTGCTCTGTCGCTCAGGCTGGAGTGCAATGGTGCAGGTTCACGCCATTCTCCTGCCTCAGCCTCCTGAGTAGCTGGGACTACAGGCGCCCACCACCACGTCTGGCTAATTTTTTGTATTTTTAGTAGAGACGGGGTTTCATCGTGTTAGCCAGGATGGTCTCAATCTCCTGACCTCGTGATCCGCCCGCATTGGCCTCCCAAAGCTCGGCTAATTTTTGTATTTTTTGTAGAAACAGGATTTTGCCATGTTGCCAAGGCTGGTCTTAAACTCCCAGGCTGAAGCAATCCACCCGCCTCAGCCTCCCAAAGTGCTGGGATTACAGACATGAGCCACCGTGACCAACAGATGTGGTAATTATCTTACAACGTATAGGTATATCAAAATGTTGTGTTGTTAGTCAGGCATGGTGGTGTACACCTGTAGTCCCAGCTACTCCAGGGAGGTAGAGGCTGCAGTGAGCTATGATTGTGCCACTGTACTCCAGGTTGGGCAACAGAGGGACACCTTATCTCTTTCTTTCTTTCTTTTTTTTTTTTTTTTTTTGACAGAGTCTCCCTCTGTCGCCCAGGCTGGAGTGCAGTGGGCACTTGGCTCACTGCAACCTCCATGTCCCGGGTTCAAGTGATTCTCCTGTCTCAGCCTCCTGAGTAGCTGGGACCATAGGCTTGTGCCACCATACTTGGCTAATTTTTGTATTTTTAGTAGAGATGGGGTTTTGCCACATTGGCCAGGCTGGTCTTCAACTCCTGACCCCAGGTGATCTGCCTGTCTCAGCCTCCCAAAGTGCTGGGATTACAAACACAAGCCACCAACATGCCCACCCTGGGAGACCCTATCTCTAAGAAGAAGAAAAAAATTGTCTGTATTATTCACAATATGACTTTTTTTTTGAGATGGAGTCTCGCTTTATCACCCAGGCTGGAGTGCAGTGGCGCTATCTTGGCTCACTGCAACCTCCACCTCCCAGGTTCAAGCAATTCTCCCACCTTAGCCCCCAGAGTAACAGGGACTATAGGCATGCACCACAATGCCTGGTTAATTTTTGTATTTTTAGTAGAGATGGGGTTTCACCATGTTGGCCAGGATGGTCTCGAACTCCTGACCTCAGGTGATCTGCCTAGGCCTGGCATTACAGGCATGAGCCACTGTGCCTGGCTTGTTTTTGTTTTTTCTTTGAGACAGTGTCTTGTTCTGTTGCCCAGGCTGGAGTGCAGTGGCACAATCACAGCTCACTGCAGCCTCGACCTCCCAGGCTCAAGTGATCCTCCCGCCTCAGCCACATGAGTGGCTAGTAATATACTATAGGCATGTGCCACCACACTTAATATTTTCGTTTTTTTGTAGGGACGGAGTAGTGCCATGTTGCCCAGGCTGGTCTCAAACTCCTGGCCTCAAGAGATCCTCCTGCCTTGGCCTCCCAAAGTGCTGAGATTACAGGCTTAAGACATTGTGCACTCATATACACTTTATTTATCAATTACACCTCAGTAACCCTTGAAAACACTTTTAATTTAAAAATAGTCGGGTGCGGTGGCTCATGCCTGTATCTCAGCACTTTGGGAGGCCAAGGTGGATGAATCAGGCCAGGAGTTCAAGACCAGCGTGGCCAACATGGCAAAATCCATCTCTATTAAAAATACAAAAATTACTCGGGCGTGGTGGTGCATGCCTATAATCCCAGCTACTTGGGAGGCTGAGGCATGAGAATCTCTTAAGCCTGGGAGGCAGAAGTTGCAGTGAGCTGAGATCACGTCACTGCACTCCAGCCCAGATGACGGAGCAAGACTCTGTCTCAAAAAAAGAAAAAAAGGTCAGGCGTGGTGTCTCACGCCTGTAATCCCAGCACTTTGAGAGGCCAAGGCGGGTGGATCACCTGAGGTCAGGAGTTTGAAACCAGCCTGGCCAACGTGGTGAAACCCTGTCTCTACTAAAAATACAAAAAATTAGCCGGGCATGGTGGTGAGCACCTGCAATCCCAGCTACTCAGGAGGCTGAGGCAGGAGAATCGCTTGAGCCCAGGAAGTGGAGGCTGCAGTGAGCCAAGATGGCACCAGCCTGGGAAATAGAGCGAGACTACGTCTCAAAATAAAAAAAGAAAAAAGAAAAAAAAAGTCTCCCCTCAATTTTTTTTTGAGGCAGAGTCTCACTCCGTTGCCCAGGCTGGAGTGCAGTGGCACTATCTCGGCTCACTGCAGCCTCCACCTCCCGGGTTCAAGCGATTCTCCTGCCTCAGCCTCCTGAGTAGCTAGGACTGCAGGTGCACGCCACCATGATTGGCTAATTTTTTTATTTTTAGTAGAGACCATGTTGGCCAGGATGGTCTCAATCTCCTGACCTCATGATCCACCTGCCTCAGCCTCCCAAAATGCTGGGATTACAGGCGTGAGCCACTGTGCCCGGCCTTAAAATTTTTTTCTGGCTGGGCGCGGTGGCTCACACCTGTAATCCCAGCACTTCGGGAGGCCGAGGCAGGTGGATCACCTGAGGTCAGGAGTTCGAGACAAGCTGGCTAACACAGTGAAACCCAGTCTCTACTGAAAATACAAAAAATTTGCCGGGCATGGTGGCAGGCGCCTGTAGTCCCAGCTACTCGGGAGGCTGAGGCAGGAGAATGGTGTGAACCCGGGAGACGGAGCTTGCAGTGAGCCAAGATCGTGCCACTGCACTCCAGCCTAGGTGACAGAGTGAGACTCTGTATCAAAAAAAAAAAAAAATTTTTTTCTTTAATTTAAAATTTTTGTAGAGATGAGGGTCTTGCTGTGTTGCTCAGGCTGGTGTCAAACTCCTGGGCACATGCAATCCTCCTTCTTTGGCCTCCCAAAGTGCTGGGATTACAGGTGTGAGCTACTGTGCCTGGCCAATGAAGCTGCTTTAAAAAAAGAGCTGGGAGTGGCCGCACGCGGTCACTCAAGCCTGTAATCTCAGCACTTTGGGAGGCTGAGGAGGGTGGATCAGGGGGTCAGAGGTTTGAGACCAGCCTGGCCAACGTGGTGAAACCACTTGTCTACAAAAAAAAAAAAAAAAAAATTAACCGGGTGTGGTGGTGTGTGCCTGTAATCCCAGCTACCTGGGAGGCTGAGGCAGGAGAATCACTTGAACCTGAGAGGCGGAAGTTGCAGTAAACCTAGACTGCACCATTGCACGCCAGCCTGGGCGACACAGCAAGACTCTGTCTAAAAAAAAAAGAAGAGCTGAGAGTAATGGATGTCCCAATTATTTATTGCTATGCTGCAGCAAATGACCACAAAATATAGTGGCTTAAAGCAACAGTCATACCATTATATTTCATAATTTTGTGGATCAGGAATTCAGACAGGCTCGGCTGGGTGGGATGTTCAAGGATGGAGGTTTCAAGATGGCTTCACTCTTACACTACCACCTTGGCAGGGACAGTTGGGAGGCTGGGCTCCAGTGAGTCCCTGTCCTTCATGGAGATTCTGAGCCTCTTCATGTGGTCTCTCTGGAAGGAAGGTCAGACTTCTTTTTTTTTTTTTTTCTTTTCTTTTTTTTTTTGAGACAGAGTCTTGCTGTCGCCCAGACTGGAGTGCAGTGGCACGATCATGGCTCACTGCAGGCTCCGCCCCCCGGGGTTCACACCATTCTCCTGCCTCAGCCTCCCGAGTAGCTGGGACTACAGGCACCCGCTACCTCGCCCGGCTAATTTTTTGTATTTTTAGTAGAGACGGAGTTTCACTGTGTTAGCCAGGATGGTCTCGATCTCCTGACCTCGTGATCCACCCGCCTCGGCCTTCCAAAGTGCTGGGATTACAGGCGTGAGCCACCGTGCCCGGCCAGGAAGGTCAGACTTCTTACGTCGTGGCTCAGGCTATGAGAGACCAAGGTGGAAGCTGCCAATTCTCTTAAAGTTTAGGCCTGGACCTGGCATAGCATTACTTCTGCCATGCTTTATTAATCAAAGTAGTCATGTTCTGGGAGGAGGGAAAAGGCTGAGTTGGAACCGCCAGGCAGAAGCTATATTGGGAGTTATGATGGCACCAGTGCACTCCAGCCTGGACAACACAGTGAGACCCTGTTATCTAATAATAATAATAATAATAATAATAATAATAATGCAAAATAAAAATGGGAGCCATAATGGGTCCTAAGCAGTTGAGTCTGGGTATATGATGGTTGCGGGTGGGCCTCGTGTGGAAGAGTGATGGAAATAATACTGGGTCGGGCATGGTGGCTCATGCCTGTAATCTCAGCACTTTGGGAGGCCGAGGTGGTTGAATCACCTGAGATCAGGAATTCGAGACCTGCCTGGCCAACATGGTGAAACCTCGTCTCTACTAAAAATACAAAAATTAGCTGATGTGGTGGTGCATGCCTGTAATCTCAGCTACTCGGGAGGTTGAGGCAGGAGAATCACTTGAACCTGGGAGGTGAAGGTTGTAGCAAGCCGAGATCGTGCCACTGTACTCCAGCCTGGTGACAGAGCAAGACTCTGTCTCAAAATAAAATAAAATAAAATAAAATAAAATAAAATAAAATAAAATTTAAAAACACAAAAAAAGGAAGTAATACTGGACAGGGAGTTATGAGAGACTAGAGAGGTCTTCGGCTGTCAGGTTAAGCAGTTGAGTTAACTTTTCTAGGTAAGAGGGAGCCCTTGAATTCTACAGCAGGTGAATTCAAAGAATGAGTGAAGGAGAGGACTAGGCCAAACAAGGATGAATAAATGGCGTAAAAATTTTCAGCTACAAAATCAGGCAGCATTTGGAGTAAGAAGCTGGTCAGGCTTAACAGCATGTATTGATTTATATAGCTTTTGATTTTTCTGCTTTATTTATTTGAGACAAGATCTCGCCCTGTAATTCAGGTTGGGGTGCAGTGGCAGGATCTCGGCTCACTGCAACCTCAACCTCCCGGGTTCAAGCGATTCTCCTACCTCAGCCTCCCAAGTATCTGGGATTACAGGCGTGCGCCACCATGCCTGGCTAATTTTTGTATTTTTAGTAGAGATAGGGTTTCACCATGTTGGCCAGGCTGGTCTCGAACTCCTGACCTCAGGTGATCTGCCTGCCTCGGTGAGGCACCACGCCTAGCCCTGGATAATTTTTTGTATTTTTTGTAGAGATGGGTTTTCGCCATGTTGCCCAGGCTGGTCTCAAACTCCTGGGCCCAAGCAATCTGCCCTCCTCGGTCTCTCAAAGTGCTGGAATCACAGGCATAAGCCACTACGCCCAGCCTATATTTTAAAAACAACTTTCATTGTTTTTAACCCTTATTATGAAAGACACAAATTTCATTTTCAAAAATCCGGAATGACAGTTTAGCTTTAAAATGGTTGGCAGCAGGCAGCCACTTTGGGGTCTTGAGCTGGGAATGACAAGAGGCAAGACTACAACTTTCTATTATGGAGGGGAAGGAGGATGTGGTTTGTTGTGTGAGATGTTGAGGTCCAGGGGAGAGTAGTGATTAGACAATGACAAACTTAAGTGTCGGCAGGCAGTTTGCAAACCACTCTGCTGAATACCAATTATTACACTTTTTTTTTTGGTCTTTTTTTCCCCCCTCTTTCTGTGGAGAATGAGGTCTCGCTATATTGCCCAGGCAGGTCTCGAACTCCTGGGCTCAAGCTATCCTCCCGCCTCTGCCTCCATAAGAGCTGGGATTATAGGTGTGAGCCACTGCACCCGGTGAATACCAATGATTAAAAAACAGTGAACGGCTGGGTGCGGTGGCTCATCCCTGTAATCCCAGCACTCTGGGAGGCCGAGGCGGGCGGATCACAAGGTCAGAAGATTGAGACCATCCTGGCTAAGATGGTGAGACCCTGTCTCTACTAAAAAATACAAAAAAAATTAGCCGGCCATGGTGGCGGGCGCCTGTAGTCCCAGCTACTCGGGAGGCTGAGGCAGGAGAATGGCGTGAACCCGGAAGGTGGAGCTTGCAGTGAGCATACATCGCGCCACTGCACTCCAGCCTGGGCGACAGAGCAAGACTCCGTCTCAAAAAAAAAAAAAAAAAAAAAGCAGTGAACATGGGGCCCGGCGCCATGGCTCACGCCTGTAATCCCAGCACTTTGAGAGGCCGAGGCAGGTGGATCACGAGGTCAGGAGCTCGAGACCAGCCTGGCCAGCATGGTGAAACCCCATCTCTATTAAAAATACAAAAAAATTAGCCGGGCATGGTGGCACGCTCCTGTAGTCCTAGCTACTTGAGAGGCTAAGGCAGGAGAATTGCTTGAACCTGGGAGGTAGAGGTTGCAATGAGCAAAAATCACGCCACTGCACTCCAGCCTGGGCAACAGGGCGATACTCCATCTCAAAAAAATAAAAATAAAAACAAAAAACAAACAAAACAAAAAAAAGTGAACATTTATAGCTTGGTACTATACTAAGCACTGTACATTTAGTAACTCATTTAACCCTGATAGTCAGGTACCTGTATCATTCCCATTACATGGATTAAAAATTTGAGGCACCGAAGGGTTAAGCAACTTGTCCAAAGCTCCAGTTAAGCGTGGTGGAGCTCTCAAGTCTGTAGTCCCAGTACTTTGGGTGGCTGAGGCAGCAGGATTGCTTGAGGCCAGGAGTTTGAGACCAGCCTGGGCAACACAGTAAGACCTTGTCTCTAAAAAAAAGAAAAAAGGAAAAAAAAGAAAAAAAGGGTAGTGGAGCTGAAGTGTTAGTTTAGCTGAGTTCTGTAGTTAACCACCAAAGCTAGATATTTACTTTTACCTTTTATATGTGCAATTCAAGTTTCTCTATTCTAATTTATAAAGTTCTAGGTGACTAGAGCTCCCATGATATCATCTGACATGTTGCTGTTCTGGACTCAGGGTTGTTGAAAGCAGCTGACACACTCTGTTAATGATTCCAAGGCCAGAGTCAGGCTGCAGTGAAGAGTTGGCCTGGTGTGTAAGAACTCCATCCCCCCTAACCGGCAGGATGCAGGCAATGATTCAGTAGGTTAGGCTGGTTCCCCCCATCCCATCCCCTCACCCCCTGCCATCGTTCAAAATAGTAATTATGATGTAATGTTTAATGTTTAAAAAAATACTCTGGTGATTTATGGACTTAAAAACTATCTGAATGCACCCTGAGGATGATGGTGAAAGGTGCAATTTTGACATCAAAACAAGTGGGTGCATCTAATATTTAATTAAAGGATCAGATGAAGAAAGCAGATGCGAAGTCGCTCAGATGGAAATGTGGCCTAACCCCCAACCCAAGGTCTGAGAGAGTGACAGAAGCTAGTGTCACCTTTGAATACAAAACATGGCTACAGATGAATTCAAGAAAGAATGAAAATGTATTGCTTATATAATTTTAGGGCTAGTTTCTTTTTTTTCTTTCTTTTTTTTTTTTTTACGAGGCGGAGTCTTGCTCTGTCACACAGGCTGGAGTTCAGTGGCAGGATCTCAGCTCACTGCAACCTCCGGCTCCCGGGTTCAAGCAATTCTCTTGCCTCAGCCTCCCGAATAGCTGGGATTACAGGCGCCTGCCACCACACACGGCTAGTTTTTTGTACCTTTAGTTTCTTTTTAGTTAATTATTAAAATACAAGATGATTTATTTTCAGGATTCTTGAAGGCATATAGACTCCCTTTCAAATGTAAATGAGTGGAGGAAAAACTGGAAGCCTGCGTCCTCCTCCTTTGCTAACAAAGGGTGTTTATTAGCTAGGATGGCAATGAAAAATTTAATACAACGTAGTTTATAGCAGTGGACTGTGTCTTTGGCTCCTCATCTGGATGTGTAGCTCTGGCTCCTCATGGATAAGCTGTATAAAGCCTTATTAGATTCAAATACTAACCGTCGCTATGCCATATTAAAAAAAATCATTATAGCTATAAGCTGTATTTCTTATATAAGTGGGGTTAAATTGGTTGACTTAAAGATTTCCCCCTTTGCTACCAGTGCTAAAAAATTGTCTTAACCAAAATTAGGAATGTGCTAATTTAACAATTTACACTACAGGCCTGCTTCCTGGCAATGTGCTGTCAATTCAAGAAAAGAAAGAAGGAAAGCTACTTCACGATGAGAAATCAAACCTCACCCCCACTTCTCGCTCTCTCTTTTCTTCCTTTTTTTTTTTTTCCTCTGAGCAATGGTCCCCAGGAAACAAACCCACAAACCGCTGTCAAGTTTGATTCCTCTTTCTGGAGTTACAGCCTTCCTGCTCCTCCGTGATGGCTCAGCTGAAGTACCACCTCTGCTACTCGTTTTCAAAATACATGTTGAGTCTTAGGACCAGGAGGACGATTGAGGTTTTTTTTCCTTGTCATCTTTCTTTTCTTTTTCTTTCTTTCTTTTTTTGGTGGTGGGTGGGGCCAAACTAAGAGGGAGACAGCAGGTCTGGGCCATCCCTCTTCTGACCCTCTGGGGCCATCTTCCTTCTGGCAATTCTCTTCCCCCATCTGTTTTCCTCTTGTTTTTGTTTTTTAAAAAAGAAGGAAAAACAATCAAAGAAAGGAAAAGAAACGAAACAAAACAAAATTACATGAAACATCTCTATGGCAAGGCCAGTATGGTAGAAAATTATGGTAAAAAATTATAGGAGTGCATTGATTCATATGAGCATTTCATGTTTCTACACAGGTCTCAAATTATGGAAGAAATACATTGTTTAGGCAAGAGATGGTGGCATGAGAAGCTTCCTCTTTAATTTTTAAATTATACAAAGTTTGCTTCTTCGTTTGGCAAAGGAGGGGCTCTGTTTTGGTCTTATTTGATCAATAATTTTTCACTCCTCACACATTTCAGAAAATGTTCACTGATGTTCATTTTGCTCCAGGTGCTAAGGAGGGAGCTCTGGGGGCAGCTGAGGGCTTAGGCATTCCCGGTGGGGCTGCCAGGCTCTTCCTCAGCCTAGGAAACGCTCCCATCTCAGGACAGCACCCTGGCCCCCAAGACGGCTTCATCCTTTTGGAGAGGTACTTCTGCAGCTTCCTAGGGCCATCAGCACATGTGTCCAGCTGGGTTGATTTAAGGGCTTTTTCCAGGGTGATTTTCCCATGGATTCCAATGAGCAAAACCAGAGGAGCTGGGGAGGTCCATGTAGTGTATTTTTAAATTTCTCCATCTTTATGATCCAGGCATAGTTATGCAGGTTGGACACCGAGGTGTTTTTTTAAATTGCTTATCGAAGTATAATTTAAACAGTGAAATCGTGCATAGATCTTAAATGGCATTTATAAGTTTTGACAAATGTACATACACGGCAATCTATTTTTATTTCACCACCCCAGAAGGTTCCTTCATGCCCTTTCCCAGTCAATACCTCCTCATCCCCAAGGGTACTTTTCCTCTCCCCATAGCTTAGTTCTCTGTTCTAGAATTTCCTGGAAATGGAATCACACAGTATGAACTCTTTTGTGTTTGGCTTCTCTCTCCCAACACGATGTTTTTGAGTCATCAGGTTGTTGCCTGTACCAGGTTAAATAGGATATCACTAACAGCGAGATAGTGTTAAGAAGGGGACAATTTTTACCCCGTTGGCCTCCAGGCCAGATACTACCTATATCCTGGTAAGTGGCCCTCCTTGCCCTTCCAAGTGAGTCTCTCTCCAGGGCCATGCAAGTTCCTCTCCCAGAACCGCTCAGGCGGCCTCGGGCACCACCCAGATGGCTGCGGGGCCATCACCAGGTCGCCTCCCCAGAACAGCTGCCCCCTGCTTCCCCCCAGCCCCATTAAAACTCAAAAGGGAACTCTGGCCCCTCTGCCGATCAGAATTCAGACTCGCTTAATTCCATGCATCCAACTGCACACCACCGTGTGATGTTTTGGTGATCAGATATGCAGAGTTCTTTAAAAAACGTAAAAAGAAAAAAAGAAAAGGTGGGTAAAAACCGAGATCTCCCGGGCAGTGGATATGTCTCGGTTGAGCCAGGGATTCAGAATGAAATCTTTTCTTTTCTTTTTTAAATAAACGGAAGAGTCGTTCTCTGCTCCTCGCTCAGAAGGTTTCAAAGGTCGTCACACTGAAGCCCGGGGGCGTTCATCTCCCCAGCGGCCGGGAGAAGGGAGGAGGTTGGAGGGCGGAGGGAGGGAGCACACAAAAGCGGGCCGTGCTGAGAGGGCTAATGTTTCCTGTTTGCCTGGAGCCCCCTCCCCTGCCTCCCCTCCCCCAGCCCCCTCCCAGCACTCGGGCGGAAGTGAGTTTGCTCCTTTGGAGATTAAAAGGATTCCGAATTCCGATCAGTCCCAATAACCGGCGTACTGAAGAGAAGAGGAGGAGGAGGAGGAGGCAGAGGCGGCAAAGCAGAGAAAGAGGGGGCGCGCGCGCGCGCACGCAACCCGAACTGGGGGAGTTGTGCAAAGCCCCAGGAGGCCGGGGCACGGCGGGAGCAAAGCTCGGTAGGCGCAGCGCGGCCGAGGCCACCCGCGTCCGGATCGGCGACTCCTTTCAGAAAGAAGATGACGCGGGCGCGAGCCGGCGGCGTTGGCCACGCGGCTCCCGAGCTCGCCGCGCGGGGCTGTTGCCGGTTCCACTGATTCCAGCGCGCCCGAGAGGAGCCTCCATCCCCGAGGCTCGGGATCGGAGGGGGGACCAAGGCGAGGGCGAAATGGCCCGATGACAAAGGAAATGTGATCCCCCTTCTCTGCCAAGGTTTCAGAGAGGACGGACGTGAGGAGGAGGAGGGGCGCAGGGCGCGCGCGGAGCTCGGATAGCATTGCACGACGGCCCGCGCGGAGCGGGTACATCTAATATCTTCCTGCCGATGAATAATTCAGGGCGGCCCGCGGGGACCTGCGGCCCCGCGCGCTAAGCCGAAGGGGAAGGAGCGTGCGTGAGGCGCCCAGGCCAGGCGAGGCGGGGGCACGAGGGCTCCGGGCCGCGTGGGGCGCGCGTGCGTGTTAAGCGCGGGCAGCCGCGGCCCGGCTGGGCAGGCGCGCGGAAGACTCGAGGCGCGTGGGACGCGCGTGCGTACTGCACGCGTGCGGCCGCGGCTGGGCCACCACGAGCTGCAGCTGCTGCGGGGCCCACCGCCCTGCAGGGGAGGCCGTGCCTGGCTGTGCGCAAGCCCCAAGCGCAGCACGCCGGGCCACCCAGGAGCCCCTGGCCGCCGCGTCATGCGGCGGGGCAGCCGACGTCGCGCGGGGAGACACCGGCTTGGCGACGCACCGCTCCCGCCTTTACTAGTTTGGGGCTCCTTCCCCTCCCAAGAACAGACTAAATCCGTTTAAAGAAAAGCAACGCACCAAATACTCGTGGAACCAAATTCTGCTCTCGCCGGGACTGGGACTGCACAGCGAACTCTCCTTTTGGGAACTCCTTTCGTCTATCGCGAAGGGAAGCCTCAGCTGCTCCAGGGAGTCTTCCGACCTCCCTGCCCCCGCTCGCCCCTCGCCTGTCGGGGCTTGTTCCGGCGTTCCCTCTTCGGAAGGCACGCGGCCCCCAAGTTATCCGGAGGAATCTGTGTCGCCGCTGGATAGTGGCATTTAATGCCTGCAGTGTCGGGGGTGGCAGCGCTCGGGCCGGACGTGGCGAGGCCAAGCGGGCAGCGCTGCTCTGGTGCCGGCTCCCGGATTGCAGGCCTAATCGATGCATTTTTCTGAGTGAGTCGGTGACTCCCCCACCCACCTCGTCCGCTCTCTCCTCCTCCTCCTCCTCTTCCTCTCTGGTCTCCTCCCTCCTCCGGGCTGGGTTGCAAATGGCTTCGTTCCCCGAGACCGATTTCCAGATCTGCTTGCTGTGCAAGGAGATGTGCGGCTCGCCGGCGCCGCTCTCCTCCAACTCGTCCGCGTCGTCGTCCTCCTCGCAGACGTCCACGTCGTCGGGGGGCGGCGGCGGGGGCCCTGGGGCGGCGGCGCGCCGCCTACACGTCCTGCCCTGCCTGCACGCCTTCTGCCGCCCCTGCCTCGAGGCGCACCGGCTGCCGGCGGCGGGCGGCGGCGCGGCGGGAGAGCCGCTCAAGCTGCGCTGCCCCGTGTGCGACCAGAAAGTAGTGCTAGCCGAGGCGGCGGGTATGGACGCGCTGCCTTCGTCCGCCTTCCTGCTTAGCAACCTGCTCGACGCGGTGGTGGCCACTGCCGACGAGCCGCCGCCCAAGAACGGGCGCGCCGGCGCTCCGGCGGGAGCGGGCGGCCACAGCAACCACCGGCACCACGCTCACCACGCGCACCCGCGCGCGTCCGCCTCCGCGCCGCCACTCCCGCAGGCGCCGCAGCCGCCCGCGCCTTCCCGCTCGGCACCCGGCGGCCCTGCCGCTTCCCCGTCGGCGCTGCTGCTCCGCCGTCCTCACGGCTGCAGCTCGTGCGATGAGGGCAACGCAGCTTCTTCGCGCTGCCTCGACTGCCAGGAGCACCTGTGCGACAACTGCGTCCGAGCGCACCAGCGCGTGCGCCTCACCAAGGACCACTACATCGAGCGCGGCCCGCCGGGTCCCGGTGCCGCAGCAGCGGCGCAGCAGCTCGGGCTCGGGCCGCCCTTTCCCGGCCCGCCCTTCTCCATCCTCTCAGTGTTTCCCGAGCGCCTCGGCTTCTGCCAGCACCACGACGACGAGGTGAGTGCGTGGGGGCGTGTGTTTGTGTCCATCGGATAACTGCGTGTGTGCTCAACAGCGTTTCCCGGCCGGTCCCACAGCGAGGGGAGGAGGCCCTCTCCGGATTTGGTTTGTATTTCCTTTGGCTACGTGGCAGTCCTTGCTACCAAAGTAGATCATGACCTGGGAAGTATGTGGAAGTGGATTCTGTGTACGTGTCGCGAGGGGCTCCGAAAAATCCCATAGCGTGGGGTCCTCCCTTTTCTGATTTTAATTTCTGTGTGGCAAAACGCGGCAATCGTCTTGAGTTAGGCGTGAGTTGGGAGGAGATAGGTGTGTGTGTTTGTGTAGACGTGGCCTGCTCCTGCTCTTGTGGGCACACCAGAGGCCTCCCAACGTGCTGAGAAGGCGCTCCTTTATTTTCAGATTTTTGTTTGGAAAACTCATAGATTGTTGCCTTTAAAATGGGGCGTGAGCCCGGAAGAGATGGTTGTGTGGGTGAGTGCGTGGAGTTTGTGTGCCTCCGTAGACCTGGTTTCCACGTGCGCACTTGTGAGGGGAAGACTGGTTTTTTTGTTGTTGGGACAGCATGGCAGTCCTTGCCTCCTTATGTTGGGTAAGAGTGGGAGCGTCTGTGGATCTTTGAGGGCCAAGGGCCCCCAGTCTTAAGCCCTTCTCTCTCTGCGGCTGCTTCCTATATTGTTTAAAATGCGTGTTCTGGCCCCTGAATTCTCCTAGCGTGAAATCGCCGTTCGTGGGCCCACGGCTGCACCCCGAGATAGAAGCGGAATAAAGGGACGACGTTACCTTCACCAGCCTGAGTCTCTTGGGCCGCGCCCGCCTGCCCCGACTCCAAGCCCTACAGGAACCGGTTTCCCTGGTTAGGAGGTATCCACCCGGCTCAACCAGGGTCTCGACTTCCTTGGAAAAGACCAAGGCAGCCGTACGCTGCTGGAACGCCGGAGTGCAAAGGCTTTTAGGGCTACATTGCAACCCTCGGGCTCGATTTCGCCCTTTGGGCTGTCGAGTAAACATTTGCTTTTCACACAGTGTGACCCCTTTCTCCTTTCCACTTTGGTATTATGCGAGTGTCGTCTTCTCCCCCGAACCCAATGAAGGCAGGCCAAAAGTCTTGAGAAGCGGGCTCTTGCCGAGGGGGTCGGTAACTTAGGCGATCTACCTGTAGACCGGTAAGAGAGGGTGTGGGTGAAAGTCTTGACTTAGAGCGTAAGCTGGAGACTGCAGAGGCTTTAAAAGCCATAGTGGGGGTCGTGGCCTGTGTGAGCTGGAGAGTGGGTACCGAGCACCGCAAAGGTGAGCCCAGCGCCGCTGCCTTTTCCACTCCTAACCTGTTATTTGGGGAGGAGGGCGGAGCTATTGCCTGATGGCCTTTAGCTGGCTTCTCCTGTTGGAAAAAAGTTGAAATTCTAATCTACTTGTTGTAGGCATCTCCTTTTAAAAGGTTTCTTCTAGGTAAGAAGCTAGGGGGCAGTTATCTTTTTTTTCCGTTTTTAAACTTTGAATGGACTCCTAGTTTTAATATACTGTGGGTTCATGTTCTTTCATCACTTTTAGAAAAATGAGTGATTGAGGTAAATACCGATCCAAATCCCAGGAACAGAAAAATGGAGCCAATTCACTTGCAGTTTGGGATCAAATGCAGGGTGAGCAGAATGGGGTTGAATCCAGGAGTTTCCCCTTCTGAGAGGTGCTTTTAGTTTAAATGTCAGTTTATATTTCCAGTTAAAGATACACCTATATTTTATTTGGGCTGAAACAGTAGATGCTCAGTGTTGGCAGACTTGTAAAAGATTTATTCACTTTTAAAATTAGAAAACCCTTCAAACTGCATTGGGGAGTGTGAATTGAGAAGTGAAGCTCTCCACTCACCCTGGGAGGTACTCGGAAGCTCTTCAAATTCACTTTTTAGCATGTGCAATGTCAGGTTGAAGTAACTAATAATCCTTAACATAAAATTTGCTCAGTTTTGAGCAAGATTCTGCTTGCTCCCTTTAGCTTTTCATTAAAAACATTTCGGAAGTTGTTTGGCCTTTTTATTCATTCCTGGATTTAGAACGCTAGAAATTTGAGATTAAAGGTGACAAACCAGTGTTCTGAGTAGAAGACTAAAGTGTTAGGAGAGACAGCACTAACAGGTAGTGAGGTTCATAAACGGTTCCACCTACAGCTTAAATAATTCCTTTTCTTTTGATCTCGTTAACAGTTTGAGAATATTGTTCCTTTAAAAAGTCATCCCTCTCTGGCTGGGAAGGAGCTTTAGGACATTTTTGGAGGATGATAGACTGACCCATATCTGGACTGCGATACACTGAATGCCTAAATCCACATATTTTAATGTGTATACTGTCTACCTCAATTTTTAAGATGAGCTCCTTAACTGAGTTGCTTCCCTTGTCCACAGGCTCCGTTAAATAATTCAGAGTAGCACCTTTTCCTTATAGTGACTCAGGCCACCTGACCTTGGGAAGGAGGCCCAAACACCCTACCCCAGCCTGCAGGGTCTCTCGCCCAGGGGGACTTTCTTCCTTAAGCATCCCCTTGTAAAATGCCTTCTTAGGATTGGCAAGTAAGGTGTCTCGTCTGAGCAATTGGCTTTAAACCGTAATGATGATAACCTGGAAATCTTTGGGTTTTCCAACGAAATAATGAGACGTACTTGCTGCTACTCTTTTATTTTGGCTTATTTCAACAACATAGTTGGGGCTTTTCACTAGTTCTGTGCCTCCAGAGTCCGAAAGGCCTGCAGGCTCCGTGGCCCAGCCGGCATCCGGGCGGGGAATCCAAGGCGAGGAATCCGAGGTCGCCGTCCCCGGAACAGCTGGCCGCGGGCCCGCTGCGTGCCGCGGGTCCCGGGAGAGGCGGGCGCAGGTAGAGTCGCCGCGGGCCTGCGCCGCCGCCCGGCCAGCCCGGAGCCTGCCTCGGCTCTGGGGACGTGGCCTGGCCGGCGGCTGCTCTTCTCCCCGCAGGCACCCGCTGGGGTATTCACGGCCGCTCTGGTCATGGAGTAGGGTCTTCGCTTGAGTTTTGGGGGAAGAGTTTCACAACTAGGGAGTTGTGAGCGCTGCTCCAGCTGCTCACAAGTGACCCTTTAGTGTTGTTTTGCTTTTGGCACATAGAACGTGAGCCCTTTGCAGCCTTGGAGGCGACACCGGCAGCAGAAATGCTGGGTGTGTTGTGTGCCTAAGCTGGGCGTCAGGATTCTGTGAATGGCGGGAAGTTGAGCAGGGTTTGAACCCAGGAAAGCCTCTGTCACTAGCGGTGAGGGGCAGTGGGGGTGACATTGTTGCCACCTGGAAAACATTGTAGCCCGCCCCACCCGAGGATGGCAATATTGTTCCCAGTTAGGCAGGTCTGGGGGTGGCGTTTTCTGGAGTCTGGTTGGAAAAAGGGGTGCAGGTGTTGGTAGAATCCATGCGGTCCCTGTGTTGGGCTTTAAAATGCCTCCTGAAGAGAAAAGTTCTAGAATTCCAACTTGATTTGACCCTGAACATTGAGCACTCCTGGGACTGTCTCCTGGCAGGAAACTTAAAGTGGCTTCAGTCACTTGGAACAAGGAGGTTTGCTGCCTAAAATAATCGGTTGCTGTGTGAATTTGTTTTGTATATTTTAAGTCATATTGTAAATGGGACTGTACCTGTATTCAGCACCAGTGTATATTATTCTCTGTTCCCAAAGTCTAAGTTTTTTCAGGTCTGCATATACTCAGTGTATGCATGCTTATTTTAAATTATATTCATGTTCTTGCATAAATTATAAAATCCATACCAAAATATTTTTAAAAGCATAATACAAATTTTCCCACTTACACTGCATGTCGAAGTAATTCTCTTTTTAAGGGTGTGAAATGTAGGTATAGCTAAAGAACCACTTTCCTATCTTTTCCGTCTTTAGAGGCGATCAGATGTAACTAAGTTGGTGAAATTTATGATAAACTTTGAGAATTTCTACAAGAAATTGGCATTTTAATTGGAATCCGATTGATTCATATTAATTTCAACAAATTTTTAAAAAAAATTTTTTTAAAGGAAGGACAAGGAGAGAAAGTGAACAGAAATGGGTATTCTAGTATTTCTGTTACCTGCTTTCAACCTGCTCTACACTACTGGGTGAATATGTCCTCTGAGTGCAGACATCTCACCTACTGGCTGGAAAACCAAACCTAACTGCCTTGAAAATAATTACAGAGGTTGCTGCTTTGAATCCAGTTCAGCAGGTAGACATTAGGAAGCCTACTGAATTCAGAAAATGCTTGATAAAAATATATGGGAGGGAAATGTTCGTTATTGATATGTTAATTGCTTAGCCTTTGTGGGCTTAAGGTAGTTCCATTAAAGTGCATAGGAATGGATTTTTCAACATGGACCCTCAGGAAGTGGGCCACAGCTAGTTTGGCAAGCCTGTGCTGATGAGGTTGCCTTGAAGGCATAACCTGTCATAAACTGTGCTAGTAGTATGGAGGCTGTTGTGGTATCAGCACTGTCTGGGAAACCTTTTGTGATTATTTGTTCAGTTTCCTTCCTTTACAAAGATAAACTATAGTGGTTTTAGTGGTTTGGGGATTGCATAGATTTGATACAAGATTTTTATTTCCAATTCTAGGAATATACATTTTGGAAGACAAGATATTTGGGGAAAAAAACGTTACTTTTTCTAGACTTCCAGTTCTTCATTTGACAACGGTATTTGTTCTTTATCATTGACATTGTTTTCAAAGTGAAATAGTTGTACTTGAAATGGGGAAACCCAGGAGGCGGAGGTTGCAGTGAGCCGAGGGTGCAGTGAGCCGAGATCATGCCATTGCACTCCAGCCTGGGTGACGGAGCGAGACTATCTAAAAAGATACAGGGAAATCTTCCTAAAAGTGTTTGAAGAGGGTCAGGCGTGAGCCACCGCGCCTTTGGGAGGCCGAGGCGGGCGGATCACGAGGTCAAGAGATCGAGACCATCCTGGCCAACATGGTGAAACCCTGTCTCTACTAAAAATACAACAAAAATTAGCCAGGCGTGGTGGCGCGTGCCTGTAGTCCCAGCTACCCAGGAGGCTGAGGCAGGAGCATTGCTTGAACTGGGGAGGCGGAGGCCGCAGTGATCCGAGATCGTGCCGCTGCACTCCAACCTGGGCAACAGTGAGACTTGTCTCAAAAAAAGAAAAAAAAAAGTGTTTGAAGATTAGGTAAAAATTGCCATTTCCCATCTAGTTCTCCCTCCCATTGTATTATAGCTACTTACTTAATACTTTTATTTAGTCCTTTTGTTTTTTTCTGAGATGGAGTTTCACTCTTGTTATCCAGGCTGGAGTGCGGTGGTGCAGTCTTGGCTCACTACAACCTCCACCTCACGGGTTCAAGTGATTCTCCTGCCTCAGCCTCCCAAGTAACGGGGATTACAGGCGCTCGTCACCTTGTCCGGCTAATTTTTTTTCTTTCTTTTTTTTTTTTTTAAGTAGAGACGGGGTTTCACCATATTGGCCAGGCTTGTCTCTAACTCCTGACCTCAGGTGATCCACCTGCCTCGGCTTCCCAAAGGGCTGGGATTGATTACAGGCAAGAGCCACCGCGCCTGGCCCTAGTCCTTTTCTTAAGGCTGAGTCTCACTCATCCCAGGCTGGAGTGCAGTTGTACAGCTCCTTAAAGCCTTGACTTCTCAGGCTTAAGAGATCCTCCTGCCTGTGTCTCTCAAGTAGCTGGGACTACAGGCTCTAGCCATCACACCTGGCTAATTTTTGTAATTTTTGTGGAGATGGCGTTTCGCCATGTTGCCCAGGCTGGTCTCAAACTCCCAAGGTCAAGCGACCTGCCTACCTAGGCCTCCCAAAATGCTGGGATTTCAGTCATGAGCCACCTCGCTGGGCTAGATAGTCCTTTTCTTTTCTTTTTTTCTTGAGATGGAGTCTCGCTGTGTCACCCAGGCTGGAGTTCAGTGGCGCGATCTTGGCTCACTGCAACCTCCGCCTCCCTGGTTCAAGCAATTCTTCAGCCTCAGCCTCCCAAGTAGCTGGGACTACAGTCATGTGCCACCATGCCTGGCTAATTTTTGTATTTTTAGTGGAGACGGTGTTTCACCATGTTGGCCAGGCTGGTCTTGAGCTCCTGACCTCAAGGTGATCTGCCTAACTCGACCTCCCAAAGTGCTGGGATTCAGGTGTGAGCCACTGTGCCTGGCCCTTAGGTAGTCCTTTTCTAGAAGGATCTCAGGAGGCTTAAATGTCTAGTTTCCTCAAGTACTACTTAATATGGATGCAACTTTCTCCTCACATGTAAAATTATGAGCATAATTGGGCTTTATGTCTTTTCACTGAAAAAAGGAACTAATAATCGTGCATATATAGTAAGGGAGTTAGCTCTTGTGGAAGCTGTCAATGAAGTTAAATGGCTAAAACGCTTTTTTTTAAGTGGTTTGCCAGGGTAAAACGTGTTTATAAATTTTTCTGGTTCAAGAGAAATTTTCATTAAATAATTCTGTAGCTCTAAAATTTAACCCCCTCTGAGTTATTTCTGGTGCTAAAAGTCACATGGTTTGCCATTTCTCCATCCAGTTCTCTACACAGGGCAAGGTTTATTTTGTCTGTGTTCATTCTTAGCAAATAAAGGACCATTTCAGTGTCATTTTTGACAGGCAAAAGGGTGAGATGAATTCTATACTATGCAGGCAGTTTCAAAATACTGCTTCCCCCCTTCTCCCACTCCCACCCATAAAACTAATAAAGGTTAAAGGCCTGGCTCACTAAGGCTGTTTTTGCTATCTCTGACATTTTGGAAGCGAGCAAGAGAAAGATAATGATAAAGAATTACAGTTGCCTTAAGGGAGCAAGATGCCACCCATTGAAGCCTACTCCGTTACCGCTTTTCTTCTTGACCTTTCAAGCATTGTGGCTTGCAAGAGTAAGCTTGATCCATCTTTCCTCTAAAGCTGATGTGACCTCCTGCTTGTTCAATACTAAATTATTCCCCTCCTTTTGAGGTTTTGTCTATACTCACAAACTGAGTTGACTGAAACCAGATTGACTGTTTTGATTGACAAGACTCTGACTTGTCAACCTAAAAAGTGGGAGGAGTAGGGGGCCTAGTGGTGTCCCTTTACATTTGAAACTGTTTGACTTAAACGATATTCCAAAGTAAATCTTTGCCTCTCCCATGCCATCTCTTGCCTTCCTCATGCTGTAGATAAATGCAGTTTGCTTACAACTGGCTTTGAAGGTGGTAGAATGAAATGAAATGGGGGAAGATCCCACTCAACTCCCATCCAGGCAGGGTGCGGTGGCTTACGCCTGCAATCCCAGCACTTTGGGAGGCTGACGTGGGCAGATCACATAAGGCCCAGAGTTCGAGACCAGCCTACCAACATGGTGAAACCCCATCTCTACTCAAAATACAAAAATTAGCCGGACGAATCCCAGCTACTGAGGCTGAGGCAGGAGAATCACTTGAGCGTGGGAGGCGGAGGTTGCAGTGGGCCAGGATCATGCTATTGCACTCCAGTCTGGGCGATAGAACAAGACTATGTCTCACAAACAAACTCCCATCCAAACCTGAGTTTTAGAGATACTCATATTAGACTTAGGCTAATAGTTTTTTTTGTCATCCTTACTGTAGATTTTCTACTAATCCTAGATGGTTCCTAACCAGAACTTTAATTCCCATCAGGTGAGTTCTTTTTTTTTTTTTTTTTTTTTTGAGAGGGAGCTCTGTCACCCAGGCTGGAGTGTAGTGGCACCATGTTGGTCAGGCTGGTCTCAAACTCCTGACCTCAAATGGTCCACCCACCTTGGCCTCCCAAAGTGCTGGGATTACAGGTGTGAGCCACCACACCCGGTCAGGTGAGTTTTGTGTTTTGTTTGTTTTTTTGAGACGGAGTCTTGCTCTGTCCTGTCCCTGAGGCTGGAGTGCAGTGGTGCGAACTCAGCTCACTGCAAGCTCTGCCTCCTGGGTTCACGCCATCCTCCTGCCTCAGCCTTCCCAGTAGCTGGGACTACAGGTGCCTGCCACCATGCCCGGCTAATTGTTTTTGTATTTTTAGTAGAGACGGGGTTTCACTGTGTTAGCCAGGATGGTCTTGATCTCCTGACCTCATGATCCACCCGCCTCGGCCTCCCAAAGTGCTGGTATTAACAGGCATGAGCCACCGCGCCCGGGCTATGAGTTTGTTTTTAGTGAAGCTATAAATTATCAGTTGGCACAAAAAATTAGCAGTCAGTTGTATTTCACTCAAAAACAATTTTCCACATAGAAGTAGTAGTCTTTAGCAATAAAAATACTGTTTTCAGTAATTATGTTAGCATATTGAAGTTGTGATTATTGGGAATGAGGTCCTTTGTCATGAAGGGTAGGGGGATAATTCTTTTTTTTTTTTTTGGGTGGAGTCTCACTCTGTTGCCTAGGCTGGAGTGTAATGGTGTGATCTCGGCTCCTTGTACCTTCTGCCTCCTGGGTTCAAGCGATTCTCCTGCCTCGTCTCACGAGTAGCTGGGATCACAGGCATGCACCACCATGCCTGACTAATTTTGTATTTTTAGTAGAGATGGGGTTTTGCCATATTGGCCAGGCTGGTCTCGAACTCCTGACCTCAGGTGATCTGCCGCCTCAGCCTCCCAAAGTGCTGGGATTACAGGCGTGAGCCACCGCGCCTTGCAAGGGGGGATAATTCTTGATTGTGATCATTTATCTATAAGAGCTTCTGCAGAATAGCACATTTTGTCAACATTAATAGGTTTTAAAGCAGAGCAGTGGGCACAAAAAAGAATAAAGTGGGTGCAGATCAGTTGTGTAGACTGAGGACATACCCTCCTGGTTCTGACACCCTGTGAATTCCAGGGGCCCTTG
Organism: Homo sapiens; assembly: GCF_000001405.40. Classification (NCBI taxonomy): domain Eukaryota; kingdom Metazoa; phylum Chordata; class Mammalia; order Primates; family Hominidae; genus Homo; species Homo sapiens. The sequence continues at coordinate 195,977 of NW_025791770.1, forward strand.
AATGGACCTTGGAGCCTGAGTGGTCAATCAGGTCAGGCGCCTCTGAGAATGAGAGCCTTTGTAAACATCTGTTGGCTGCTGCATCCTGTAGCTGTTACTTCTGGAAAGTTTGGCCAGCCATTTTCTTCTCGTCTTAACCTTTTGCAGTTAAAATGTTTTTCTTGAAATGCCAGTGGATTTGGGGAAGTCGTTTCATACTCTTTTGGGACTAATTGGGATAATTATTAAAATGCTGTTGTATAAAAAATCTGCACTTAAGTTTTGCTGCTAAATATAGATTGGATGACTACTTAAGCACTGGTGTTTTAGAAATGAGAATTGTGAATGAGTGGCATCAGCAGCCATTATTACCATGTATTGGACACTTAAAGGAATTCAGGAGTTTAGATCATATATCTCCACATTTTGGTCTGTGCCCTCCGAGATCAGTGTCAAAGGGAGATATTTCTATTACTTAGGATTATCAATAGATTTGTACTGAAAATGCTTCCAGAAATGTTGTAGATAAGCATTGAGCAGGAGAGTAGAAAGTTTAGGTAACAGTTGGAAAAATGTAAGACTCCTGATAGGCAGTCTTAATCAAGTGTCTATTATTTGGCTTTGCTTGAGCACTCTGATTCTAGGTTAGATTCTGCTTTGCCTCAGTTTTTGCATCTGTAAAATGAGGGTAACTCTTTGCGGTGTTGTAAGGAGTAGAGCTGAAATATAAAGTCTCATAGCACAGTGCCCTACAATTGAAGGCAATTGTAAACTTTTTTTTTTTTTTTTTTTTTTTGAGATGGAGTCTTGCTCTGTCACCCAGGCTGGAGTGCAGTGGTGCAATCACAGCTTACTGCTGTCTCAACCTTCCCGGCTCAAGTGATCCTCCCACCTCTGCCTTCTGAGAAGGTGCATGCCACGATGCCCGGCTAATTAAAAAAAATTCTTTTTGTAGAGACTGGGTTGCACCATGTTGCCCAGGCTTGTGTCTGACCCTTGGGCTCAAGCCACCCTCCTGCCTGTCCTCCCAAAGTGCTGGGATTACAGGCGTGAGCCACCTCATCTGGCCCCAATTTACATTTTATATGACATGTTTGAAAACCACTAATTTTTCTTATAATTTTTTTGTAGAGACAGGGTTCTCACTTTGTTGCCCAGTTCACTGATCTTGAACTCTTGGCCTCAAGTGATAGCAATCCTCCTATGTCAGTCTCCTAGAGTACTGGGGTTACAGGCATGAGCCACTGTCCCCCACTAGAAAGCACTAATTTTTTTTTTTTTTGACACGGACTTTCCCTCTGTCGCCCAGGCTGGAGTGCAGTGATGTGATCTCGGCTCACTGCAACCTCCGCTTCCCAGGTTCAAGCAATTCTTCTGCCTCAGCCTCCTGAGTAGCTGGGAGTACAGGAGTGCACCGCCATGCCTGGATAATTTTCTTTTTTTCTTTTTTCTTTTCTTTTTTTTTTTTTTTTGAGATGGAGTTTTGCTCTTGTTGCCCAGGCTGGAGTGGAATGGCACGATCTTGGCTCACTGCAACCTCCACCTCTCAGGTTCAAGTGATTCTCCTGCCTCAGCCTCCCGAGTAGCTGGGATTACAGGCATGAGCCACCACACCCAACTAATTTTGTATTTTCAGTAGAGAGGGGGTTTCTCTGTGTTGGTCAGGCTGGTCTCAAACTCCAACCTCAGGTGATCTGCCTGTCTCCCAAAGTGCTGGGATTACAGGCGTGAGCCACGATGCCCTGCTGTCACCACTAATCTTTAAAGCCAAGATATTGTGTGGGGGCTGGGGAGAGGAAGGGAAACTGTGGCATATCAAGGAAGCAGATCAACTTGCTCAATGGAACAGTCTAATCTCAGCAACTAGAATATTTAGTAAGCATTAATGTCATGGTATTGTGTGTGTGTGTGTGTGTGTGTGTTTGTGTGTGCGTGTGTGTGCATTGGAGGAGGCATCTGAAGAGGAATCAAATCACAAGAAAGGCCTTAAGTCTTCATAGAAGAAGCTTCTCCATTACAAATGGGAATGCTGAGGCCTGGTTATGAAATGACTTCATCAGAAACTGTCCTGACTCCTAGTCTAGCACTCTTTCCACATTGCTATTTATGTGACAGTAACATGTGTTATTGACAAGTGTAGCTTTTTGAAATTAACCCTTAAAAATCTGCTTAATACTAAATTTACTGCCTGAATTTTTTTTTTTTTTTTTTTTTTTCGAGATGGAGTCTTGCTCTGTCGCCCAGGCTGGAGTACAGTTGGCATTATCTTGGCTCACTGCAACCTCTGCCTCCTGGGTTCCAGCATTCTCCTGCCTCCCCGGGTATATGGGACTATAGGTACATGCCACCGTGCCCGGGTAATTTTGTATTTTTAGTAGAGATGGGGTTTCACCATGTTAGCCAGGCTGGTCTTGAACTCCTGACCTCAGGTGATCCGCCTGTCTTGGCCTCCCAAAATGCTGGGATTACAGGTGTGAGCCACCGTGTCCAGCCTCTAAATGTTTTTGTTTTTTGTATTTTATCTTCCTGCTTTGACCTTTTCTAAGTCATTAAGGAGAACGTTAAAAAGCATAAATGGGCTCTGGTCTCTTAGCCAAAAACTGAGTATAACCATCTTGCAAAAAACCGCCTGTCATTCCAAAATTCATTTAATAGTAAGTATTACCAGAACGATAATTTAGCAAGGGAGAAAGCTTTGAGTTTTGTTAATCTCTTGAAATGATAACTCCATCTCACAGTATCAGGGTGAGGTGCATCCTCTGGGCATATTCTATTCCAGATTGCCGGGAATGGAGCTCATCTCCTGCTCCTGTCCCCATACCCTCTCACCCTGGCCCCAACACCTCAGAGCAATTTGGCATTGATGGATTGGGGATTTTTACACTAAGTCTGGCCTCTGTCGATATCAGTGGATTTAAGGACCAATTCCAGCTTTTGCCTGATTGTCAACTTCCAATGAGTTATGCAAGTTGGGTTTGACCCTCAGAAGATGCCCAAAGTCTGCCTTCATTCCTTTGCAGAAACAAAGGACACTTCTTAGTTTTCAAGCCATAGAATGCCTCCCCCTGCCCCAAATGTTGAGGGTTTTTTTTATTTGTTTTGATGTTTGTTTGTTTTTTTGCTGGAACTGGAGTGCAGTGGTGCAATCTAGGCTCACTGCAACCTCTACCTCCTGGGTTCAAGCGATTCTCGTGCCTCAGCCTCCCCAGTAGCTGGGATTACAGGCGCCCGCCACCACGCCTAGCTAATTGTGATATTTTTTAGCAGAGACTAGGTTTCACCATGTTGGCCAGGCTGGTCTCAGGTAATCCGCCTACCTCGGCCTCCCAAAGTGTTGGGATTACAGGCGTGAGCCACTGTGCCTGCCTGCAAGTGTTGAGTTTTGATGGATTTTTCCCCACGTTATATAGATGGGGGTGGGGGACCGTGGGGGATTTTGGAGATGAAAGGGGAAGAGTGGCTTGAAAAATGCTCTCAGCTTCTTGGTATAGGTAAGACCATGAGCTACAGAGTAACAACTGGATTTAAGTCCTAGTGTTGCCCTATGTGACCTTGGACAAGTCACTTAACTGACTTGATTTCTGACCGTTAAGATGGGAGTGATAGAGGTGGCTACATCTTCCAGACCTATTTGTGGGGAGCTCTTTCACATGAAGGTTCTTTGAAAGAGCTAGAAAAATTTATATTGTAATGTATGTGCCCATAACTGTAAATAATCATGAAAAAATTTGGCTTCAACTTTTCCTGCAAGTTGCAGCCAAACAGCTAGTTTCTTTTCATGAAATTAAATAATGTTGCTTATCTTCCTTTTTTTTTTTTTTTTTTTTGAGACAGAGTCTCGCTGGGATGCCCAGGCTGGAGTACAATGGCGCGATCTCGGCTCTCTGCAACCTCCGACTCGGGTTCAAGTGGTTCTCTTGCCTCAGCCTCCAAAGTGGCTGGGACTACAGGCGCGTGCCACCATGCCTGGCTAATTTTTGTATTTTTAGTAGAGATGGGGTTTTACCATGTTGGCCAGGCTGGTCTTGAACTCCTGACCTCAAGTGATCTGCCCTCCTTGGCCTCCCGAAGTTCTTGGGATTACAGGCATGAGCCATTGCACCCGGCTGTTATCTTCCTTAAAAGATATATTTTGGTTGATGGCCAAGCAGTATTTGATGCCATGAAATAACTTGGGCAGTTCCTCATTGCTGACAGAACTTGATGTGTTAAAATTTGCCATCAAAATATTTGAATGCCTGTTTCTGCTCAGTGTGAATTGTGGTCTTTGCTAAAGATGTATAAGAGCAGTCTACATCCTGTTCCTTGCTTTAGTCTTGTGGTTTGACTGTTTGGGAATATAAAACTGAAAAGGAAAAGGTGAATTGTGGTGGGGGGGGATTCTCTACTTCCCTATATGGCCACTTTATATGTGGTCTTATTTAAATTACTAGATGAAATTTAAACACTAAAGGTGGCCATGCACAGTGGTTCATGCCTGTAATCCCAGCACTCTGGGAAGCTGAGACAGGAGGATGGCTTGAAACTGGGAATTTCGAGACCTGCCTGGGCAACAAAGCAAGACCCTGTCCGTACAAATTAGCCGAGCACAGTAGTTGTGCCCCTGTAGTCCCAGCTACTGGAGGAGTGGAGAGGGCCTGAGGTGGGAGGATCACTTGAGCCCAGGAGATCAAGGCTGCAGTGCGCTATGATCATGCCATTGCACTTCAGCCTGGGCAACAGAGTGAGATCCTGTCTGCTAAAGTTAATGGAATCCAAATAAGTTCAGATGGGGAGATGAGTTTGAGGCTGAATGAACAGTACTCTTGGGGAATAGTCAGGTGTGGTGACACACATAGGTGTTCCCAGTTACTCAAGAGGTAGAAGGATTGCTTGAGCCTGGGAGGTGGAGGTTGTAGTGAGCTGAGATCATACCACTGCATTCCAGCCTGGGTTCCAAAGTGAAGACCCCGTCTCAATAAAAAATATTATAATAAAGATTGTAAAATTAGACCTTTTACCTAATTTTTTCTACTTCTTTCAACATCTGTAAGGAAGAGATAAGGGTACCCTCCTCTTCCTCCCTTCCTAGGGGGTGGACGATTGATAACATTGAAGAAATAATTGGTGTATCAGGGGCCAGAGCCACATTAATTAATAGGTAATATAAAGAATTATTGACTGGGCTGGGCGCGGTGGCTCACGCCTTAATCCCAGCACTTTGGATGCCGAGGCAGGTGGATCATCTGAGGTCAGGAGTTCTAGACCAGCCTGGCCAACACATGGTGAAACCCCGTCTCTACTAAAAATACAAAAACTAACCAGGCTTAGTGTTACGAACCTGTCATCCCAGCTACTCGGGAGGCTGAGGCAGGAGAATCACTGGAACCCGGGAGGTGGAGGTTGCAGCAAGCTGAGATTGCACCACTGCACCATTGCACTCCAGCCTCGGTGACAAGAATGAAACTCTGTCTTTAAAAAAAAAAAAAAAAAAAAAAAAAAAAGAGGCAGCTGTTTTTGTTCCCAAACCTGTTGATTGTAATTAACCCAGCTCAAGTAAAGATGAAATAGGAGTGCAGAATATCGTAATTTCTATGAAAACTGACTGGAATTTCTATGAAAACTGATTTGATAAAGTAAGCTCTGGGGAAACAGCAGAGAACAAAATAGTCCCACATCCCTCAGGCCCTTGTAGACTTCACATTGGGATAATAAGATGATTCCCTGCCTTTGCTGTGTCCTTAATCTGCTTCTGACTGGAGTGGAGGCTGCTGCTGTTGCACAGAGGGAGCATCTGTGGATGGCTGGTTTGGAACCCCCGGCTATCTCCCTGGTGTGAAGTAAGACATTCAGTGTGTGATGGTTATAATCTTAAGAGTGAGAGGGGGAGGTTGAGTACAGGCTGCAGGAGTACTGAGAATGCTTTTTTATTTATTTATTTATTTATTTATTTATTTATTTATTTATTTTATTTTTGGCTCAGGCTAAAGTGCAGTGGGAAGAATGACCTGACTTTTTTGTTTGAGAATCAAATGAAATATTTTCTGCAATATGCCCTGTTTATAAGTGAAGACATTTATGTAGAAATTTAAAGTGAAGGAATTCATATGCAGACAGTGCTGCATGGGGGCTAATGGGAGCACCTGCTATGCCCCACCCCCATCCTTGACCATTGGGGAAAAAAATGGGTTTTTGTTTGTTTTTTAATTCTTCATTTTCCTAAAACAACAGGTTTTTACTTCCTTTGTTTCTGTTGTTAGCTTGAAAAGAGCCTTCAGGGATTTAGAGGAATATTCCAAGAGGAAAATTCGTTTTTCCAATTTAATTTAATTTTTAAAACCACATAGGTGCTGGAAATACAAAGAAAAACCACAGCTCTGTTCAGCTGTGGACTGACCCAAATATTTGGAGCTTTGGGGCTCAGAGTTACCTCCATGTGTATGGATGAAGTAAGGTTTAAGTGTCTCCACTTTTAAACTGAAGTTTGGTAGGTGAAACCGAGTGATTGTGTTTGTTACGGTTATAAATGGAAACCATTTTAAGAAAGGATAGCAAATCCTGTCATAGCAGGAGATAGTGATTAAGTCTAGATGATGTTTGGGACTTGACACAACAGCTACAAATTTCATGTTAAGCCTGTTGTGCAATAAATCCAGACTTGCCTTGATTGAGATCCTACAGCTAAAGTTATCTGTCTTATCTGCAGCTTTATTGTTGGTTTATTTAAGTAGATTTTGTGTTAATTACATACACAAATGTTAACATACACAGGCATACAATGAAAGGCATTAAATATACCAGGGCTTCCTAGATCGGGGGAGTTTTACTTCTAGTATAGCCAGTTTTAAAGTTGGAAAACGAACATTTCATTTTCTTATAAAAGGAGGGATGGTGGGAGGCCGAGGCGGGTGGATCACAAGGTCAAGAGATCGAGACCATCCTGACCAACATGGTGAAACCCCGTCTCTACTAAAAATACAAAAATTAGCTAGGTGCGGTGGCGGGCGCCTGTAGTCCCAGCTACCCCGGATACCGAGGCAGGAGAATCGCCTGAACCTGGGAGGTGGAGGTTGCAGTGAGCCGAGATCGCACGGCTGCACTCCAGCCTGGTGACAGAGCGAGACTCCATCTCAAAAAAAAAGGGGATGGTGTTCACATTTGGCGTTTTGAGCATTCATTTTGTCTAGGGTCTACTGCATAATCTGAGCGCATAATTTGTCTGAATTTAATGACAGTTCATTCTATCAGTTCCTCTTTGTCCTAGCCCCATAGAACTTAATTTTTCCAGATTTTTTTGTTTGCCTGTTGAGATGTAAAACCAATTGTCTTCCCCATCAAAAAAGGTATGTAAAACATCAAATGGAATAAAATTTAAAAGTCATGTGCAAGATGAAATCATGAAGATGAGAAGGAGGTGATGTTAAGCTCTGGTTTGAGAGAAGAGGTTGAGTTTCAGGCTCTGCTGGGTTCCCGTTATTGGCATGTTACGGACATCTGGACAAATCACAGTTTTTGCATGTGTAACATGATGGGGGGAGTGGGGGCAGAATGTCCAAGGTGTAACAGTTCTGTAGCTTCAGCAGGTTAAGAAACATTCTCATTTTAATTTCTTGACTTTACACCTATTTGTAAATGTTATCACTGTGAGAGGGTCCTCTCCCCCTCTAAATGGTAAAAGCAGACAGGTTGGCTCACTGTGAACAGAAAAGAGGAACCCGGATCAATGAATGCTTAATCAAAAGTATGTTAACACTTGATAGGAGTGAAAAAGGGAGGGAAGGGGTTACAATTTTGTTTTAAATGTGTTTAAAAGATAACATTTAAGGGTTTTGGGAAAATAACGTTTTGTTTAGAATTCACAACACTTGTCATTTTAGGCTGTAATTTTTCTGAGTATGTTTATGCCTGTGAGTATAATATTTGATGTTTTTCATTTCTCCTTCCTTCACCATCCTTGGTCAGCTCATAATTGCTGGATGAATAGAAAACTGAGATTTTTCTTGGGGATATCTTTTATCCTAGGAAGTAACTTTAGTTAACTCTAATCCTGATTTAATTATAAGTAATATATAAACCTATTTTGTTTGGATTATCTGTAAATTTTATTTTTAAAATGTACCCCGTCCCACTTCTTTCCAAAGTTGTGGTGTACCAGGTTCGTGGGGCTCCTTTCAAGCAACCATTTACATACACAAGCATATAGAGGTTAGTCTTAAAAAACATGTGTAGGTGCTACCCTGTACTGACTTGCTGGTCATTACTTGCTCTAAACTTGGCCTTTATGGTGTGAAATTTATTTTGCCTTTTTCTGCTTCTGATTGCCTCTTTTATTTGGCTGTTGCCAGCAATGCTCATCCTTGTGTCCCTGTAACCCTCTCTTATAGAAGGGAGATCTTCCCCTCCCCCGACAGCTCCCCCAGCAAGGAGATCTCTAGAACCCTGGAGAGGCACGTTTGAGATGTTAATAGATCCCAGCACTTTGCTCCGGAGAGCTTGCCTTCCACCAGCCGCATTTCCTCCCTCCCCACCCCTCCCTTATTGCCATCAATCTAATGAAAAAAATGGCTGGTCCTGTTGTTTTACTCTTCATTTGTGCAATTGCTATGAGGTGTGCATGAGCTTTTCATATGTTTACTGGCCATTTGAGTTTTCCTCCTGAATTCCCTGCTCCTGTTCCTGGGCTGATATCTTGGGTTAAAAAAATTCAATTTGTAGGCATTTTGGATAAATACTGATTACTAGTTGTGTGTTACAAAGGATTTTTCTGAGGCCATAGTTTGCCTCCATTTAGTTTAACTTGGTATACATTTTAAATTTTTAGTGTGATAGATGTTTACTTCCTCTACATTTTGTGTCTTTAGGTCCCACCTTAGAATATAGTCTTGGTATATCATAGAAGGTGGATCTAATTTTATTTAGAACAAATAACGAGCCTAATGTTCTGTCTGTTAGTGAATGGTTTCTTGTCCTTTTTTTCTTTGTACCTTAGCTTTCAGGGAAGCCATTCTGAAAATAGCTGTTGGCTGTGGGTGAAGAGTAGGTATATGAAGGCCCTTAACTTGTGAATGCCAGCTGGCTTGCAATCAGTTGAGTGTTCATGCTTCGTGGCCATATACTGGTAGCTATTATACTGGTAGCTATTAAGGAAATAGTCTCTGCAGACGTTCAGTTATTCACAGCAGACAAGTGATGATGCTTATATTGGTCTAGGTCTTGTTACAAACGACCCATTCCTTCAGCATGTACCTATTCCTGGGCTGGGTCTTTCTATACAGAATTGCTATCTTATAGGTGCCTTTTCCCCCCAATTTTTATCTTCATTGGATTTTTAAATTACAAAAGAAATAAGTAGTCACTATAACACAGGCAAACTTGAAGTAGATTAAGAAAAAAACAACAACTTGCCAGTTTCACTCCCCAAATGTAATCATTGTTAACAGCGTGGATAATGTAATTGTTCTTATTTCCTAAGCGTATGCAATGCCATCTTTATGACTGTCTGTAATTTAGTCGTGTAAGCATTGATATAAAGGTGTTTTGAAATATATATTGCATTTTGTACTGTCTGTAATATGTCTGTGCCACCACCACCACAATCAAGATATAGGACATTTCCACCAGCCCAGAAAGTTCCTTTACTGTGTGGCCTTTTAGTACAAATCTGTGGAGAATTTGGCCTGCTTTTCTGGTCATGGGTCTCAAAAGGATTTATGAAAAGTATAGTTTTAGGGGCTGTGGATATGGTCAAATCTCTAATGATGGAAAGTTGCAATGTCTTGATGTCCTGGCTTACTACTGATCTGAGGATAGTTGTAAAACTTACTAACGTCGCCGGGCGTGGTGGCTCATGCCTGTAATCCCAGCACTTTGGGAAGCCAAGGTGGACGAATCACGAGGTCAGGAGATCCAGACCATCCTGGCTAACTTGGTGAAACCCCCTCCCTACTAAAAATACAAAAAATTAGCCAGACGTGGTGGCACGCACCTGTAGTGAAGCTGAGGCAGGAGAATGGTGTGAACCCGGGAGGCGGAGGCTTCAGTGAGCCGACATTATACCACTGCACTCCAGCCTGGGTGACAGAGCGAGACTCCATCTCAAAAAAAGAAAAAAAACCTCCTGAAGTCTTTACCTCTATGGCATTTAGCTTCTGAGAAGGCCCAGATTCTATCTCTTCTGTGTTTAAGACATTTGCTGTTTCAGGGCCACAATGCAAATGGCCAGGGCACATTGTTTTCCTCTGAGCAGATGCCTGCTGGGAGGCAAATTCCTCAAGGATTGCTCGGAAAATGTGGATGTGAATTTTGCTCAATCAACACACTTTTCATTGAGCATCTGCCATGTGCCTGGCTATCCGGGTGTTTGAGGACACAAAGCAATAAACAGGGCTTGCCTTCTGGAGACCCTTACATCAGTATAAAGGGAGGTAGAATTACCGGGGATTTGCGGTTCCATGGATAATGATGTACATGTAGAAGTACTAAATTATTTTGGATTAGGTACTATATGCTTATTATTATTATTATATTTTTTTGAGACGGAGTTTCACTATCGTTGCCCAGGCTGGAGTGCAGTGGTGTGAGCTCCGGTTCACCGCAACCTCCTCTTCCCAGGTTCAAGTGATATTCCTGCCTCAGCCTCCCTAGTAGCTGGGATTAGAGGCTTGTGCCACCATGCCCAGCTAATTTTATATTTTTAGTAGAGACGGGGTTTCTCCATGTTGGTCAGGCTGGTCTCGAACTCCTGACTCAAGTGATCCACCCGCCTCTGCCTCCCAAAGTGCAGAGATTACAGGCGTGAGCCACTGCACCTGGCCTTTTTTTTTTTTTTTTTTAATCAAGCATTTTAGGGGCATGCAGTGGAGAAGTGAAGTCCTAACGCAGAATGCCAGTTTCTGTGTATTCTCCCAGAGGCAGTTGATATAGGGGAGCTAAAGCTCTTTGGTCCTTGGAGGAAGGTTGCTTGTAGAGGCTAGTGAACACTTATGAGAAAGTTCATAGCTTTTCAGGCCTGTTGGTCAATTGGATGTGACAGATTGGTGGTTTCCATTCCTGAAGACTATCCCTCTTAGGAAAAATGTGGATTTTGAGCTCCTTTTTTTTTTTCTTTGTTGAGACGAGGTCTCGCTCTGTCACCCAAGTTGGAGTGCAGTGTTGCGATCTCAGCTCACAGCAACCTCCTCCTCCCGGGTTCAAGTGATTCTCCTGCGTCAGCCTCCTGAGTAGCTGAGATGACAGGTGCATGGCACCACGCCTGGCTACTTTTTGTATTTTTAATAGAGTCGGGGTTTCACCATGTTGTCTAGGCTGGTCTTGAACTCCTGACCTCAGTTGATCTGTCCGCCTTGGCCTCTGGGATTTCTGAGCCGCCATGCCCAGCCTTGAGCCTCCTTAATCAGAAATCTAAACTTACAAGGACATTTCACTTCAGGGGTGTGAGTGGAGGGTGTTTCTTGTCATGGACCAGCTATTATACATGCCATTCAGAACCATCTTTCATGGATGATAAGGTCCTGTGTGAAAGTGACATGAGTTTTTTTTTGAGACAAGAGTCTCATTTGGTCACCAAGGCTGGAGTGCAGTGGCATCATCTCGGCTCACTGCAACCTCTGCCTCCCGGGTTCAAGTGATTCTCTTGCCTCAGCCTCTTGAGTAGCTGGGATTACAGGTGCGTGCCACCACGCCAGGCTAATTTTTGTATTTTTAGTTAGATACAGGGTTTCACCATGTTGGTCAGGCTGGTCTCGAACTCCTGACCTCATGATTCACCCGCCTTGGCCTCCCAAAGTGCTGGGATTACAGCGTGAGCCACAGCCCCCGGAAGACGTGATGTTACCAAGGAGGAACGTCTGACCCGTCAAGCCCCAGAACTTACAGTAGGCTTTAGGCTGTTTCCTCTGTGCATAATTGTTGAGTCTTCACTGTAGTAAGTCGAATTGATTATTGAGCTTTTTTTGGGGGGGGGGTGGGGGTGGGGTCCCTTATCGCTTTTATCACTCGGCACTAGCAGGGTTCAGAATTGGTTTCTCATGTCTAATTCTTCCCTCATACGTGGATCTGCTGGCAAGTCAGAGGTTGCTGGGCTGGAATTGGGTAAGGGCATTGAAGGTGGGGTGCTGCCCGGGGAAGAGGGTAGAAGAGCCACTTGCAGTGGTCCCAGAAGAAAGACCTGAGTGCTTTTGAGGAGCTGGGTGTTTGAAAAACTGGGAAGCACTTTGCTGAGGACTCTACTGGCGATTAGAACTGTATCTACAAAGCAAATGTTCAACTAATGTTTACAGAGTTAATTCAAACGCTCCAGTTTAAAAACTTGCCACCTCTGCCCTTCAGAGCAAGAGAGAACCTTGCTGCTTTGTAAGTCTGCCTCAAAATGTCTTTCCCAAGGCCTCTGCAAGCCTCCTCCAAAACAGGAGTTGTTCATCTCCTGCTCATCTGAAGATGTACCCACTGTATTGTCAGTGGAAGAGTGCACCAGCACAGGGAGGGAGAAAAGTTTGCATTCACCAATTCCTTTTCCCCACCCCCCTTCCCTTCCAAAGGTCCTTTTTGCTGGGGATCTCTGATTGGAATCTCCCTAGAATCATCTCATGTTGATGTAGGCACTCTTTTAAATAGGCCAACAAACCCCGCATTCTGTGCTTTGAAGGACAGTAAAATGTTTGCACTGGTTACAGTAAAAGCCAGTACATAACATGAATACAAAGACCCTCGAGATAAAGTTAATGATTAAATTCAGAGGTTTTGGCCTATTTCCTATAGAGATTGCTCTCTCCTGAACTTTACTCCATTATGTTTAGAGACAAAGCCCCGAAATTGCCTTCTGTGTTTATAAGGTCCAATTGTAATCTGTGCTGGAGACTTTCCCTTGAGTTTTCTCCATTCCTCCGACAGGGCATGCAGTGGGGGTAGGCTTCCTTAGGGCCCCTTGCTGGGGCTGCTTTCTTCTGTCCAGTTTTGTTTGGATACCACCCCCAACCCACATGCTTGGGGCAGGAGGAATTCCTCCCTGGGCTCTTTGTTCAGCAGGAATGGCTGCCTCCTGGAATGTTGATCACCTTGGCCCAAGTGGCTAACACTGGTGAAGCCTTGCGACTCTGCTGCTGGGGAGCTTTCAGGGCTCAGCTGGGGGTGCAAGGGGGCATGCTTCTGGCCCTGAGTGGTGGCCTCCCTTCTCAGTCACCCCGGGCTGGTCTAAGTGAGCCAGCTTTTATCTTATCCACAAACTAAAGATTCTATCCCTTCCTCATTTAAAAAAGCCTGGCTGGGCGCAGTGGCTCACGCCTGTAATCCCAGCACTTTGGGAGGCCGAGGTGGGTGGACCATGAGGTCAGGAGATCGAGACCATCCTGGCTAACCTGGTGAAACCCCATCTGTACTAAAAAACAAAAAATTAGCCGGGCGTGGTGGCGGTCGCCTGTAGTCCTAGCTACTCGGGAAGCTGAGGCAGGAGAATGGCATAAACCCGGGAGGCGGAGCTTGCAGTGAGCTGAGATCGCGCCACTGCACTCCAGCCTGGGCGACAGAGCGAGACTCTGTCTCAAAAAACAAAACAAAAAACAAACCCAAGGAGCCAGGCACAGGGGAAATGTGTGCCCTGATTGTATCGATAGTACCCTGAGTGTGATATTATACTATTGTTTTGGGAGATGTTACCATTAGGAGAAACTGCGTAAAGAATACTAGGTATCTTTACCTAGTGAGGTGGCTCACGCCTCTAATCCCAGCACTTTGGGAGGCCAAGGTGGTTGGATCACTTGAGCTCAGGAGACCAGCCTGGGCAACACGGCAAAACCCTGTCTCTACAAAAAAAATACAAAAGTTAGCTGGGCGTGGTGGCGTGTGCAGTGAAGCAAGATTACGCCACTGTACTTCACTGCACTCCAGCGTGGGCCACGAGTGAGGCCCACCGCCAACCCCCACCCCCCAAAAGAAAAAGCCCCAGAGGCAGGGATTGGTTAATAAGTTTAGTGCCGTACATTCTTTGGCTTAACGTGGTGGCTTCTCTACTGATGAAACGTTCTAAAGTTTATTGTTTCCTTTTTCAAGAGGTTTGTGGGACTTCACCTAACTTGGACCCCCAGGACTTACCAGGAAGCTTCCTTTTTAATTTATTTTAATATTTACTTCTATTTTAAAAATTTCTGTAGTGACAGGAGTCTTGCCATGTTGCCCAGGCTAGTCTGAAACTTCTGTACTCAAGTGATCCCCGGCCTCCCAAAATGCATGTGCCACAGTGCTCAGCCAGGGTGCAGTTCTTGGAACTCACGCCATACACCTAGGAACAACTCCACTCGCTTCTGAGCACCTGTCTCTACCTGCTTTGCTCTAGCACCATAAAGATTGCCCCTGTAATTTCAGCAGGGATTTCCCCACAGCTCAGCAGGGAGAGAAGGGAGAAGAGAAAGGAAACTCTCAGTGCTGGTCCTCATATGCTGAGGAGGGGAATTTGCAGATTCCATCACTGTCTAGATTTACTGCTGGGAAAACATTGTCCGTTTTGAAAACTGTTAGTTTGATAATGGCATAATTATTTATTGTTGGTCATTTTGCTTTGACTCCCAGGAAGCTCAGAGCCAAACCATGGTCTCAATCCAGGAAGTCCCATCCCGCATGCTGCTCTCCTTTCATGACTCAAGCTTGCCTGTGTTTGTCTTCTTTGTAAGCTGCTTTTCTTAGATTTGGGTGAGAGTTCCTGAAAAAAATTTCAGTAAAAATTGAGTATGATGGGGTTGTAAATTGTCCAGGATAGACAGGTTTTGATCCAAGAAATCAGACTGCTGAGTTAGGTAAAAGAATTAAGCCATTGTACCAGCATAGCACTTGTCAAATATGCATATAATCCCCATGTATGCTCTGTCCCTTCCTGGATAGAGTCCAGACCCGTGCCAAGGGGCGGGTGCAGAGTCTTGCCAGCATGTGCCTCACAGAGAAGTCGGGGCAGTGAGGACTACAAAGCTCTCCTCTGTAAAAATCAAAGTGATTTGAGAAACCCCAGGGTTATTCATGTCCCCTTATACAGACAGGCCTTAGCCAGGTGTAGGCTCTTCTGATCCCCATCTCCCCACCCCCACCCAAGAACCCTCTGTTCTGCAATTTGGTACATCTTGAAACCCCTTCTTGAGAGGTGAGAGGAAGTGGTTAATCCCCACTTCCTTCCCTGGGAGTTTTATGGGCCTCTGGGAGCCTGCCTTACTCTGGCCTTAATGGTCATAAATGACCCTCTCTCAGGGCAGGGCCAAGCCCCTATGAGTCTTAGGTGCTTAATAAATGCTTTTTGATGGTGATTCCCTTGGTCTTCTGTAATTGGAGGGCGGGGGTGGGACTATTTATAGGATTATCGGGGTGTTGGCCACAGCCCCTCCAGCTGGGTATAGGCCTGGAACATTGTGATTGGGCAAGGGCTTCCAGGGTGCTGGGACTAGGTTTGACTGAATTGGTCAAGTCATGCCTTTGTTGAGAAATACAAGAGGGGCAGGGCCTCACCCTCCAAGGGAGCCCTCTGCTTCCTGCTACTTTCACCCCCCAAGATCTGGCCTGCATGGTAGCAGGGGGTGGGAGAAATGTGAAGGTAATGGTAATTGAGGGTTGATCTTGATTTGCACCTCAGGACACTCCCCCCAACTCACCAGGATCCCTTTTCTCATCAACCAGAGTTCTAAGGCATAGCAGTAACTCCCCAGTAAGCTTATTTCTTGGTTTGCCCAGCTCTTGGGACAGGCTTACCCAGGGGCCTCGAAGTAAGGGATACTGGGATCTGTGAAAATGGAGTGGATGGCCCAGTTGTGCTTAGCACATTTAATCTTTATTAGTGGCAAAAGAGCTCTGGGAAGGAAATCTGGGCAGGCATCACCTCTCCTGCTAGCAGGTCCCCCTCCCTTTCCCTGCCAGCTAATCCCCGTGCCTCCCATTCTGCAGGGTTTTAATTAACTGTGTTTAATCTTCCCCGGGAAGCAGGCTTAATGCCCGCCTGCGTGCTTATCCCGTTACCCGCTGGGTTTTCTGTTCCAGCCCAGCCAAGGACAAGTAACATTCTGGAGGAGTCTTCGCCCAAGGGCCATTAGCTGAGGGAACCTCCCTGAGCTCCTTTCCTGTCGTGCTGCTTTCTGGGAAGGTGCAGAGCCGGCCCAGAAAGCAAACCAGGGTGTGGGCAAGGGTTAATCTGGGCCCTGCCCGCCCACCCTGCCTTTGTGGAGGAGCTCCATAAATCCTGCTGGATTTAATGTTATGCAAATAACTCCAGATAAACGCACTTTTTTCTGGTTAGAGTCTCAAGATGTTTTAATGTGAACTATAGAGAAAATAAGTGTCCTAAAAACTATGAGAGCCGAAGTATTTTACGGGGAAATTATCTGTAGTGACTGCCCACTATGTGCTTACCCATGCTTTCTCGCGTCGTCGTTATTTTGTGTGGTTGTGTAAATCAGCCCTTCCCTGGTTAACAATGACCTGGGAGTTGGTTAGCCCTGGGGCTCCCTACCCCATGGAGATTCTGATTCTCTAAAACTGGGGTGGGGCTCAAATTTGCATCTTTAACAAGTACCTCTGGGGATTCTAATGCTGGTGGCCCCTTTGAGAAACAGATTTAAATGTTGCCCTAGGAGGAAGAGGGGATTTTAGGTCACAACAGAGTTCTCAGCACACTGTTTTGTTTTGTGAATTGGCATTTTACCCAATTGTCAGTCATAACTTCACTTTTATTCCCTTTCCCTGAGACTGGGTCTCGGCCTGTCACTCAGGCTAGAGTGCAGTGGCGTGATCACAGCTCACCGGAGCCTCGGCCTCCCAGACTCAAGCAATCCTTCTGCCTCAGCCTCTGGCGTAGCTAGGAGTACAGGCACTCTCCACCATGCCTAGCTAACTTTAAAAAATTTTGTAGAGAGCGTCTCACCAGTGACCCACCGAGCCTGGCCAATCATAACTTTTCTATTTCATTTTAAATGATATCTCCTGAGTTGTAAATTGGTAGACCTGTATTATTATCAGATGCCCTGGTGGGTTTAAGCAGCCTGTGATAATAATGAAGCTTTAACTTAGCTGATGAAGTCGGTTAACCAACTTCAAGCCATAACAATTCCTAGAATATTGAATCAACCTTTAGCCATCCCCCTCCTCTGAGCCACCTTGAAAAGATAGCCAGTGGAGACATTGTATTTCTAAGAAGCCATTCCGTACTTCCAAAGTTCCCCAATTTTAATGACATTGGGATGGAAATTCAAATTAAGACAAGGTAATGAAGACTGAGTTTTTGGGCTGAATTTGAGCGAAACTCCCCAAAGTTGTTTCATGTGGGACTCTGCCTTCAACACAAACAAGGACAGCTAGAACTAGGTGAGGCTGTGCATCTGAGGGCCTTGCCAGGTCTTCCCTTCTGGTTTCACCTCTAGTTGGCATCTCTCTCTAAATGGAGCTGAACAGGAGCCACCTGGAGGCTTTCCAGGTACCTGTCTGGATTGTATAAAAACAGCTAATGCTGTGCTGTGGAGGGGAGTACAGTAATTTTCAGACAGAGCTGAAATGTTTGTGGCTGTGTCTCCCAGACCATGCCAGGGCTTCCATTTCACTCCCAGGGTTAATTGGGTGAAAATGTGGGAGACACATGGCTCAAACCCACAGAAAGCTTGCAAAGATGTAGGAATCCCCAGGAGCCAGGGCAAAAAGGATGAAAGAGAAGAAGGTGTTTAGTATATTCAGGAGTCCCCACTGTCCCTCATCTGGCTGAGCAGCTCCTGCCACCACACCATGAACAGTCTTGCTGCCACCTGGCTTGGCAGCCCTCCTTCCCTCTAGCGGGTTTGCAAGGAGTCTTCAGTTTGGGGGTTACTCTGGGGGTTACTCACAGGTACAAACCCTTTCTTTAACTCAGTGGTCACTAGGTAAATGAGATCATATGATATTATAAGCCAGTTGTATGTATTGTTAATGACAGTATGCCCTGTGAGAGAACAAAGGGCCTTGGGATCTTTCATGAGGTTACTGGGTCAAATTGCCATGCGACCTAGGCCAAGTTTGGATCTTTTTTTTTTTTTGAAACAGAGTCTCTCTGTCACCCAGGCTGGAGTGCAATGGAGTGATCTCAGCTCACTGCAACCTCTGCAACCTCCGCCTCCCGGGTTCAAGTGATTCTCCTGTCTCAGCCTCCCGAGTAGCTGGGATTACAGGCACCTGCCACCAAGCCTGGCTAATTTTTGTATTTTTAGTAGAGACAGGGTTTCGCCATGTTGGCCAGGCTGGTCTCGATCTCCTGACCTTAGGTGATCCACCTGGCAGTTTGCATCCTTTTTTAAAAAACGGAGTTGGAGACTATGGCTCACTAGCTTGTGCATTTATTTATTATGTTTTTGGATGGGAAACTAACTTGGTAAGCCACTTTTTTTTTTTTTTTTTTTTTGAGATGGAGTCTCGCTCTGTCGCCCAGGCTGGAGTGCAGTGGCGCGATCTTGGCTCGCTGCAAGCTCCGCCTCCCGGGTTCACAGGATTCTCCTGCCTCAGCCTCCTGAGTAGCTGGGACTACAGGCGCCTACCACCATGCCTGGCTAATTTTTTGTATTTTTAGTAGAGACAGGGTTTCACCGTGTTAGCCAGGATGGTCTCGATCTCCTGACCTTGTGATCCACACGCCTCAGCCTCCCAAAGTGCTGGGATTACAGGCGTGAGCCACTATGCCTGGCCACCACTTCTTATTTTTAAATTGGCATAATAACTGTATATGTTTAGGGGGTACAATGTGATGTTTGGTATATACATACATTGTGGAATGATTATATTAAGGTAATTAACTTAGATACTTATGTTTTTTGTAATGATAATGTTTAAAATATTTAAAATCTGTTCTCAATACATCATTAACAACTGTGGTCACCATGCTGTGCATTAGCTCTTGAAAACTTAAGTCTTCCTGTCTAACTGAAACTTTTAACCGACATCTCCCCTTGCCCCTCCCCTGCACCCACCCCTGTCCCCAGCCCCCCGCTCCAACCCCAGCCTCTGATATTCTACTCTCTACTTCTACTCTAGTTCTCTTCTCTCTACTTCTATGAGATTAGCTTTTTTAGATTCCATATATAAGTGACATCATGTGGTGTCTGTCTTTCTGTGCCTGGCTTGTTTCACTTAGCATAATAACCTCCAGTTTCATCCCAGTTGTTGCAAATGACAGGATTTCCTTCCTTTTAAAGGCTGAATAGTATTCACCCATGCATATATGGCACATTTTGCTGTCTTGTAAACAATGCTGCAGTGAATATGAGAGGACAGATAGCTCTTTGACATACTGATTTCAGTTATTTGGGGTATATATACCCAGAAGTGGGATTGCTGGATCATGTGGAAGTTCTGTTTTTGTTTTGTTTTGTTTGAGTTTCTGTCACCCAGGCTGGAGTGCAGTGGCACCATCTCTGCAACCTCCGCCTCCCAGGTTCAAGCGATTCTCCTGCCTTATGCTCTGGAGCAGCTTGGACTACAGGCTCTCGCCGCCAGGTCCAGCAATTTTTTTTTTTTTTTTTTTTTTTGAGACTGAGTTTTGCTCTTGTTGCCCAGGCTGGAGTGCAATGGCGCAATCTCAGCACACCGCAACCTCCGCGTCCCGGGTCCAAGTGATTCTCCTGCCTCCACCTCCCGAGTAGCTGGGATTACAGGCACGTGCCACCATGTCCCGCTAATTTTGTATTTTTAGTAGAGAGAGGTTTCTCCACGTTGGTCAGGCTGGTCTCAAACTCCCGACTTCAGGTGATCCGCCTGCCTTGGCCTCCCAAAGTGCCGGGATTACAGGTGTGAGCCACCGCACCCAGCCAGGGTAGTGCTGTTTTTAACTTTCTGAGGAACCTCTGTGCCCTTGGCTCCATAATGGCTGTACTAACTTTAAGGTTGTGCATTTTAAATGAGTTGATACAGGGAAGCATCCAGGCCAGTGCCTGACTTACTGTATCCTTACATTTGGCAAGTACACATTGACTATCTGTCTTGAGCTCAGCTTTGTGCTCAGTTAAATGCAGGCCTTTCCATATGTGACAAATGAATGTGCTGACAAGCAGAGATTCGCCTGGAGTTGGCCTCCTCCCACATTTGCCTCTGAGTCTTGGCTTAGCTGGCTCTCAATATGGGGCTGGTTTTTTGTTTTGTTTTGGGAGTGTAATGTTTTATATATTTATGGGCTCAACCAACTGTGGATTGAAAATATTAGAAATAAGGCAATAAAAATTTCAAATGCAGTATAGTTATTGACATAATATTTACATTGTACTAGATATTCATAACCAATCTAGAAATGATTTAAAGTATATGGGAGGATGTTCATGGGTTGTCTGCAAATACTACACCATTTATATAAGGAACTTGAGTATCCTTGGATTTTGGTATCCAAGGGGGTCCTGGACACGCAGTCTTCCACAGATAACGAGAGACGACTGTACTTTATACAAGCATGGCAAAGAGCCACTTAATACTGTGTGACCTCATGTGAGTTAATCTCTTTGCCTTAGATTTTTAATTTGTTAAATAGAAATGATAGGTAGATACTTATGCTATACTGTGCGCATGATGAAATGCACAGATCTGAATATATGGTGAGTTTTGACAGTTGTGCACCCCAGGGTAGTGTGCATTTCTTTCTGCCCTCTTAGTTCTACAGGTCAGAGGAATCCTGCCAAGGGAGTTTTGCAAGGTCTGGCCCATAAACTCTTATCTTGTCTGCAGAAGTCAGCTGGTCTTGTCACTTCTTTCCCTGATAACCACCCCTCTTCCCTGGAGGGGTGGGGGCCTGAATCATCAGGGCATGAAGCCGTTGTGGAAGGTTCCCTCCGAAGAAATAAGGGGATTGTCTTTGCTAATTCTCTGCTATCTCTTTATCTCATATTTCTTAATACTGTTTTCTTTTTATGGTTCTTTTTGGGAAACGAGGCTCAAAAATACCCCTAGTTTTGTCTATGATTAGGGTCCTGAGGTTATTTTTCCCTTGAGCCAGGCAGTTTTAAAATGCCTGATGCCTCTTCATTTTTGCCCTTTAAAACACCAGCCTTGGCCAGCTGAATGAAACCTGGGGCAGTGGCCAGGCTGTGGACCCAGTGGAGTCTGGGGATGGCGGGAATCACCTTGGTTAGCTGAGACTTGAGGTCACAGGACAACCAGAAAGCTGAGCTTTCATGTGGTAGTGTCATGGAGCAGTGGAAACTTGTGGATTTCAGAGCCCTGCCAGACACATCCCTAAGCCCCTAAACCCCAATCCCTCACCCCTATTCAATGAGTTCCCTGAAGCTCTGGGGGTCTAGGGTTGGAGAGAGGTTAAGATGATATTTAAATTTTTTCAAACACTCTTATTTTAGGAAATGGGAAAACATGGGATCCTGGCCCTGGGCAGTCAGGGGAGCCTTAAGCTGGGGGTACTAAGTGGACAGGGGACTTAAGGGCATGATAACTGCAAGTGAATTTAAAAAGCTGTTATGTTGGAAAATAAGCCCCTCAGTTTGGATGGATAAGGTCAGAAGGAACCCAGTCTTGTGGAGCTACTACTTGGTAGTTAAACATTGTTTCATGGTGAAGGTAGAGCGAGTTCATTTACCTGCCTTAGATTAGAAACGCTGGCACTGCAGTTTCCCCCAGGACTAATTTTTAAACAGTGTGGTTAGAGGAAGGATCTTGCATAGGGCCTGGAGTTTTTTTGGTTTTTTTTTTCTTTTGAGACAGAGCCTTGCTCTGTTACCCAGGCTGGAATGTAATGGTGCGATCTGAGCTCACTGCAACCTCGGCCTCCAGGCTTCAAGCAGTTCTCCTGCCTCAGCTTCCCCAGTAGCTGGGATTACAGGCGTGCACCACCACGTCCAGCTAATTTTTGTATTTTTAGTAGAGATGGGGTTTTGTCATGTTGGCTGGGCTGGTCTCGAACTCCTGGCCTCAAGTGATCCACCCGCCTCAGCCTCCCAAAGTGCTGGGATTTACAGGCGTGAGCCTGGCCTAGGGCCTGGAGTTCTAATCCTTATTTCTTAATTAAACTGTGGCTGTTTTACCAGGTAAACAAGCCTCCTTCCCCTTCCACTTTTTTTGTCCGGTGGGGTAAGAGTTGGGTGCATTGGCTATGGATTCTTAACTTTTTTGTCAAGAACCCCTTTAAGAATCTGACCTGTGTACTTTCTCTCCAGAAAGAACTGCACGCTCAAAATTTTGCACACTAATTGAGGGGTTGCCAGGCCCTGAGATTGTCACAAGTTGTGCACACAAATTGAAGGTAGCTCCTATCTAGCTCCTAAGATTGTGTGGCTCAAAGCGTTCTTGGGGTATGTCTTCAGTGTCTTTCAAAGCAAGATAGTCATCTGTTAATTATGTATTGCCAAAAATGAAACAAAACCCCACGCATCTGGATGGTTTCAGAATTTAGGCCCTGTGGCATGGAGGTTCGTTGTCTTCCAGTCTCCCTCCGTTCCGTGCCTCTTTTCCAAAGGCAGGTAGTGGGACAGAAAGGTGTTGAGGCATCTGAGTTTAAAATACTAATCCTGTGGCAAATCTAGGGTTTTCTATAGGAGGATGTGGTGGTTAGCGGGTGAAGTTTGCATTGCTAATTGGGAATACAGATTTTTTTTTGTGTGCAATTCTCTAAAAGCAAGCATTAGGGAGGGTGAAAAGCTAAGAGGAAATTGTTTCCCAAAGGATTTTTGCAAAAGGCATTTCCCTTCCCCCTCCTCTTGTGTTTGACCTATTTATGTACTTTCAGAGTGTTGATGTCATAGTATTTCAAAGGGATATTGTATGTCTTGACTGGTAACTGCTTTTAAATAGGCCCAAAATACTCCGTCCTCCATTAATGATCAGCATGGCTCCCTCCAGGAATGGAAATTGTCAGATTGTCATAGAATGTTTTAGTCATCCTGATGACTAGAGTCATTCTCTCTCCTGCTTAATTCTCGACCTTCTTTTGCAACCACTGGAACATAACAGCAAATAAAAATAACCTTTAAGGAAGACTAGCTTGTGTAGATGAACATTCTTTGAATTTTAAGCTGAAATACTGAGTGCAGGATGGAGAGAACGCTGCTAAGCAGGGTATCTTGACCGGCTTGTTAGTGAGGGTTTTGTAGGGGGGACCATTCGCTGCCCTATCCGCCTGTTTCTCTTGTGGGATTAATCATTTCCTTTTGACCTTGTGCTCTGCCCCTAACATGTTGCATTGATCAGATCCCGAAATCTCAAGTCATTCTCCACCCCCACCACCCACCTCATTCTAATGAGACATCCTGAGGTGCAGGTTGGGGAGGGGTTTAAATAGAAAAGGTGTTCTCTATCAAAATACACAAAATGAAAAACAAATTATTATTTTTCAAAACAAGCCTCTCCACTTTCCTGTTTTGTTTTCTTATGGTTCTGTCAAGCTTTTTAGAAAGCTCCGCTTTCTCACTGTGACTATGGAAATGTTACTGGTTCAGCTTACACATTTTAAAACCTTGTGTTTCTCGGGCTGTGGGGAAAAAAGTTTGTTCTTTTTGATAAGCCTTACGTCTCAATTTCCTCCTCACTCTCACTTTTTAGAAAATTTCTTAAGTAGATGGTGAAATTTGAATTTCAGGCTACAATTAGTAAAAGAACTGAATACAGTTGGTAATAGAGTGGAATACAATGAACAAATGGCCAAGCCAATGAGGAGGATAAGGAGAATATGCAGAATTCACTGATTGGTATATTTCTCTCCTTAACTGAATCCACCCAGCTAAGTTCTTTGAAGACTTAGCGTTGTCCTCCTCACCTTTAATTAATGAAAGTGAACTGGCAAACTGGAAACTTTGTTTTTTGTTTTTGTTTTTGTTTTTTTTGAGACAGTCTTGCTCTGTCGCCAAGGCTGTAGTTACAGTGGTGTGATCTCAGCTCACTGCTACCGTCGCCTCCCAGGTTCAAGCGATTTTCCTGCCTCAGCCTCCCGAGTAGCTGGGATTACAAGTGCCCGCCACTACGCCTGGCTAATTGTTGTATTTTTAGTAGAGATGGGGCTTCACCATGTTGGCCAGGCTGGTCTCTAACTCCTAATCTCAGGTGGTCTGCCTGCCTTGGCCTCCCAAAGTGCTGGGTTTACAGGTTTGAGCCACCACGCCCTGCCTGAACTGGCAACTTTGAAAGGGTTGGGGCAGTTCTACTGTGTGACATTAATCTTGGGAAACTTAATTATTTCAAACTTAAATTTCAGGTGGCAAAACAGGTCTGAAGAGTATCAAAATTGCAAAAGAGAGAAAGGAAAGCTGATGTTATCACTTAGGCATAGCAACAGCTTTCTTTTGTGGGGTAGGCAGGAAAGGAATTTTCTGTTCACTTCCCACTTGGGAACAACTATTCAGGAGAGAGAAGTACCCAAAACCCTCTGGAGCGTGCCCGAGGGGTCCTGTGGGAACAAAGGCTCTATATTGGACCTGCTGCCAGCTTGGACCAGGCTGTTTTATGGTCGGTCCTCGGCCTTGGACCAAACTGGTCACAGATTCCCTGGGGGGTAGCCTTTTGGATTGTGGGGCCATGAATGAAATTGGGGACAGGGACAGTGTCACGGCCTAAACTGGAGCGCCGGAGGCACATCCTGGAGAAGGACATTGAGGGCTGTGTTCCTTTCTCTGACCAGAGGGAGGGTGGGGGTTGGGAGGCAGATAAATAGGTTTCTCCAGCTTCTCCATATGTCCACTACTGGGTTTATGCCTGAGGGTGTTGTGTAGAAATTTGAAGTATTGGGAAGCAAAACAGTGGTTCAAACAAATGCAGTGATAGGAGAGTGGGGCTCTCAGATGTGAGAACTTAGAAACGGACCCAAAGCAAGACAAGAGCATTTTGCCAGAGAGGTCTTCTTGTGCTAGGCTCATTTTAGGGAGCTATGGGAATGTGCTATTAAAGTCAGGCTTGTTAAACCCAGCAGGCATTTATTCTTGACCTGTAGGGGATAGGGAGCCATTGAGGGTTCTTGAGTTTGGAAGTAATGAAAAAAAGAAAGCAGCTGAATTTAGCAGTGGTTGATGGCACACAGGTAGAATTGCCTCTGCCTGAGGATTACAGAACTCTAACTGGGTAGAGGAAGGTTTATATTTGTATACTGTCTTTTAAAAAAAAAAAAAAACAAAAACAAACTTTATCTGGTATTTAGTATAAGCAATAATGAAACATGTAGCTTTGTCTTGGAAAATATTTTAGGAACACGAAGAGAATAGCAAAAGGTATTTGCAATTAAATTCTAAGTAGCTACACAAACACACCCCAGTTTGGTGTGAATAAAAAGTATGAAATTTTGTTCTGTGACATGCAAACACTTGACAGGGACCCCCTTACTATAGATTTGGTTACCAAGGAATACTTGTATCCATTTTTCTTCTTTTTCACAAATAGTAAATATATGTATACATTACTGTCTTCTGTATTTTTTCCATAATAATGTATCTTGGAGATTATTTCTCTCTCTCTCTCTCTTTTTTTTTTTTTTTTGAGACAGTCTCACTCTGTCACCCAGGCTGTACTGCAGTGGCACCATCTCAGCTCACTGCAACCTCCGCCTCCTGGGTTCAAGCGATTCTCCTGCCTCAGCCTCCCGAGTAGCTGGGATTACAGGTGCATGCCACCACACCCAGCTAATTTGTTTGTATTTTTAGTTGAGATGGGGTTTCACCATGTTGGCCAGGATGGTCTCGATCTCCTGACCTCGTGATCCGCCCACCTGAGCCTCCCAAAGTGCTGGGATTACAGGCATGAGCCACCACACCCGGCCAGAATATCTCATTCTTTTTAATGGTTGCCCTGGAATCAATTTATTTAACCATTATTAACTAGTACTCTATTAATGGACATTTAGTTTGCTTCCAGTCTCATGTGGTGCTATAAATCACCTATTTTTAAGGAAGTGCTTCATTCCTGCCTGGATGAACATCTAAAGATTGTCTTGTAGCTTGCAAGTGTTTTTACTAGAGAAGGGACACCCTTTTTCCTGAGGAGAAATGGAAGTTAAAAGTTTGTGCTGAGATAGCCCGTGGTAAGTTTGTCAAGTCTGGAGTTTGGTTTTGTCAAAAGTTTGTGGGAGGCCTGGTGCGGTGGCTCACGCCTGTGATCCCAGCACTTTGGGAGGCCAAGGCAGGCAGATCACTTGAGGCCAGGAGTTTAAGAGCAGTCTGACCAACAGAGTGAAACCCTATCTCGACTAAAAATACAAAAATTAGCCAGGCATGGCGTGTGCCTGTAGACCCAGCTACTCAGGAGGCTGAGGCAGGAGAATCATTTGAACTCAAGAGGCGGGGGTTGCAATGAGCTGAGACCACGCCACTGCACTCCAGCCTGGGTGACAGAGCGAGACTCCCATCTCAAAAAAAAAAAAAGGAAAGAAAAGTCTTGGTGTTGGCCCCTTTGGGCGATCTTGGCTCACAGCAACCTCTGCCTCCTGGGTTCAAGTAATTCTCATGCCTGAGCCTCCCAAGTATCTGGAATGACAGGCATGTGCCACCATGCCTGGCTAATTTTTTAAATTTTTTTGTAGAGACTCAGAGGTCTCACTATATTGACCAGGGTGGTCTCAAACTCCTTGACTCAAGTGGTCTGCTCATCTCGGCTTCCCAAAGTGCTGGGATTACACACGTAAGCCACTGCGTGCCTGGCCTACATTCCCATTTTAATAGTTTTGTTCTCTAGCACATTCTTAGAGATAGTTGTTTCTGGAGAGACACCTCATTCATGGACATATACATGTAAAGATGCTTCTGGACATTGCTTAGGCTGTTCAGGCTCTGAGAGGTTGTGACCAGCTCATGGAAACCTGAGTTTTCCTCTGGTTCTCTGTGGCTACCCACTTGACCAAGGCTCTGGAATGTAATCCATGAATGAGATTTTGATGGAATTAGCTGTGTGCAGAACTGGAAGGAACCTTAGTTTGAATATCGTCTTCATTCCCTAGGCCTTACTCAAGGAGGAAACAAGGCATCATCTGGCTAAATCTTTCTAGCCCTCAGCTCCAACTCCTCACAAAGTTGTTTTATGTTCTTTAATAGATGAGAATGGTGTTTTGATTATCATTTTCTGGCCACAGTTTGATGCTGATGGGATACAGTGCTAACCACCCACTTAAATAGAGCTATTGCATAAGCCGTTATTTCCTTCCTTCTGTTTGTTCAAATGGGTATTGAGCATCCATGTGCCAGACACTTAGATGCTTGGAATGAAGCAGTGAACAAGACGGAAAAGTCAGTTCCAGCCTTCGTTGTACAGTGATCTCCCTTACCCACGGTCAGCCACAGTTGGAAAAGAGGTGAGTGCAGCACACAGTATTTTGGGAGAGAGAGATACCACATTCATATAACACAGTATGTTGTTACACAATATATTGTTATAATTGTTCTATTTTAATATTGGTTGTTGTTACTCTTCTTACTGTGCCTAATTTATAAATTACATTTTATCATAAGTATATATGTATAGTGAAAAACATAGTATATATAGGGTTTGGTACTATCCGTGCTTTCAGGCATCCACTGGGGGTCTTGGACGTATCCCCCAAGGATAAGAGGGAACTACTGTACTTAAATTCAAATGAACGTGACTAGATACACATTTTCAGGGATTGAAAAGGGCTTTGAGGAAAGTTAAGTCGGGTAAGGGGGTGGAAGTGAGGGGTACCAGTGTTGTGTTTAGTAGTGGGGAAAGTGTCTAGGGAGGTAGGTATGGGGCCACTGTGGGGTGGGGGAGGGCATGGCTTTCAGGCAGAGGGAATAGCAGGGAGTCCAGGATGGCCCAGCCAAACGCTGTGGGCACAGTGACCCCCAGGAGTGAAGTGGGGGAGCCTCTGGAGGGTTTTAAAGAGGGGTGTGGCGTGATATGTCTCTGACCTGTCTCTAGCCCTCCTCTTTTGCTGCTACATGGGGAACACACTAGGGCAGGAAGGAGACAGATCCTCAGCCTGTCGGTTCTCTGGAAAGTATCTGGGAGAAGCAGTGTTCCCTAGAGGGACATGTCCCAGAATGAAGGTTCATCTTCAGGGATGGTGGTTTTGGGGAGCACAGCAGGAGGGAGACCCTGGCTGAGAGAGAGGAGGAAGGATCTCAGAGAGACCCCAGTATAAGCTGACATGTGGTTTAAGTGGTGAGGGAAGGGATGCCCTATGTGGTACACAGGGCTAATGAGCTGCTTCTGTACTGTTTATAAAACAACCCACAGTTCAGAGGGACAGCATACAGGAGAGATGCCCCAAGATGGGTAGCTGGCCTCTCCTACAGGCACCATCTGAGCAGAGCCTGGATTGGAGTTCATTGTTGGTGCTGACTTAGGCAGAGCTAGAAGGTACCTAGTTTTCTCTAATAGTTTTATTTATTTATTTATTTATTTATTTTTGCTTTTTTGTTTGTTTGAGACGGAGTCTCGCTCTGTCACTCAGGCTGGAGTGCAGTGGCGCAATCTGGGCTCACTGCAAGCTCCGCCTCCTGGGTTCACACCGTTCTCCTGCCTCAGCCTCCGGAGTAGCTGGGACTACAGGTGCCCGCCACCACGCCCGGCTATTTTTTTGTATTTTTAGTGGAGACGGGGTTTCACCATGTTAGCCAGGATGGTCTCGATCTCCTGACCTCGTGATCCGCCTGCCTCGGCCTCCCAAAGTGCTGGGATTACAGGCGTGAGCCACCGCACCTGGCCCTCTAATAGTTTTCTTTACCTGGAACTTTCACCGCTCCCCTGCCCCCCCATCCCTACTTGCACTTTAAGACTTGACTTCTCCTCCTCCAGGAAGTTCTCTGAGATTACATCTCAGCTGGCCTTATTCAGTTGTCCCTTCTTTTAGACTGATAACACTTTGAGGGCAAGGACATCATAGTGCCAAGCATGAGGCAATAAGGAAATGTACTGGATGTTAAAAATAGGACCTCTGTTGGTGGAAGGTGAAAGGGGTGAAAGGCTGTTTTGACTGGACATGAATAAGAGTGGAGTCACTGGCCTCCTGCAGAGGAATTTGGGACATGTAGGGTCAGAGGTCATCATTCAGCATGCTTTCTCCCAATCTTATTTATGAAATCTCTCAACGTTCTTTTCAACGAGCAAACAAAGTAACCTGGAGAACCCGGGGCAGGAGTGCCTTCTTGGCTCATTGTCAGTCCTGCCTTGCAAACACTGTGATTTAACTTGCCTTGCCACTTACCAGGCTGGAACCCTTACGGGCTCATGACCACGCCTTTTCTTTCTGGAACTGCCACGGACATTTTTGGGTTTCATGTACTCTCAGGATGAATTCTCCACCACCACCCCGAGAGGAAATGTAGTATCCCCATTTATGGGTGAAAACAGCTCAGTGAGCCAGCTTATCCAAAATTGCTGGAGAAGGACCACTCAACATTTGAACCCGGGTTTTCTGACTCCACAACACAAGTTGGCCCAAAGTTGTGTCCTGGCCTCCTTCCACGTGGCTGGAACAATCACTAACCTCTGGCCCCTCAAGGTCACCCAACTGCCATGTACACACTTCTCTTCAGGAGCTTTCCCTGGGTCCCCTGTTCCCTCTGTTTTACTTCGAATTCTTCCTCTGCACTTTGGTCAGGAATAGCATGCTTCTTTGCTCAAGCTGTTCCTTTTAACTGGCAGATTTGTAAATCTTCCACCTCAGTCCTCCTGGGTCTGTCCCATTCTCCCTGAGAAGCTATTTCTGATTTACCTGCTTAGCACAAGGGCATGCTACTGCAGTGTCTCCTAGGCAGTGGCTGAAGTTCTTCTTGGAGTCATTCTGTGCAAAATTTCTAGCCATTTTTAGCAAGCAATTTTTTTCTAACTGGCCTCATGTGCAATTAATTCACCCTTGAACAATGTGGGGGGTTAGGGGCGCTGACGCCCTGTACAGTCAAATTTGTGTGTAGACTCCCCAAAACCTATATAGTATGCTGTTGACTAGAATTCTTACAGATAATATAAAGTCAATTAATACATGTATTATGTATTATTTGTATGTTACATGTATTATGTGCTGCTATATTCTTCAATAAAGTAAGATAGAAAAAAATGTTACTAAGAAAATAATAATGGCCAGGTGCAGTGGCTCATGCCTGTAATCCCAGCACTTCAGGAGGCCGACGCAGGTGGATCACTTGAGGTCAGGAGTTCAAGACCAGCCTGGCCAACATGGCGAAACCGTGTCTGTACTAAAAACACAAAAATTAGCCGGGTGTGGTAGTGGGTGCCTGTGATCTCAGCTACTCTGGAGGCTGAGGCATGAGAATCGCTTGAACCCAGGAGGCGGAGGCTGCAGCAAGCCGAGATCGCACCACTGCACTCTAGCCTGGGTGATAGAGTGAGACTCAGTCTCGGGGTGAGGGGCGGGACACAAAAAGAAGAAGAAAACGTGTTTACTATTTAAGTGGAAGTAGATCATTATAAAGGTCTTCATCCTCCTTGTCTTTTGAGTAGGCTGAGGAGGAAGAGAGAGAGGAGGGTTTAGTCTTGCTGTCTTAGGGGTGGCAGAGGTAGAAGAAAATCTATGTATAAGTGGACCCTTGTGTTTCAAACCCGTGTTGTTCAAGGGTCAACTGTATTTTGGTTAGTTCCTCATTTGTCTTACTGATCCTCTCTAGCAGGGGTATATTTTCCAAATCAGGCCATGGGTGAGAGTGAAAGGGGTTCTGTTAACAGTTAAGCCTAGACATCGTGAGCAAACCTGCCCAGACTGACGGTCGAACAGCTCTGGGAATAGAAGCTTCTCAAGTTGTTTTTTCTTTCAAGGCTTTTAGCACAGTCTTAAATCCGATGTAAATAGTTTAAAAATTAGCAGTGAACACAGCACACTTGACTATGAGGCCAGGATACTGTGGCCTCATAGTCTCTGAGTCTGAGTACAGACCAACTTTAAGAGCTGTCTCTAAAACAGATGGAGTTGGAGGCCCAGGAGGAAGTTCTGGGAGAGCCGGGAGGCCCAGCTGAACAGCCTGAGCCTCCCTGGCCACCTCTTCTTGGGGAAGAGTTTTAGATGCAGTGGGATGAGTATTGTGGAAAGACTAAGGAAAGCCACGTAGGGCCTCAGAACAATTTGGGGGAAGGACAGAGCCAAATATTTAGGTTTCTTGTGCCATGTGTATCACCTTTTCCTGACTTTAAGTGATAGACAAAGTAAGGGTGACTTGTTCAGGGCCAGATGGAGCAAGACAGGAATTTCAGGACCCAAGTAAAGACTAATTTGAGGGCTTAGAAAAGTCTCCTGAAAACTTCGATTATGTAACTGAAACCACCTGATTGTTTCACCAGCTAAGAGCTTGTGAATTTTCTTTTTCCCACCATAGCAGGTCTGGCTTTTCCCATCTTTGTGAAGTTTACCCTTGTGTATCTGATGGGGTGGATGGTGAGGCTCTGCCCCTCACCACTTTTATAGGGCAGAAGTGTGGGGTTTCTCCTGGCTTCGTGACCTGCTCAGTCTGGGCAGTGGGTGCCTGTTTCCTGTTTCACAAGTTCTGTCGAACAGCACGCTTGAGCATCCAACAAGCTTCATTTGTTGGAATGAGGTAGGATTTCTGATTAACATTCATACCTGAGACTTGAAATTATTTTTCATTACCATCATTTGCAAAAAGAGGAAAAACATGATGAGTGGTACCGCGATTTTAGGGTTTTCTTTTTTCTTTTGGAGACAGTGTCTCGCTTTATTGCCTGGGTGGAGTGCAGTGGCGTGATGTCGGCTCACTGCAACCTTTGTCTCCTGGGTTCAAACGATTCTCCTGCCTCAGCCTCCCAAGAAGCTGGGATTACAGGCACACATCAACATGCCTGGCTAATTGTGTTTTTTTAGTAGAGATGGGGTTTCACCATTGGCCAGGCTGGTTCTTGAACTCCTGACTTCAGGTGATCCGCCTGCCTTGGCCTGCCAAAGTGTTGAGATTACAGGCGTGAGCCACTGTGCCTGGCCAACTTTGGGGTTCTGGAGAGGGGTTTGATTCCAGTGGTTTTGCATACAGTTTCCCCAAATGTTGGTCTTTCTTCTGATTGTATCTTATTACCATTTAGTTGACATTTCCCTGCCCGGAATGCCGCTGGCCTGGGTGCCTGGGTTCCCTGGCTTTCCAGGGGTCACTTCACTTGGTCTTTGCTTACATCCTGCTGTAATGACTGCTTCTTTGTAGTGGACTGTGCACACTGGTGGGAAGAGGGATGGGGAGCAGCCAAGGGACTGGGACTTTATTTCTGTCCTTAGTGAAGCCCAGTAACATGGTTCCTGGTTTGGCAGCTGAATTGATCTTTTTGCGGTGGGTGGGTTTATCCCCATGTGATTCCTGCATGGGCTGGGCCCTTCTTCCTCAGGTCATACCACCTAAGGAATCCAGCTTTCCTGCCACCCAGTTCTGTTCCCTGTTGGGCCAGTTTCTTCTGGTTTGCCTAGGCCCTTTGGCCCACCCTTTGTTGTGCTTTCTCTTTCTCCCTCCCCTCTCCTCCTGTTCTCTCCTCCCCTCTTCTCTCCCCTTCCCTCTCCTCTCCTCCCCTCCCCTCTTCCCTCCCCTCTCCCCTCCCCTCTCCTCCCCTTCCCTCTCTGATGGAATTTCACTCTTGTCAACCAGGCTGGAGTGCAATGGTGCGATCTCTGCTCACTGCAACCTCCACTTCCCGGGTTCAAGCAATTCTCCTGCCTCAGCCTCCCAAGTAGTTGGGATTACAGGCGCCCACCACCACGCCCAGCTATATTTTGTATTTTTAATAGATACAGGGTTTCGCTGTGGCCAGGCCGGTCTCGAACTCCTGACCTCAGGTGATCCACCTGCCTCGGACTCCCAAAGTGCTGGGATTACAGACGTGAGCTACTGCACCTGACCCCTCACACCTTTCTTTAAAAAGGCCTTTAAATTTGAGGTATTTTGCCTTTTATGCCTCATTTCAGTTGCCCTACTCTCCTCATTGCTCTACCCAGGACCCTCTAGATTATTGATGGTTGGTAAGAGAAGATCACCATTGCTCTCTACAGTTTGGAGTTTCTCTTGGGGAGGTGGGACGACTCTTAACCTGCCCAGTAACTGCCTAGATCACAGCCGTGGGGCCCACCTTCCTCAGGTTACTCCCCTGTGTAGGGGACAGATAGGTAGCTTCCATCTCAGAAGCTCCTAAAGCAGGCTGCCTGGCCTGGCCTGGGCTCTGCGTGGCTGGCCTGTTGCCCCTTTGACATTTGTAGAGGTGTCTGCAGGGTAGGTTTCCCACTTTTGGAGTAGAGGCTACAAACACTAACTTGAAAAGGGTTTTTAAAAATAAATCGTGGGGCTGGGCGCGGTGGCTCATGCCTGTAATCCCAGCACTTTGGGAGGCCGAGGCAGGCAGATCGCTTGAGTGCAGGAGTTTGAGACCAGCCTGGCCAACATGCTGAAACCCCATCTCTACTGAAAATTCAAAAATTAGCCAGGTGTTGTGGCACGTGCCTGTAGTCCCAGCTACTCTGGAGGCTGAGGCAGGAGAATCGCTTGATCCCGGGAGGCAGAGGTTGCAGTGAGTTGAGATCGTGTCATTGTACTCCAGCCAGAGCAAGACTGTCTCAATAAAATAAAGTAAATAATCTTTTTTTTTTTCTTGAGATGGAGTCTCTGTTGCCCAGGCCAGAGTGCAGTGGCACGATCTCGGCTCACTGCAACCTCCGCCTCCAGGTTCAAGCAATTCTCCTGCCTCAGCCTCCTGAGTAGCTGGGATTACAGGCATGCTTCACAATGTTGGCCAGGCTGGTCTCGAACTCCTGGCCTCAGGTGATCCACCTACCTTGGCCTCCCAAAGTGCTGGGATTACAGGCATGAGCCACCGTGCCCAGCCAATAAATAAATAAATTGTTGGCCAGGCGCGGTGGCTCACGCCTGTAATCCAAACACCTCGGCAGGCCAAGGTGGGAGGAACACTCCGGAGTTCAAGACCAGCCTGGGCAACAAAGTGAGTTCCTGTCTCTACAAAAAAATAAAAATCATTTTCTTTATAAGACTAAGCATCCCTCTTTCACCTGCTTTTGCACTGAAGATGTTTGCTCTGCTCTCGCTCATTTTGCCTTTTACTTACAGAGAAAGATGTCAAGAAAGGCTCTTGTAATTGCTGGAATGTCGGGGGGAAGATGAGGTACTGGGAGAGTGTGTCTGGCTTCTCTCTTTAATACTCTCCTTGACAGGTGCAGTTTTGGGGAATGCCATAGAAGAGCCCAGACTTGGGACTTGGAGACAAATCTCCGTAATTCACAGACATGCCCCAGCACCCACTCTTCCACACCCCCACACCCCACCTGAGCCTCGGCAATCCCAGTGCAGCACGGGTACTTCTTGGCATTCAGAGAATTCACAGAGGCCACGTGTGTGCTATCCACTGCTTCCCAGGATTGGTCACTTCCCAATTTAAAATAATTACTGCCTGTGAACAACTCTGTATTAAAACAAAATTTCTATAGTAATATCTTAACTGCTTGATTTTTGGGGGAGGAGGGGAGCAGGTGGGAGGCATTGCCTAGAAAGGTAACTGGCTCTAGGCCTTATCAACCAATAGGACAGTGTAACCTTGATTCACTAACCCTAATCAAGACAGAAGGCAACTAAGTAATGCAGGGGACAAGGACACAAGATGATGGAACTTGCAGAGAGGAGGGAAGTGCTCGGTTGTGTTAAAGGTAGAAAATGTGACTAGTAATATTTACTAACAGTTTTTATTACTAGTGTATTCTCATCTGAGTCTGTATTTCTGCTTCTCTTCTCAGGACAGTTTTACCCAGGTGATGAGTGCCTTCCCTTGCTTTAAAAAATTCTGCCTTTCTACACCATCTCAGCCACATGGGTGATTGAAACCTACTTGGCTTCTTTAGGAACTGAAAGGGTTTCAGGTGTACACTGTTGCCCGCTGTTTAAGAGGCGAGGACTGAGTTACATGGCCACCTACAGAGTCTGACCATTTTTTAAATGTCAGCCCCAAAGTACCACTGACTCTTGTCCATAGCACAACAGATTAAAACCTTGCCTTGCTTTTGCAACCTTGGAGGCAGCTGGAAAACTTGTGTGTCTACGTCCAAATCTGTCTTTCGTGTCCAGTTTAAAAATATATAATTTACATGGGCAGTGATCTCAGTGTTGGAACAAATCTCTTTTATTTGCTGCTGGAAGCTGCATGGGCCACTCATTAATACATCAGAGGTCAGATGCATGCCGGGGCGGCAGCTGGGACACTAATGATTTCATATGGCTTTGTATGACCGCTGGCCGCCTGTGGTGCTGTAAATCGGGACTCAGGGTTCTAATTTTTTCAAAACCTCCAGGGAGGTTGCCTCTTGCGAGATATAACTTAAGATAATATTTATAGTAGAGGGCAGAGGAAAAATAATACCTAATGGGAACATTGTGGAAAAAATGGTAGCAACCTATTAGAAGTAAATTATGTGGGGCCATTGGAGTTAACTCATTTATGGGCTCCATGAGTATTTTATTAGGTCCTTAGCTATGAAGAGTGCTGCGCTGTGGCCAAGCTCCAAGCATCACCCCCTCAACAACTTAGGTTGTCAGTGGAAGGATTCTCCCCTCACTTTTGGGAGGGAGGAGTATTAATTGAACCTTTTTTTTTTTTTTTTTTTTTTTTTTGGAGCTGGTCTTGCTGTGTCTGGCTTGAGCCAGGCTGACTGCGGTGGTGCATACATGGCTCACAGCAGCCTCGAACTCTTGGGCTCATCAAGCCATCCTTCTGCCTCAGCTGTGACTATAGGCATGCCCCACCATGCTTGGTTAATTTTTAATTCTTTTGTAGAGACAGGGTCTTTGTTGGCCGGGCTAAGTGTACATTTTGACTTTTGATGATTTATATATACCTGTGTAATCAATCCTCGCATCAAGATATAGATTTTCTCTAATTCCAGAAGGATTCCCTTGGGGTCCCTCTAGTTCACCCTCGTTCTCACCTGCAACTACTGTTGTTTTCTTCCACGTTGAGTTTTATCTTCATATATTAATAAATGGAGTTATGCAATATATTCTCTTGATTTTAGCTTTTTCACCAGTCTTAGTGCCTTTAAGCTTCTTGTATGTAGGTATATTTATTTATTTGTTTTTGTTTTTGTTTTTTTGAGACGGAGTCTCCTCTGTCACCCAGGCTGGAGTGCAGTGGTGAGATCTTGGCTCACTGCAGCCTCTGCCTCCCGGGTTCAAGCAATTCTCCTGCCTCAGCTTCTTGAGTAGCTGGAACCACAGGTGCCCACCACCAGGCCTGGCTAACTTTTGTATTTTTAGTAGAGATGGGGTTTCACTATGTTGGCCAGGCTGGTCTCAAACTCCTGACTAAAAATGGTCCACCCGCCTCGGCCTCTCAAAAGTGCTGGGATTACAGGCATGAGCCACCACGCCTGAACTTCTTGTGTGTAGTTACTGACAAACATCCTGTTGTGTGTATGTACCACGGTGTATGTTGATGTGGAAGTTTTGTTTTTACTTTTAAACATCCAAGACTGATTGATTGAGGCAGGGTTTCTGTTGCCCAAGCTGGAGTGCAGTGGAATGATCATAACTTGCTGTAACTTTGATGTAACTTTGAACTCCTTGGGCTCAAGCAATCCTCCCACCTCAGCCTTCTGAGTAGCTATCAAGTTTTTATTTGTTCAAAACTATATTTGGGAGGCAGTAATCCAAAACACAACTCTGGCATTTTCTAAGCTGTCACTGAGTATTGTGTAGTGTAACTTGGATCTGTTAGAGGACACCCCAAGCACAGGTGTGGCACTCTTAGGAAGATGCCCTTTTATTGCAGAGCCTTCAGGAAATGTGTGAGAAACTGAAGGTGGTGGGCTGGTGGGCCATGAGTTTGCCTCAAGCTGTGTGGGGTGGGTGAAGATAACAAGGTGCCAGCCCAAAAAGCAGATTCTGATCTGGGAGTCAAGTAAGTCCAAAGGGCCTAGGGAGCTGGTGCCCGCTGGGTTCGCCAGAGGCAGAGTGTGGAGGACGTGTTGTTTATTCGAGATCCCCTGCTTTGAAAGGCAGGATGCAGGATGTCAACAGGGTCCTGACACCCCAGTGCCCCCAGGGGCAGAGCATGAGTGTCTGCCGTCTGCCCTCAGGGCTCAGGCTCAGGTCCGGTGTAGAGTGGATAGTCTGGGTAAAGGAAATGTCAGGCATAGCTACATTCCCCAGTATGCATCCCTCTTCCCCCACTTGGCATGTGTGTTGTCCCCCAGTTGGTATTTTGCAACATCATGATTATACTTTTAAAAATTAAGTGGTGTGTGTGTGTGTGTGTGTGTGTGTGTGTGTGTGTGTGTGTGTGTGTTCACAAAGGTCTGGAGAAGTGCTAATTTTAGCTCAACATGGGGGGTGCCTGTCATTTTCCCTGCCGGAATCCCCTCCTCTCCTTTTACCTCGACCTCTGCCCCTTATGGTTCACCTGGAGGATTGCTCCTGCCCTGTAAAACTCACTGTAGCAGGGCCAGGCGCAGTGGCTCACGCCTGTAATTCCAGCACTTTGGGAGGCCGAGGCAGTCGGATCATGAGGTCAGGAGATTGAGACCATCCTGGCTAACACGATGAAACCCCGTCTCTACTAAAAATACAAAAAATTAGCTGGGTGTGGTGGCACGCGCCTGTAGTCCCAGCTACTCAGGAGGCTGCGGCAGGAGAATCACTTGAACTCGGGGGTTGGAGGTTGCAGTTAGCTGAGATCACACCACTGCAGTCCAGCGTAGGGGACAGAGCAAGATTCCATCTCAAAAAAACAAAAAACAAGCAAACAAAAACAAACCAAAAAACCCACTGTTGCAGCCTGCGGAGGGTCAGAATCACGGAAAACTACATACACGAGTTACACCACCCTTTCTCAGGCCACACTGATGGCTGTGTGGGTTGGGCGGCAGCAAGAGACATATTCATGAAACTACTTTGTCTGACTCTGCCAAAACTGGTCGAAGGCGTTTGCTGTGCTGCCCAGGGCATTGTTCTTATCTGGGTTTTCATCTTCCTTAAGAGAGTCATTGCTGGGGGAAAATGATTTTCTTCCAGGATGAACTCATTTTCACACTTTTAATAGTTCTGATAGTTCCTGTGAGCCAGAAATGAGGCTGTTTCTCTTTTTATCAAGTCAGCAAGTAAGCCCAGCCAAATTCCAGCATTCAACTCTGTAAACAGAATTTAGTCACTTTCACTATCTGGACCTTTTAATTTGCCGCCCGCCGGCCCCCCCCCCCCCCCGCCCCACCTTTTTTTTTTTTTTTTTTTTTTTTTTTTAAGACAGAGTCTGACTTGTTCTGTCACCCAGGCTGGAGGCAGTGGAGATTTTGGCTCACTGCAACCTCTGCCTCCTGGGCTCAAGCGATTCTCCTGCCTCAGCCTCCTGAGTAGTTGAGATTACTGATGCCCGTCACTACGCCTGGCTAATTTTTGTGTATTTAGAGGAGATGGGTTTTGCCATGTTGGCCAGGCTGGTCTCAAACTCCTGACCTCCAGTGATCTGCCTGCCTCAGCCTCCCAAAGTGCTGGGATTACAGGCGTGAGCCACCATGTACAACATGACTTACTTTTAAAACATGATGCTTCCAGGATTTTTGTTTTTTTTTTGGAGATGGATTACAGGCATGCGCCTGTACTAGGATTACAGGCGTGAACCACTGCACCAGGCCTTTTTGTTTGGTTGTTTATTTGTTCTGTTTTGAGATGGAGTCTTGCTCTGTCTCCTGGGCTGGAGTGCAGTGGCGTGATCTCGCCTCACTGCAATCTCTGCCCCCTGGGTTCAATCTATTCTGCCTCAGCCTCCCGAGTAGCTAGGATTACAGGGCCTGCCCCCACACTAATTTTTGTATTTTTAGTAGAGGCAGGGTTTCACCATGTTGGCCAGGCTAGTCAACAAGTGATCTGCCCTCTTCGCACTCCCAAAGTTCTGGGATTACAGGCGTGAGCCACCACGCCTGATCAATGCTTTGTGTTTTGTGTGTTATTAGTAAGAGCTGTGTGTTCAGGAGAAACACCTAGACATGGTGGTGTGCTACTGGAGTATGTTGAGGCTCCGAGA
This sequence comes from Homo sapiens, assembly GCF_000001405.40. NCBI lineage: Eukaryota > Metazoa > Chordata > Mammalia > Primates > Hominidae > Homo > Homo sapiens. The sequence goes on from NW_025791770.1 coordinate 234,851, forward strand.
CTTTGGACAGGGCCGTGTCGATGGAAAATAATTCAGGGACTTGTGAAGCTGGACCACTTCACCAAGGGCCTGTGTGATTGTGGGGCCTGGTCCCACAAGCAGGGGAGCAGGTGATAGAAGGAACCTACGCAGTGTTTTGGAAGTCTTGTAGAATGGGGCATTGGGGGAGCAGGGGCTTGCGAGGTGTGGTTGGTTGGCTGCTGTTGGAGAGGAGTAATGGCAACTTTTTGGGGAGCAGCAGTCAGTGGTAGTGAAGAATTTTTAAAGAAAATTAGGGAAGAAGGGAGCATGGTGTGGTTTTTGGAGTCACATAAAAACTTAAAGTGAACAAGTGCTAACAGATGACATTTTATGTTTGTCAAACTATACCTCTCCCTGGGTACCAGCAGTTGCGATGAGTTCAGATGCAGAGATAACGGCATCCCTCTCTGATTTCAAGTTTTCCTTTCAAATTGTCTTGTCCATGGAGCCCAAACATTTAAATTTGAGATGAGTAGATGCCTCTGACCCCACTGCAGATTGTTCTTGGACACTCCCACTTTTACCACCCCCCTCCCCCTCCTCTTTTTTAGATCTTCACATGTTATATTGCTTGTTTAGCCTGGGAATGAATCTTGTTCAGCCAGACAGTATTACATGTGTACGTTTAATACTGTGCATTTACATAATACATATAATGGGACTGCAAAAGAACATTAGTTTTGCAGTGAAATACATAAACATTTACTAAATGACATAGGTAAAAATGATTGATCATTTTCACACCAGTTTCAGTTTTTAAAATTATTTTATTGACAAAAATTTGTGTGTGTGTGTATGTGTGTATATATACATACATATTTTTGAGACAGGGTCTCGGGCTCTGTGGCCTAGGCTGGAGTGCGGCGGTGCGATCATGGCTCACTATAGCCTTCATCTCCTGTGCTCAAGTGATCCTTTTGTCTTGGCCTCCCAAAGTGCTGGTATTGTAGACCTAAACCAGCATCCCCAGCCAGAATCTTACATATTTATTGTGTACAACATGTTTTGAAGTCTGTATGCATTGTAGAGTATGTATATTGAGCTAATTAACATGCATTGCCTCACATACTTATTTTTTTGTGGTGAGAACACATAAAAATGTACTCAGTGATTGTCAAAAATACTATAATAACTATAGTACCGTGTTGCACATCAGTTTTGCTGCCAAATAGTATATGGAACAACTTTTGTTTTCCAGAGCATCGTCTTGGATGTTGGAGTTGCAGAAAGGGGATTGTGGGCCTCAGGGTGTGTGTGTTAATTGCTTGTGTGTGGTGTGTGTGTTTTAATTCCTAACACCCCTTTTTTTATTGCCTGAGATTCCTTCAATTTCTAGAGATACCATGAAGCAGCCCCGCTTAATCTTATTTAACAGACGCTGCTGAGACTGCCAGAACGCAACACAACAAGACTTTTTCTTTCCTTGGACTGCTCCTCTTGTAGGCCCCTTTTCAATGTTGGCACCCATCAAAGCCTTCCACCCAAGCAGGAGTAGATCTTAACTCCAATTCCAACTGTGAACTGTGTCCATACTGACTGCCTCTCCTGGCATCCCCTGCTGGCCTTTTGTTTTTGGTTGTGTTGAGAACAGAAACTGGTACTTTGCCCTTCACATGGGTGAAGGTCGACCTGACTAAAAAGAATTCGGGAATTCTTACTATCCAAGCTTGCAAGTAGGTTTCCCCCAATAACCATTATATCAAGTGATGTAACAATTGAATATATTACCAAATTGAAAACTAGGGATTCTGTAAAGAACAAGGATGTTAACTGTGGCACTGCTTGCGATTTTTCAAAAATCAGGAAACAGTTTTACAATTTTATTAGCCTATACTCATTAAGTTGTGGTACATTCATATAGCAACATACCATGCAGCCATTCGGAAAGCCAGGCATCTCTGCACGGAGTGACCCAGAACATTCTCCAAGTTAATATAGTTAAGAGAAACTTTGTTTTGTCTTAAAAAACTAAGTTACGCCTAGAATAAAGCTTTTTTTTTTTTCATGGTTAAAGTGGAGACAATTGAGTGAGACATTAGGGTTTTTTTTTTTTTTAAAAAACTGTTTGCTTGTATTACTTTCTGCATTTGAACAAATACTTGTTACCTAGCCAAATAAAAAGTGTTTTGGAAACACTCCCTCCTCATACTCCCACCACAGAAAGGATAATGTGTCTGCAGCGGGGCTCTGTTGTCTTGAACTGGTGAGGACTATGCCTGAACTGGGTCCCTATTCCTTTCCTATATTTATCCAGGCCATAGTTGTGGGGCAGCACGTGGCCAGGGCTACAGGAGAGGCTTCTGCTGAGGGTTTGGGCTGCAGATTTGAGCACAAGCACTCAGTCTATCTCAGTCAAGTAAAGCGTTGTTTTAATATTACTTAATAGACTTATTTCATGGCTAGATTTTACCTCCTTGAACTTGGCTTATCATTTTTAAAACGAATCTTGTGTTGTCCCACGTGAGAACCTGCAGAGTAGCACACACAGGTAAGGCTTCTTCTGGGCCTCATTTGCTTCTGGAACCTGTTGTTGCCTCCACTTTACTTCTGTAGTGGGAAACTCAGAAACCCTCTTGGGTGGGTGGAGATCTAGCCAGGTGTCAGCGGTTCAGCCTTGGTTTGTGGGAGCCCAAGTAAATGTCCTCAGTCATTTTAAGGGATACCAAACTAATCTTTAAAAAGTTTACAGCAGTTTATGTATTTTAGTTGAGACATTTCGATGAACTTAAATGGCAATCTGGGCCTTCCTCTGTCCTTTCAGCTTACATTCTTCACTGATAGGGGTAGTTGTGTTTTAAACCTGAAGCTCATTCTTTCAGATGTCCCTTGGTGTGTGTGTTCCTTGTTGGGCCACAGATAGTGTAAAATCTAGATTCCAGAAGCCTGGGTGCACGTGCATTTGCATGTGCACACATGCGTGCACACACGTTCATTAACAAAGCATTTTATTTAAACACTGGCTAAGGTACAAACATGCCTACTTTGTATTTTTATTTATTTATTTTCCTTTAACCTCCCTCCCCCATTCCTCCCGGCCTAGTCTCCCGCCCGTTCCTTTCCTGCTGGGCTCACATTCCTAGGTCTTTGTCTCTGCCTGGTATTCTAGATTTTGGGGAGAGGAAGGCAATGGGTGGGACGTTCTGGAAGCTGGGGGCAGGGAAGAGGGTGGTCACTTGCAGGGTCAGAGGTCAAGCCTCCTCCATTTAGCTGGGGCAGCCGGATTGTCGCCAGGCCCGAGGGGGCGTGTCTGTGCATCTGCCCGGGAAGCCCCAAACAGGCCCTGGAATTCCTGCTGCTAGACGACCTGTTCTTCCCAGTCCCTTCCCCCCTTTCCCGGGAGCCGCTGTTCATGGCTACTACCACATTTCTGGCTATAGGACCCTCCACACAGCTCCAGTTTATTTCCTTAAAAATAATTTTACACCTGTTTCAGAGAGAATTACATCCATGCACATCCTTACCTATCGATTGTTTTAACAGCTCTAAAATTGTGGTTTTTCAGTTTCAAATTGTGGTTAGATGAGACATGGAGCTTCTAAATGAAGCATGAAATCCTACCAAAGTTCTGCTCCAACTTTTAGCTGGAAGGTTTATAAAAGTGGATTTCATTTTATAGTTTTTGGACAATGCATTCTTTTAAAAATTCATTGTTTACTAATAACGAGCACATTGAGGCCATTCTTTTACTCACTGGTAGCTTTTTATTATCAACCATTTGGGTGCTCCCTGTCCCCATCTCTGTTGCAGGCGGCCTGGAGCTGTGAAAGCACTGGCTCTTCTGAAACCACAGTGTGTTCTGGGTACTTAGAACTGCATCGATCCTGTGTAAAATGATACCAAGCAGGGATTGCATTCAGAGACCCCTTTCATTTGTATATCTGGGCTCTCAAGGCTGGTCACAGGAGGGCTCTGGTGTCGGCTCAGGGCACCCTGCCTTTCGCTGCCATACCGGCCACTACCTGTTCTGACCAGGATTTTTTTCTGGCTACTGCATCTGCAGAATCTTTTAAAACCTACCATTCATGGGGGGATTGCAAATGTCCAGCATCATCCAGGTTCTGTATTTTGAGGTTGATCTAAACCTAAGAAAAATCACCTTAATTCTTTATAGTTACATAGTTGGAGTCTGGAATGGGCACCCTGGCTCAGCCCAGAACTTACTACTTGTTCTGTTGTTGTTGTTTGTTTTGCACTCTTAGCCCGTGTTGCCTAGGCTAAATTCAGTGCCATGGTCACGGCTCACTGCAGCCTCAACTTCTTAGGCTCAAGGAATCCTCCCACCTCAGGCTCCTGAGTACAAGCGTGAGCCACCACGCCCAGCAATTTTTTTTTTTTTTTTTGGTAGTTTGGGCCCAAGTGTTCCTCTAGCCTCAGCTTCTCAAGGAGCTTGGACTACAGGCATGAGCTGCCACGTCCAGCTACTAGAACTTAATTTTGAAGCTCTTTAGTTTCTGTTGTCAAGTCTCTATTAGGTAGACTTTCTGGGGTGGAAGGGGGTCTTCCGGAGGTACCCAGTCAGGCCCCTTTTGTTTCACAGATGAGACTGAAGCCCAGACAGGTCAAGAGAGGTGATTGGACAGATGGTTCCATAGCCAGGTAGTGCCAGTACTCACTAGCCATGGAGATGAGAGCAATCTAGGTAGTTACAATTTGCAAGAGCCCCTTAGTCCGAAGGAAGCAGGAGAGTGCCATTCAGTCCACACAGCTGTCTTGAGAAGAGGGAAAGAACGGATGCGTTCTCAAGGTTGCTTAGCTGTTAGAAGCAGGGAGGCCACCCGAAGGTTTGGTGGCATGTTTTATTCACATGTACAAGAAACTTTCTGATGGAAGGGTTTTCACACTTCACATCAGCATAGGAGTGATCCCTTCATTCCCATGACAAATGGAGAGAGCAAAGGAAAGGAACGTCGTTCAAACTGGTAGAATTGCTTTAGCACCAGGTCGTAAAAAGGGATTGGCCAGGAATTTTTCCTGAATTTATCCAGCTCAGCATCTTTTGATTAGTATTTATACTTGAGAATTTTAGATTTAAAAGATTATTAGGATTAGATAATCTCTGAAGGATAGATCAGCTTTAAAAGCAACTGATTTAAAGGAGGCAAGTTGCTGCTACCTGGTTTCAGTCTGCCACCATTGCTGGCAAAGCACTGCAGTGATCAAAATTAGTAGGAAAGTTACAAACCTTACCACATTTCCCTTGTATAAAGTAGGATCTGGGCCGGGTGCGTTGGCTCACGCCTGTAATCCCAGCACTTTGGGAGGCCAAGGTGGGTGGATCACGAGGTCAGAAGATCGAGACCATCCTGGCTAACAGGGTGAAACCTCATCTCTACTAAAAATATAAAAAAATTAGTTGGGCGTGGTGGCAGGCACCTTTAGTCCCAGCTACTCCCAGGGAGGCTAAGGCAGGAGAATGGCATGAACTCGGGAGGCAGAGCTTGCAGTGAGCCGAGATCGCGTCGCCACTGCACTCCAGCCTGGGTGACAAGAGCAAGACTCTGTCTCAAAAACAAACAAATAAAGTAGGATCCATAAAAACCTCCTGGTTATAGCAGAACTGTTACTTAACAAAAGTAAAAACACAATATCCTAAATCTTTCGTTTTTCCTGTTTCTGAATCGTAAAGTTTCTAGAGAACCAGTTTAACCCATCCTAGATTACACACTTCCCTATTAACTCAATTAGCCCCGAGTGGAGTAACTTCTGTGTGCTTGAGTGAACCATTTAGGGGGAGCATTTTTCTAGTGGACACACTTTATGTGAAGATTTTGGTTGTTAATAAAATAAAGAACTTGGAGAAGGAAAGAAGCAGCAGTCTCCCTCTGTTTGCCCCCAGCCCTCTCTTTTTGGAGCTCTCCGCCTAAGAAAACCTTCTGGGCCACTTCCAAGCCTTCTCCCCATCTCTGTCTCCCACAACACTCTGCCTTGCTTCTCACCAGAATGAGCTTCTATTCAGTCTGCGCAGAATCGCCTGGAATCTCACATCCTGGATCTCCACCATACCTAGCAAGGTGCTTTGTACTGGTGATGAGAGAGCTGGTGTCATACCTGTGTTGGAACCAGCTCTGTAGAAGGCTCATGCTGGCTTCCCTGCTGTGTCTTTGCTAACACTGTGGCCTTGAGCACTCCCCAACTCCTGTCCTCACCTGGAGATGAAGTGTGGGTGTTGTATTTGTATACTGCTTCCCTGCCTGTTGCATGTTAGCTAGCTTCCCCTCATGCCCAGGTGTACCAGAGGCAAATTTAAGCTCTGCTCTTGAAAGCAATCCAGCAAACATTTACAGAGTGGCGCTAAGTGCCCTGCTCTGTGGAGAGATACAGTAATGAGACTGGCCCAGTTTCTATGCCAAGGAGTTTTCTCTCTTGAGAGCTCCTTGTTTATTAGCAGGTAAAGGTTGTGCCAGCCCTTCTCTCTCTTCCTCCCTCCCTCCCTCCCTCCCTCCCTCCCTCCCAGCGTGCTGGGCCCCAGGGAAGTGTAGAACATCACATAAAGCAGTTCTGTCAGCACTGGCTGCCTCCCAGGTTCAACTCCTTGGAATAACTTGGCATGAAGAAGAAAGGCAAGGAGCTGGCTGACCTTACCACTAGCTTTTTGCCTTCGTTCCAGAAACTTAAGCCTGTAGCTTGCTTGAGTGCCTGGGAGAACCATGCTTTGCACTTTGCATTACTACCTGTGGTGTGAGGATGGTTGTTACTGGCTCTTAACCTTGCTTCACACATCTAGGCTAGAGCAGCAAAGGAAACTTTTCTGGTACATTCTTACATCCAGGCCACTAATATCAGACTAGGTAACACAGTCTTAACAACTTTTCTGGATAATGAAGCTAAGATTCAGGGCAAACTCTCATGCCAGGAGGTTTGTTTTGTTTGGTTTCTGCCTTCGAAGTGTCTCTGTTACAGTTCTGAATGAGACTAGAGTGGGATATGGCATTCAGTTGTGTTCCCCCCTCCATTCCCCCTTAATTTGGGGCAGAGAGAGTGGGAGAAAAAAGGAAGCAGATATTTTTAGTTATGTTTGCAGTTACGCCACTGCTGCCTCTCCCTTTGGGGTGTGCTTGCTCATTGGGGAAGCTGGTCGTTCGGTTGTGAGAGCCAGGGCCCTCCAGTTGCTGTCTTCCCTCCTCCTCCCGTCCTGCATCTCCATTTATGCCTGTACCCTCTCTTGTCCCCAGGTGCTGCACCTGTACTGTGACACTTGCTCTGTACCCATCTGTCGTGAGTGCACAATGGGCCGGCATGGGGGCCACAGCTTCATCTACCTCCAGGAGGCACTGCAGGACTCACGGGCACTCACCATCCAGCTGCTGGCAGATGCCCAGCAGGGACGACAGGCAATCCAGGTGAGCCTTCCCTGCCCTTCTGCAGTTCCCACGTGAATCGAGCCCCCCTTTCTGTCGGGTGGCATGGACAGACAATTGGGCAGATTCCAGTGTGGGGGGTGGAATAGTGACCCAAATGAGCTCAGGTGACATCCCTGCAGCAGCGGTCCCTTTAGGGGTTCTGGCAGTCTCGTGAAGATGTCAGGGATGTGGCCAAAGTTACTGGTCAGATTTCTAAGCACCTAGCCTGGGCCCCAACATACCACCTGCACGTGTCCCACCCAGCCACCTCCCGAAATCAAAGTGGACATTGGCACTTTCCAGCCAGGACTGCAGAAAGGCTGGGTGCTTAATGCTTATTACTACTACTACTACTACTACTACTACTACTACTACTACTACTACAACATATTTTTTGAGATGAGTCTTGCCCTGTCACCCAGGCTGGAGTGCAGTTGTGTGATCTCGGCTAACCACAACCTCCACCTCCCGGATTCAAGTGATTCTCCTCCCTCAGCCTCTCAAGTAGCTAGGATTACAGGCGTGCACCACTGCACCTGGCTAATTTTTTTTTTTGAGACGGAGTCTCACTCTGTTGCCCAGGCTGGAGTGCAGTGGCACGATCTCGGCTCACTGCAAGCTCCGCCTCCCAGGTTCACGCCATTCTCCTGCCTCAGCCTCCCGAGTAGCTGGGACTACAGGCGCCCACCACCACGCCCGGCTAATTTTTTGTATTTTTAGTAGAGATTGGGTTTCACCACATTGGCCAGGCTGGTTTTGAACTCCTGAGCTCAGGTGATACACCTGCCTCAGCCTCCCAAAGTACTGGGAGCTACTGAGCCCAGCCAATGCCTTTTATTTATTTGTGTTTTTGAGACAAGAGTCTCACTCTGTCACCCAGGCTGGAGTGTAGTGGTGGGATATCAGCTCAGTGCAACCTCCGCCTCTCAGGTTCAAGTGATTCTGCTGCCTCAGCCTCCCAAGTAGCTGGGGTTACAGGCGCCCGCTGCCATTCCCAGCTAATTTTTCTATTTTTAGTAGAGACGGGGTTTCACCTTGCTGGCCAGGTTGGTCTCGAACTCCTGACCTCAGGTGATCCACCTGCCTCGGCCTCCCAAAATGCTGGGATTACAGGCGTGAGCCACCATGCCCGGCCTAATGCTTTTTAGACAGAGACCTTTGTGATACAGATTTACTTATTTATATGTGAGAAATTAGTGAGCAGAATGTTATGTGAGGTTCGGTGTCTTCAGTCCTTTCCTGGATGGTGAATCCCCTGTAATTGAAACTGTTGTTTCTGTTGAATTCCTATCAACAGCTAGGGAGGGGCATGTGTAACTTTGATAATTGGCAGGGTTCTCTCACATAGGTGATAGTGTGCCTGAATTTCTATTAAATCTTGTCTGATCCAGGTGACAAGGTTTTAGGAAATCAGAAAATTGTGACTTTTCCCTGTGTTATAGGATACTTTGAAAGTCAAGAAAAGTTGTTCACCCTCTAGGAGAAGAAAAATTGTTCACCCTCTAGGAGAAATTACATAGGAACCATTCTAGAATATTTATATAAGTGAATTGTTTTAAAAGTAAGATTCTGGCCAGGTTCAGTGGCTCACGCCTGTGTAATCCTAGCACGTTGGGAGGCCGAGGTGGTGGATCACTTGAGCTCAAGAGTTTGAGACCAGCCTGGGCAACATGGGGAAACCCTACAAAAAGTACCAAAATTAGCCGGGTGTGGTGTGACACTCGCCTGTAATCCCAGCTACTTGTGGGGCTGAGGTGGAAGGGTCACTTGAGCCCCAAAGGTGGAGGTTGCAGTGAGCCAAGATTATGCCAGTGCACTCCAGCCTGGGCAACAGTTAAGACTCTGTTTCAAAAAAAATCCGTTTTGAAAGTGCTAAAGAATTGAGATCATGCCTCTTAACAGAAGAGGGAGGATTTGATTTAATAAGTTTCTCAGCCGCTATCACATTCCCATGCATGATACTGAAACAATCTTTTCTGATGAGTCAGATTTTATGATGTTCAGATCATAAAATTGGAAGTTTGAGAGACTTTCTTGAATGACTAATCCTGTTATTGTTATGCCAGTATTGCTCATTGTCTTTAAAATGCCTTGAGTGTCTCTGTGTTGCTCTTCTCCTTTGTCAGTGTCTTCACCTGTGCATCATTCTGTTGTATATCAGTGCATCTGTCCCTGCGGATGAAGTGGTTTGTGTCTTTCATTTTATGCCACGACAGTTGGGACCTTGACAAATAAATGCCTTACCCTGCTGGTGTCTCCTCGACACCGGTGCCCTCGACACTGTGGCATCGCCTGAGGAACTTAACCACTGGTGTCAGCAGGGCACGGTTGCTCAAACCTGTAATCCCAGCACTTTGGGAGGCCGAGGTGGGTAGATCACCTGAGGTCAGGAGTTCGAGACCAGCCTGGCCAACATGGTGAAACCCCGTCTCTACTAAAAATATAAAAATTAGCCAGGCATGGTGGCAGGCACCTGTAATGCCAGGTACTCAGGAGGCTGAGGGAGGAGAATTGCTTGAATGCAGGAGGCAGAGGTTGCAGTGAGCCGAGATCGTGCCACTGCACTCCAGCCTGGACGACCGAATGAGACTCCATCTCAAACAAACAAACAGACAAACAAAAAGAGCCACTGGTGTCTAGGTCTGAACTCCTAGATTGTGATATGATTTTATTAACCTCTTACTCTCTTAAGAGATTGAAAACAGTTGGAGCATTATTGAGAGAATGCTGGTGCTCTCTGTGCTTAGTGGGAAAAGCCACCATGGGGGAGAAAAAATGAGTTGTAACAATTTGCTGGAGGCTTATTAAGGAGAGCACCAACAAATCATGAGTGGTTAACATGGTGAAATCTCAGAGAAATGGAAATTCACTGGAAATTCTGTGGGGAGAAAAGAGTGTGGGGAAAATAAATATAGTCAGCTGTGTAAGTGGTGAGAACCTAGGCATAAATCCTAGAGGTATGATTCAAATGTTAGTTGAAAGTGTGTGCCCAACATTAATCTGAATACTAGATCATGGGGCATTTTGGGTAGAGGCATTTTAGGTCTGTTAATCTATAACGCCACAGCCAGGTACACTACATAGATTGTGATTTCCTAGAAAGTTTTTGTTTAACCATAACTTGTGTGTGTTTAGCATCCTTAAGTCTTGCTCTATCGCCCAGGCTGGAGTGCAATGGTGCAATCTTGGCTTACTGCAACCTTTGCCTCCCAGTTTCAAGTGATTCTCCTGCCTCAGCCTCCCGAGTAGCTGGGGTTACAGGAGCCTGCCACCACTCCCGACTAATTTTTGTCTTTTTAGTAGAGACGGGGTTTCACCATGTTGGTCAGGCTGGTCTCGAACTCTTGACCTCAGATGATCCACCTGCCTCGGCTTTTCAAAGTGTTGGGATATCAGGTGTGAGCCACCGCGCCTGGCCATTTTTTTTTTTAAGAGACAGGATCTCTCTCAAACTCCTGGGCTTTTAGGCAATCCATCCCCTTTCTTTGGCCTCCCACGTAGCTAGGACTACAGGTATGCTCCACCACACCCAGCTAATTTTTGTATTTTTTGTAGAGATGGGGCTCGCTTTGTTGTCTAGGCTGATCTCACTCAAACTCCTGGCTTCATGCGATCTTTCACCTTGGCCTCCCAAGGCGCTGAGATTAAAGGCATCAGCTACCTTGCCCAGCCTGACAATTTCTTAAAATGTGACACAAGTCTTCATCCCTTCAAATTTTCTCATGAGATGGCAACAATTCAGTCACATCTTCAAGCTCCAGTTCTAATTCTAGTTCTCTTTGTATTTTCACCACATCTGCAGTGACTTCCTCCACTACTTCTTTCTGCTACAAGAAGTTGATCCCAACCCTAATCAGTGACCTTGAGTTCACCCATTAGGGTTGGGATCAGCTTCTTCAAACATCCTATTAATGTTGATATTTTGACCTCTACCTATGAATCACGAATGCTCTTTTATAGTATCTCCAGTTTTAGTATATGTGCTGCCAAAGTGAGTACCACACATGTTCTTAATGGCACCTGGAATGGTAAATTTTTTGCAAAAGGATTACAAATGAGTTTGTCCAGATCCATCAGAGGAATCACTATCTGTAGTAGCTATCGCCTTACGAAGTTTATTTGTTAAATAATAAGACTTGAAAGTTGAAACTACTTCTTGATCCACGGGCTGTAGAATGGATGTTGTGTTACCAGACATGAAAACAACTTTCGTGTCCTTGTGCATCTCTAGCAGAGTCTTCTGGGTGACCAGGTGCATTGTCAATCAGCAGTAATATTTTGAAGGGAATCTTTTTTTCTGAGCGGTAGGTCTGAACAGTGGGTTTAAAATATTCCGCAAACCGGCCTGGCATGGTGGCGCAAGCCTGTAATCCCAGCACTTTGGGAGCCCGAGGCGGGTGGATCACCTGGGATGAGGAGTTTGAGACCAGCCTGACTAACACAGAGAAACAGAAACCCCTTCTCTACTAAATACAAAAAATTAGCCGGTCATGGTGGCACATGCCTGTAATCCCAGCTACTTGGGAGGCTGAAGCAGGAGAATTGCTGGAACCCAAGAGGCGGAGGTTGCAGTGAGCTGAGATTGCACCATTGCACTCCAGCCTGGGCAACAAGAGCGAAACCCTGTCTCAAAAAAATAAATGAATAAATAAATAAAAATTTTAAAAATTCCGCAAACCATGCTACAAACAGACATGCTGTCATCCAGGCTTTGTTTTTCCATTTGTAGAGCACAGGCACGGTAGATTTAGCATAATGCTTAAGGGGCCTAGGGTTGTCAGGATGGACAATGACTGTTGGCTTCAACTTAGTCACCAGCTACATTAGTCCCTACCAAGAGAGTCAGCCCGTCCATTGAAGCTTTGAAGCCAGGCATTGACTTCTGTAGCTATGAAAGTCCTACATGGCATCTTCTTCCAATATAAGACTATGTCTTTCCAATATCAGGCTGTCTCCTTCTAATAAAAGGATGTCTTGAAAGTCTGTTGTTTAGCTGTCTTCATCAATTACCTTAGCTTGTTCTTCTGGGTAACTTGCTGCAGCTTCTATATCAGACTTGCTGTGTCACCTTACACATATATGTTTTGGAGATAACTTGTTTTCTTAAACCGTATCACTCATCCTGTCTTAGCTTCAAACTTCTGCAGCTTCCTCATCTCTCACCCTTCATAGCATTGAAGAGTTAGGTCCCTGCTCAGGCAGGATTAGACTTTGGCTTAAGGAGATGTTATGGCTGGTTTGATCTTTTCTCCAGATCATTAAACTTTCTTCATATCAGCAATAAGTCTGTTTTGCCTCATTGCTGTTTGAGTGTTCACTGGAGTGAACTTCTAATTTATTTCAAGAACTTTACTTTGCAATCACAGCTTTGACTGTTTGGTGTAAGAGGCCTAGCTTTCAGCCTGTCTGTAGCTTTCTACTTGCTTTCTTTACTAAGCTTAATCATTTTAGATTTGTAGGACCTTTTCTTTCACTTGAACACTTAGAGGCCATTGTAGGGTTACTAAGTGGCCTGATTAACACCAAAGATCACTTGTCACAGATCAGCACACCAGATAAAATAATAATGAAAAGTTTGAAATACTGCAAAAATTATCAAAGTGTGACACAGAGACAGTATGGGCTTTTGGAAAAATGACACCAGTAGATTTGGTTGATGCAGTATTGCCACAAATCTTCAATTTCTTAAAAAAAAAAAAAAAACTGGCTGAGTACTGTAGCTCAAAACTGTAACATCAGCACTTTGGGAGGCTGAGGCGGGAGGATCACTTGAGCTCAGGAATTCTATACCAGCCTGAGCAACATAGTGAGATCTTGTCTCTACAAAAAATGAAGAAGGTTAGCCAGACCTCATGTTGCGTGTCTGTAGTCCCAGCTACTCGGGAGGATTGCTTGAGGCCTGGAGGTTGAGGTTGCAGTGAGCCAAGATTACACCACTGCACTCCAGCCTGGGCGACAGAGCAAGACTCTGTCTCAAAAAAGAAAATGTGGGTTTTTCTTTTATTTTCTTTTTTATCTATGAAGTGCAATAAAATGAGGTATGGCTATAGTTTGTGATTATATTTTTTATTATTTTTATTTTTGAGACAGTCTGGCTGTGTCGCCCAGGCTGGAACGCAGTGACAGATCTTGGCTCACTGCAACCTCTGCCTCCCTGGTTCAAGTGAGGAGCTGGGATTACCGGCCTGTACCACCACGCCTGGCTAATTTTTGTGTTTTTAGTAGAGATGGGGTTTCACCATGTTGCCCAGGCTGGTCTTCTCAAACTCATGGTGTCAAGTGATCTATCCGCTTCCACCTCCCAAAATGCTGGGATTACAGGCTTGAGCCACTGCACCCAGCCTCATCCATTTATTTTTAAGATCAGTTTGTGTGATTGTTGTAACCATCTAATAAATCATTTCCAGATGAGGAGGATATGTATACTGAAAGTATATTTCCCCATTGAATGTCTGGTATTAAATTGCAGATGTCAGATGTTCAGTTAACTGTGAATCAGAGTTCCTAACTTATGACTTTAAAGAGACTCACAACTTGTCCTGAGAGTCTTGGTTCTGGAAAGAGCTCCAGATACAAATCCTTGAGTTAATTCTGGATTGTCCTATAAAGAGAATCTACCCTGGTGAGTGTCTAGAGTTGGCCATAACAAGAACAGCATGGAAGATGTAGCACCTCATCACTGTTGTAGGGCATTTAGGGGGCAACCACTCATTTTTATTGCTTTTTTGAACATTCTGTTACTTTCACTTTGCTGCTTTTCTTGAATATATGACATTTTGGTCATGTATGTTATTAGAGGATTCCACAAGGTAAACTGATTTGCTGGGGATAGCGATAAACAGGATCAGGAATAGTTGGTTTCTACATAAGAAAGTTTTGATTCTTCAATTACTATATTTCATCACATTTAAGATGCCATTAATTGTAAGGTGTACATTTATTTTACATACAACTAACAAAGGAAGAAACCCACGGACAATTTAGAGATGAATTATAGATTCAGAGAAAGATGTGATGAAAATTTTATATATGTATATATATATATTTTTTTGAGGTGGAGTCTCACTCTGTTGCCCAGGCTGGAGTTCAGTGCCACGATTTTGGCTCACTGCAACTTCTGCCTCCCGGGTTCAAGTGATTTTCCTGCCTCAGCCTCCTGAGTAGTTGGGATTACAGGTACCCGTCACCACACCTGGCTAATTTTGGTATCTTCAGTAGAGACGGGGTTTCACCATGTTGGCCAGGCTAGTCTCAACTCCTGACCTCAGGCAGTCCACCTGCCTCAGCCTCCCAAGAGTGTTGGGATTACAGGCATGAGCCACTGCGCCTGGCCAAAAATTACATTTTAGAGTGCACCACAGTAGCTCCGCATACCCAGTATGGTCGCCTACAAGTGTATGGGTGATGATTGCATTCTCTTACCTTCTGACCGTTGGGCTCTTTAAATACCACTGTTCTCCACAGTTGGCATCACTGATCGATATCTATATTCTTTCCCTTGAGAGCCAGATTTGGCCCAAGTCTCCACCATGCTGACTGACTGCCACTCAGTAGTCAGCTGGAAAGTGCACTGATTTGCCAGTCCAAATGTAGACCCTCAACTTTTAAATGTTTAATTAGATCTGTTAACATCCCAAAGATGGTTAAATTTTCTCTCAAGCACCATGCTTGTTGGGTGATTTCTCTTTTCTTACTGTGAAATGTATATATCTGTTTTGGAAGTTTACCCAGCCTTTCTACATTGTCATTTCCCCCAACCTATCTGCCCTGTATGTCCTTCAGATGCCCTGCTGTTAGAGGTTGGGAACTAGTTCAATAAGTCCTGGTCTGCACATCTTGGAATGCCATGCTTGGCTGGGTCGTGCGTAATTTGGAAGGGAAAGACCTATTTTTCCACTATGCATTGGGTAGGGCTTTTGTGACTCTCAGCCCAAGGAATATCTTTGCATGCTTGCTGATTATTAAAATTGCAACAAAAGCTTTGAATCCCCCTTTGAACCTGTTTGAAAAATGGAAGAAGCAATTTTTGTCATAAAATGTGAGTTCCAGACATGAGGGATAAGCGATAAGCCTGGCTAGGAGACTAGGGGAAGAGGTGAGTAGGGTAGTACACCCATTCCTATGCAAAGGGAGTGGTGTTTTTGTTTTTTTATTTTTTGAGACAGAGTTTTGCTCTTGTAGCCCAGGCTGGGTCTTTTTTTTTCTTCTAACATATGATAGAAGTTAGATGTAAAAAAATCAATTTGGCAAGTAGTATGACATTAATATTAATAGAAAGCAGTTTGCCACCTCTGCTTTCTATTGAGGAAGGATTAAGAAATGTTACAGACATAGGTTTGGTTGCCTTGGTGAAATATTAGCTTGGACACCAGTTGTGCTAATTAATAACCAACACATCTAAAAATATAGAGGGTGCCGGTTACTAAGTTCTACTCTTTGGGCTCTAACCCTGTCACACTCTTGCCATGTGACACTGGGGCTGTGACTCTTCAAACTACATGTATGGGAAAAGGACTTCTTCCCTTTTTCTTCCAATTCATATTACTTATATTATTATCATATTATATATTTGTTTTGAGACAGAGTCTTGCTCTGTCACCCAGGCTGGGGGGCGCGGTGGTGCAGTCACAGCTTGCTGCAGCTTCGATCTCCCAAGACTCAAGCAATCCTTCCAGCTCAGCCTCCCAAGTAGATGGGACTATACACAAGCGCCACCATGCCTGGCTAATTTATTTTTTTGTAGAGACGGGGTCTCACTCTTGGCCAGGCTGATCTCAAACTCGTGGGCTTAAGCTATCCTCCTGCCTCTGCCTCCCAGAGTGCTGGGATTACAGGTGTGAGCCACCGTACCCGGCCCCAATTTTTAATAGCAATTCTTTTTCACCCTGACAGCAGAAGTTGGTTTCAATTTCAGATCTTGCCACTCTCAGAATTAGCTGGATGTAACCTCACCATCTTATTCTGGGTTCTTGTAACCACAGCTTTCTTTCCTTTGTTCTCTCAGACAAAGCAGAAGAAGCTGCTTCTGCAGGTACTCTCTGCCTCAGTGTGCTCTTTGCCCCAGCAGTTCTCCCATACCTGTTTAACCATTTCCCTATGCTAAATTCTGTTTAAATGTCTAGGGAGCTCTCTTGCTCTCTCTCGCTTTCTCTCTTTTTCCCTGGATGAATCCTGACAGCGTGAGATACTAAAAATGTATCAATGCTATTATGATACCTGCTTATATGCATGCTCATTTGCTTGGCCATTCTGATTTTTTAACTTTTAGGTAATGTGGATGTAATATCTGTCTGCTTCACTTTATTGGCTTCTGTATTAGTTTATCGGGTCTGTTGTAACAATTTACCATAAACTGGATTACTTAAAACAGCAGGCCAGAAGGCCAAGATCAAGGTGTCGGGACCATGCTCCCTCTGAAGGCCCTCAGGAAGACTCATTGCTTTCCTCATCCTGGCTTTTGGCAGTTGCCAGCATCCTTGGCTTGTACCTGCATCAGTTTCCGTTTCTGCTTTGGTCTTCACGTGGCTTTGTTCTCTGTATCTGTGTCTGCACATGACCCTCTGTGAACATCAGTTTTGGGATTTAAGATTCAACTTAATCTACTATAACCTCATCTTAGCTAATTATATCTACAAAGACCCTATTTCCACACAAGGTCACATCCTGGCCCACATTTAGTTGAGCCTGATGTTTGGAGGGACAATATTTAACCCAACACAGCTACCTAGTGCTTTGGTAAACATGGTTATGGCTAGAGATGTGCAAATATAAAATTTATAGATTGTTCTGCTAATTGTTCTGCTAAATCCCAGGTGGCTTAAGTATCATGGGCTTTGTACTTAGCTCCTGCTTTGATATGTAATGGTACTTGAGACAGGATTGTAAAGGTGGAGCAGAAACATTACAGAAATGTGCTGTTCCCTTCCAGCTTCAGAAGGGAAGTGGCATCAGAACTGGGTTTGGAAATTTAGGGTGAAGCATTCCAGGCTGTGGATATCCTGTGAGCCCTCTGGATCTACCCAGTTCCCCTGTGAATCAGCTCAGTGGATCCTTAGGTCACACAGGATCCTCTTAGGCAGAGAATGCAGTGTGGCACCTAACCACTGGAGTCACGGGTGGTGTGCTTTTTTGTTTTGTTTTGTTTAAATAAAGACCAGGTTTCACCATGTTGGCCAGGCTGGTCTTAAACTCCTGAGCCCAAGTGATTTGCCTGCCTCGGCCTCCCAAAGTGCTGGGATTACAGGCATTAGCCTCTGTGCCTGGCTTCCATGGGTGTTTTTGGGGCTGCACCTTTGAGCGTGTCTTGCATGCCATGAATGTGTCAGCTGTCATCCAGAGCAAGTCAAACTGTTGGGCAGGAAGAATATTCATAAAAATAAGGTAGATCGTGTATTGTATGATGATGCCATCTATATGAAATACCCAGAACAGGCCAGGCGCAGTGGCTCATGCCTATAATGCCAGCACTTTTGGAGGCCTAGGTGGGCAGATCACTTGAGCCCAGGAGTTCGAGACCAGCCTAGGCAATGTGACAAGATTCCCCCATCTCTATTTGAAAAAAAAAAAAAAGAAAGAAAAAGAAATGCCCAGGACAGACAGATCTGTAGAGAGACAGTAGATTAGTGATCGCCATGGGGTAGAAGGAGGGAAGTGGAAATGACTCCTTAATGGTAATGGCCTTTGCTTTTTGGGTGGTGAAAATGTTCTGTAGCTAGATAGTGGTGGTGATTATACAACACTGAACATACTAAGTGTGACTAATGGTAAATTTTATGATAGGAGCTAAGTGGCCTGACGGGACACAATGGCTGAACTTTTGTCCCAGGTGTTTTATCAGCTGAGAACTATTAATAACAGTGTTTTACTCTGTGCCAGGTGCTGAGCTCAGCTCTACCCATGCATTTCCCTCACATCTACCTTTACCAAGGTTGGAGAGGACCAGGAGCTTGTCCAAGGCCTTACAACTAGTAGGAGGCCCTAAACTAACCCAGGATTGGAACCTGGGTTACCTGACTCCAGGGATGACTGGCCTGGTTTGCCCCGGACTGTCCCAGTTTTAGCATTGAAAGTCCCACATCCCAGAAACCCCTCAGTACAGAGCAAACTGGATGATTGGTCACTCTGATTCCTAAGCCCATACCAGGCTCCAGTTTGGGCTTCCCTGACACCCTCCTGATTGAATCACCTACCCGAAACCTGTTGTACCAAGAGCAATCACTTTGGAATCCCTGATTTAATAGCTCGGTATCTCAACCATGTAATATTAATGATAACACCATGCCTTCTGTCTGGATTAATTAACAATAATACGTCTGATTAAACTGGCTGATTTACTACGGCTGGTACAGGGTGGCGTGTGTGATGACGTGTAGATGGTCTCTGACCACGGGGCACAGCTCCTTAGGTAGATCGGGGGATATTCCCAGTGTGCACTTGGTGTTCGTTCTGGCTGGGGTGAGCTGTGTTGCCAGTGCCTTGACAAAAGCAGGATGGATTAGCCACTACCCTGTCGCACACCCTCACGTAAGGGATGTTCCTGGCCTGCGGGGTTTCGCCTAGGCAGAGGGTGAGGCCAGGAAGTCTGGGGAAGTTGCTTGTGTGGCTGGAGTTGTACATTTTACATCTGATCCTCATTCCCAGTTTTCATCTGTCACCCAGCTACACTGGTTTTGCTGTGTCAGAGTATCTCTTAATAGTTCTGACATTCACTGTGTAGGTGCTATTTCTCATGCAAAGAAATCCAGCTCTTGCCAGCAACTCCTTTAGTTACATGTCAAACAGATGCCAGTCTCTCCCTAAGTGCCTGTTTTCCTTCCAAGGGAGTGAATCAAGTGGTCTGGGAACCCAGGGTGTCAGCTTTTCAAGTCTGACAGAGCAGATTCAAATGTTTTGTATAAGGAATGACAGTCCTTCTAATGCCTCGAAGTTGTTTCTTTTTGGTTTTCCAGCTGAGCATCGAGCAGGCCCAGACGGTGGCGGAACAGGTGGAGATGAAGGCGAAGGTTGTGCAGTCGGAGGTCAAAGCCGTGACGGCGAGGCATAAGAAAGCCCTGGAGGAACGCGAGTGTGAGCTGCTGTGGAAGGTAACAGGGAGAGCTCCCCCACCCAGGCTGTGCCCACTCGGCTTCCATGAACCTCAGCAGCACTCTACGGGACTCTTTACAGATCCAGGAGCCAAGCTCTAAGTTTAAAACACTTCGTAATTTTCCAGAAAGCCTGTTAGCAGAAAGATGCAGGGGGTCCCTGGAACATTGTGGGTGCTGTCTGCAGTAAAACAACAAGAAGCCTTTTCAGAAGTACGTGGGTAACCAAGACTGGAAGCGGTCTCCAGTTTTATATTGCATTCACTCAAAAGGAGGCTAAAGAAGGGAGCATAGTCGAAACTGTTGTTAAGAAAGGCAGGCTGGTAGGAAACATCCCTATTTTTGGTGACCTGGCTGGTTGCACTTCCTGACCTCTTGTGGAAAACCAGTTTTCCTCTTCGGAGGGCAGTGAGTGTGTGTCCTTTCTTCCTGTTGGAGCAGGAAAGAGTGCCGAGCACACTAGTGTGCTGTTTAGATAAAAATCAGCTAGAAAGACTACTTGCCCCACCCAAGCCAGCATTCCAACTGTTCCTTTTCTGATTTTATGTCCCCACTCAGAAAGGAGGAGAGTTAGGTCTATGAAAGGGCCAGTACTCCATGCCAATTCTTTAACTATAATTACATTCTCTGAACACACGAAAAAGACTAGAGCTGATTTATAAGGGTATCCTTGTGGAGTGTGCCTGTTTCCATCTCCAAACAATATGATGATGGTGGGGATGGCACCTCAGTTTCTGCAAGTGAACTTTGCTAACTACTGGGCCCTACAATGTTCTGCAAGGTGTCCCTGGATTTTGCATTGCATTTTCCATTTAGTTAACTTCACAACTGGATGGATGCTTTCTGCCTCTTCTGACCTCTTAAGGAATATGGCTCAATTGCTTTCTGACAAGAGACTTTGGAGGTGTTAGTCCAAGATTTTTAATTCAGCATATTTTTTGAGCACCTTTGTGGGCATGACATCATTTTCAGACACTCAGATGTCCCCATGGGTCTGCCAGTGTTATGCCACCCACGAATGTTAATTATAACTGAGGGGCCCATTTCTTGCAACCTGAGAGCTTTGTAGTGAACTCTGCCACAAACTCGCTCTTCTGGATTTCCTGATGAAAAAGGCCTTTGTGTGTGGGGGTTTCTGCCGCTTTCACCTTAGTTACCCTCCCTCCTGTGAGGCTGACCCACTGTCCTCTCTAAAGGCAGTTCTGTTTCAGAAGAAATAGCAAGTTTTTACTCTTGGGAGAAGCCTATTTGAAAGAAGAGTCCATCCCTTCTTCATTGTAGTAAGCAGTTTCTGCTTGCCCAAAAATTCATCCTCAGAGCATTCCAAAATAAGCTTCCTTATTTTGGATACTTTTGCTATAGAACCTTGCTCCAAATCCTGTGGGGTCCCTCTCTCTTTGACTAATTACTGACTTTTTTTTTTTTTTTTTTTTTCTGTTCCTTCCCAGCAAATCCCTCTTACTTTGCCTGTCTCTGTCTGGGCATCTCTTTGTTACAAGTTTTGTTTTCCTGCATCTCTGGTTACTTTAAGATATATAAGTGCAAGGATTAAGATAACCCTGTTGTAAATATCCAGATGCCTCTCTTCATTCTTGGGCCTTATGTATTTCCAGTGGACTTGGCTACCTCATGGGGTTAGCTGCATATATATAGTTCATGGGTAAGAACCAAAGGTGGAGGTTTGGCCTAATGGGCAAATATTCTTTAATCTGTCCCCACGTGGGCCTCTCCATACACATGTATCCTGGTTCACTGAACAGATGAAAAAGCAGGAATGAGTCGAAATCATATAATCACCCCTCCCACCCTAAAGGGAAAGTCAGGTTGAAATCCAGCTCTTTCAACAGTGGACGCTTATTCTGAAATAGCCTTCTATGGCTTTCAGATCTGTAGAACAACTCAAGTCATGGTCCTCTGTGAAAACTGTTTGGATAAGTTCATTCGCTTCACAGGGGGAAATTGCTTAGAATTAGAGAACTTTTAAAGAATAGAGAAACTAATGTTTCATTGGTAAAACAAAATTCCATATTTCTAAATAGCATGGTTTGAGAACCTCAAGCAGGAATTATTTTGGCAGGTTAGAATCCATGTCCATATATATTATAGCATTTTAGATTTAAAGGGCTCTTTTGGAAATAATACAGACATGCCAAAAGCGTGCTATGTTAAAATTTGGGGTACAGGGCTTCTCAGGTTCCCAGTTGGGTTTTTAAAACCATTCTTAAAATACAGAAGTAAAGAGAAACTGGCCCAAGCACAGTGACTCACGCCTGTAATGCCAACACTTTGGGAGGCTGAGGTGGGAAGATTGCTTGAGTCCAGGATTTTGAGGCCACCCGTGGCAACATTAAGACCCCATCTCTACCAAAAAAAAAAAAAAAAAAAAAAAAAAAAAAAAAAAAAAAGGTGCCCTGTGGTGGTGGTCTCCTTTAATACACATTTCCCAAGCTAATCCTTTTGCGGTTTGTTGTTGTTGTTGTTGTTGTTTTGAGACGGAGTTTCGCTCTTATTGCCCAGGCTGGACTGCAGTGGCACGATCTCGGCTCACTGCAACCTCCGTCTCCTGGGTTCAAGCGATTCTCCTGCCTCAGCCTCCCAAGTAGCTGGGATTACAGCCACCTGCCACCACGCTCGGCTAGTTTTGTATTTTTAGTACAGAGAAGGTCTCACTATGTTGGCCAGACTGGTTTTGAACTCCTGACCTCAGGTGGTCCACCCATCTTGGCCTCCCAAAGCATGAGCCACTGTGCTGGGCCCCAAACTAATTCTTTAAGAATATGAATCTGTCATGTCACTCCCCTACTGAAAGCTGTGGTTGTGAAATGCTGAGCCTGTGCCCACAGCAGGACCTTTGCTGTTTCCTTTGCTGAGATAGCTCTCCCTATGGCCTTTTGCCTAGTCTCAACCTGTAGGTCTGAACTTGTGAAAGGCACTGTCCCTCAGTGCTCTTTGTCTGTATCAGGGCCCCTAGACACTGTCTTTCACATCCTTTTTCTACTTTTTAACACCTATCACTATCTGACATGATCCTTATTTCTTCGTTTGCTTTTGAATACTGCTTTTCTAAACTACAACTCTGTGTGAGCAAGGACCATATTTTATATTTTCTGTGGGTTACTGCAGTACCTCCAATGCCTGGCAAAGTGTAGGTGCTCAGTACACTCCTTTGTCAAATGGCTGTTTTTGGTTTTGGTGGTGGGATCTTGCTATTTTTTTAAGGTGGGATCTTGCTGTATTACCCAGGCTGGAGTGCAGTGGTTATTCACAGACACAGTCATGGCACACTACAGACTCAGCCTCCTAGGCTCAAGTGATTCTTCCACCTCAGCTTCCCGAGTAGCTGGGATTACAGGTGCACAGCACTGTGCCCAGCTCTAGATGGCTGTTTTTAACTTTTATTTTTTTTAATTTATAGCTTACAGAAAAGTTGCAGTAATAGTAACTCCATATATTCCTTCTCCAGATTTACTGATTATGTACGTTTTGTCCCAATTATTATTATTATTATTATTATTATTATTATTATTATTATTATTTTGAGACGGAGTCTCGCCCTGTTCCCTAGGTTGGAGTGCAATGGTGTGATCTCTACTCACTGCAACCTCCGCCTCTCGGGTTCAAGCGATTCTCCCCACATCAGCTTCCCAAATAGCTGGGATTACAGGCACCTGTTACCACACTTGGTTAATTTTTGTTATTTTTAGTAGAGACAGGGTTTTGCCATGTTGGCCAGACTGGTCTCAAACTCCTGACCTCAGGTGATCTGCCTGCTTCATCCTCCCAAAGTGCTGGGATTAGAGGCATGAGGCGTGCGTGTATGTGTGTGTGTGTGTATGTATGTATGTATGTATGTGTATATATGTTTGTGATCTGAGAGTGAGTTGGCATATTGGAAACACAATGCCTTTACCCCTAATCACATTACAATTACAGAAATCAGGAAATTTGATTTTGATACAGTACTAGCATCTACTCCTCAGTCCATAATCAAGGTTCAACAATTGTCCCAACAGTGCTTTTCATAGCTAGCCACTCCCTCCAGTCCAGAGTCACTAATTACATATAGTTGTCCTGTTTCTAGTAACTATCCTCTGTAACCCAGAACAGTTCTTCAGGTTTTTTGGTCCATTTTGATTTTGCTGCTTTTGAAGAAAGACAGATGTCTTTTGTAGACCATCCCACAATATGTGTTTGTCTGATGCTTCCTTGTGATTAGTTGTGGCTTATGTGGTATTTTCTGTGCTTGGCTCTAAGCCTCTGTGTCTTTCTCCACTCTTGCTTTTCCCTCCAGGTAGAAAAGATCCGCCAGGTGAAAGCCAAGTCTCTGTACCTGCAGGTGGAGAAGCTGCGGCAAAACCTCAACAAGCTTGAGAGCACCATCAGTGCCGTGCAGCAGGTCCTGGAGGAGGGTAGAGCGCTAGACATCCTACTGGCCCGAGACCGGATGCTGGCCCAGGTGCAGGAGCTGAAGACCGTGCGGAGCCTCCTGCAGCCCCAGGAAGACGACCGAGTCATGTTCACACCCCCCGATCAGGCACTGTACCTTGCCATCAAGTCTTTTGGCTTTGTTAGCAGCGGGGCCTTTGCCCCACTCACCAAGGCCACAGGCGATGGCCTCAAGCGTGCCCTCCAGGGTAAGGTGGCCTCCTTCACAGTCATTGGTTATGACCACGATGGTGAGCCCCGCCTCTCAGGAGGCGACCTGATGTCGGCTGTGGTCCTGGGCCCTGATGGCAACCTGTTTGGTGCAGAGGTGAGTGATCAGCAGAATGGGACATACGTGGTGAGTTACCGACCCCAGCTGGAGGGTGAGCACCTGGTATCTGTGACACTGTGCAACCAGCACATTGAGAACAGCCCTTTCAAGGTGGTGGTCAAGTCAGGCCGCAGCTACGTGGGCATTGGGCTCCCGGGCCTGAGCTTCGGCAGTGAGGGTGACAGCGATGGCAAGCTCTGCCGCCCTTGGGGTGTGAGTGTAGACAAGGAGGGCTACATCATTGTCGCCGACCGCAGCAACAACCGCATCCAGGTGTTCAAGCCCTGCGGCGCCTTCCACCACAAATTCGGCACCCTGGGCTCCCGGCCTGGGCAGTTCGACCGACCAGCCGGCGTGGCCTGTGACGCCTCACGCAGGATCGTGGTGGCTGACAAGGACAATCATCGCATCCAGATCTTCACGTTCGAGGGCCAGTTCCTCCTCAAGTTTGGTGAGAAAGGAACCAAGAATGGGCAGTTCAACTACCCTTGGGATGTGGCGGTGAATTCTGAGGGCAAGATCCTGGTCTCAGACACGAGGAACCACCGGATCCAGCTGTTTGGGCCTGATGGTGTCTTCCTAAACAAGTATGGCTTCGAGGGGGCTCTCTGGAAGCACTTTGACTCCCCACGGGGTGTGGCCTTCAACCATGAGGGCCACTTGGTGGTCACTGACTTCAACAACCACCGGCTCCTGGTTATTCACCCCGACTGCCAGTCGGCACGCTTTCTGGGCTCGGAGGGCACAGGCAATGGGCAGTTCCTGCGCCCACAAGGGGTAGCTGTGGACCAGGAAGGGCGCATCATTGTGGCGGATTCCAGGAACCATCGGGTACAGATGTTTGAATCCAACGGCAGCTTCCTGTGCAAGTTTGGTGCTCAAGGCAGCGGCTTTGGGCAGATGGACCGCCCTTCCGGCATCGCCATCACCCCCGACGGAATGATCGTTGTGGTGGACTTTGGCAACAATCGAATCCTCGTCTTCTAATTGCATTTCCTAGGTTTCTGTGTTTGGGGTGTGTGTGCGTGTCTCTCTCTCTCTCTCTCTCTTTCTCTTTCTCTCTCTTTTTGAATTTCAAAGAAGAAACAGTCTCAGGGAAATTTCTTTTTTCTTTTTTTTTTTTAAAGAGAACAAGAAAAGTACAACATTGCTTAAGTCCTACCTCATCTTTATTTTTTTACAGATGAATGTACTTATCTTTTCTGCAGGGATTGAGCCTGTGAAGTGATAATTTCTATCTACCTCATAAATCTTTACATTTCCTTCTGCAACAGGCCCTCTTCCCCTCCTCAGTGGAGTTTGCATTTCCCTCTTCCCCTGCGTGGGGCATGATATGCACAAGCCTGGCATCTGTATGGCTGGGAGGGCACTGGATGTGTGTGGTGGGGTGTATTCTGTAGATTGAGCCAAGGAAACACAAAAAAAAACTACTAAGTAAAAAAACAAAAAACTATAAAACATGGAAAAAATAGGATTTGAAATGCATAATTATAGAATACCTGTGTTCTTGAGAATACTGTTTATATGGGGTTTAGATTATGTTGTGTTGTTTTGATCTTTTTGGAAAATCTTCTCTTTTTAAATGCTGCAACAGAGAAATTTCCTCTGTTCTCTGTTTATACCTCAGTGTGTTTAACATCCTCTTCTGCATCGTTTCTTGATCTTAGACGTTGTGGCTGTGGCTTGCTAGCCAAGAAAAGCAGACCCTTCATATTTTAGGGTATATAATCTTTGTTTCTTTTAAGGGAGGGTGTGTGCATGTTTGTTTCAAAGCCATCTTGCACCCAAGTAGTAAAGCTGAAAATGACACACTGCCTCCCAAAGAACCTCTCCTTTTCACACTTTGGTTTCTTAAAAAAGTATATAGATGGTAGCTCAGGATTTTTGATTAAACATATTCTCAAAAGTTATGCTTTCTTATTTTGCTGTTAGGTTATAAAGGGTTAAATGGAAGGAAAAAGGAAATTAACCTCGTTCTCAGAGAGAGGGTTTTCAGGCATGGGCTGACGTGGACATGAATGTGGGTGGACATGCGTGTGCTGAGGGAGTCAGGGAGCACATTAAAGAACAAGGCACCCCCAAACTATAGGAACTCCACAGAAAGGGCAGGGTCTGCCCTGACCCGCGAGTGCATGTTGTTCTGTAGTGCTAGGGGTTTCTTTTCCTAAGAAGAGTAGGCAAAGGAAAGAACTTTTATTTTACAAGCACAATTTTTTCCTGCTTTGAAAGTTCAGGGAAATAGAAGGTTTGAAAGTCAAATTAATACCAACAGCCCAGTCCCACACCCTCTGCTTGGGTCACTTTTTATAGGATTGTTTGCACCCAGGCCATGCTTTAGGACCTCATGGTTAACATGAATCCCCCCGCCCCCTCTCCCCCCAAGGCCTTTGACCATAAAGGATCTAGAAACCAAATTGTCCCAACCTGAAATGTAGGATGTAATGTCTTTTCTTAAACCTGTAACTCGGTACCAAAGAATGAAAATTTAAGGCTCCCACTGCAGAACTGTGGGGTAGAATCTGTGTCACTTTACAGGATTGGTTGGTTGTAAGCTGGACTTGGGTACAAAACTTGTGCTTCTGGGCATTGTCTGTCTTTCAAGTGCAAAGCAGATGTAGCTGATACCCTGCTTGTCAGAACCCAGTGGGTTCCTGCAATGCCCCAAATACTGAAATAAGAACCAAATTCTGGAGGAGCCCTCCTCAGGGAAAAGAGGGACTCTCAAACAAACGTCAGTGACTTACAAGGGAGACCTCTTGTTTAAAGACTTATGGATCAACTTCTGTTCCTCTGTTTAAGAGAAATTTCTATTGCAAAATGGGTATCGTTTTAAATGAGCAGAACAGATTAACAAATGGAGCAATTTGTTTCTGTTATCCCAATAGAAAAGGAGATGATGGGGACAGTGTGACAAGTCAATCAAGTTGCTTTTCCCGTACACCTCTTTTGGACGTTTAATTTACTACTACTACAAGCTACTCTGTCTCTTCCCATTGCTTTAATTCTAGGGTTTCTGAGTGACCAAAATGGGAAGGAAAAAAAAAACCTCATCTCACAGAGGAGAACTGCATGCAATAAAAGATTCAAAAGTTGGAAAGTAGCTTCAAACTGCTGCTGGCTCCCAGCTGCTGTTACAGGGTGGGAAGGTGTTAGGAAATGTTGTTTGTTAGAAGCTCCTTTTACTGTAGAATTTAATAGTGAATCCTTCCCCAATGCCTATTCAGTTGCCTTTTGGCCGTTAAGCTCTAAGTTCTTTGGTAAAGAGTTAATATAATTAAACATTTTTACTGTTTTCTATTTTGGAGTAACTTGGTGCTGATCTTCCTTCCCTTTCCCCAGCTGCCCAACAAGCCACCCTTTAAACACCAAAGACAACTGGTTTTAAATGCTTGAAAAAAATTTTATTGAGGAGATGGATCTTGATTAAAATCTTTTCATCATCATTTTCATTCTGCTCTTTTCTTTCTAATTTCCCCAGATGTAGGAAAATTTTGGGACCTGAATGAGAAATGTTCTTGGTGCATAACAGTAACTAGAGCTCCTTATTTGACATTTTACTATGGATGTGATCGAAAAGCCAAGATTTTCGCTCCATGGCTGAAATTATCAGGTCTTAATTTACAGACTTGTAAATTTGCAGGCTTAGAGCAACTAGAACTATCCCCTGAAATAGGTGTGTAGGTCAGAGATACTACCTCTTTGTCCTCAGTGGTGGTATATCTATCTCCTTACCTTTCTGTACCCAAAATGGTGCATGACTGGTATTTGAGAAACATGGTCACATTTGGAAAGCTTTTGTTTTTAAAACATTGGCGGTTTTTCCTGCCCGTGGTTGACTCCTGACCCATAGGGATTGGTGCGAAGCACTTTGGAGAGTGTTTATTGTATGATGTGAAATGTTCTAAATCAAAGAAAGATGATAAAAGCCAACATTTGGCAGTCCCTAGTGTGAAACTGTGAAAAGTACCTGTGTTTAAATGCATAATCTCCTGCCCGGGTAATGCCAGGTAGCCAGGAGTTGGGTCAAAGAAGGGAGTCGTCATCCTGATGGAAAAAATAAGGTCCTGGGTATTATGAGGTAGGAGAATAAAAAGGTTTCTGGGGAGTAAGTATGACAATTACTAGTCCCCATGGAGGTCTGATCTGGTCAGGTGGCAAGGGTTGGGTGGGGTATGATGTAAGCTCAGTTTATGTGTGGAGATGCCCATTGGGTTTGGATATATAGGTTTGAGTATTGAGATGTTTAAAGGACATCTAACCCATAGGTAAAAACTACTTTTGCTTGACACTGACTTAACATTTCAAAAGTGTTATTTTTGGTCCCAAGATCTAATGCTGTCTCAGAACATGTGCCCTGTTGTGGCTGCAAGTGGCACTCAAGTTGACTAGAGCACAGTGACCTGGGTTGTACCCCAAGTGCACTAACTCCTCAATGCCCTTTTAAGTCTAACTTATTTGGGAAACACATAACAAAGGGTACCATAAACCGAATCCAAATTACGTGTTGGGCCAAAAATGTTGCCAGAACTGAGGCACTTTGTGATGGAGTTGCAAGAGATAGCTTGAGATCGGCTCAGTCTGATTTATTCTAGTTAAGCCAAAGCTTAATTATTTGAGGAGGAAAGTCTTTTAGGCTTGAAGCAGCAAAATACTGTTTATATATGTGTTACCTTCCTCGTTGGAAGATTCTACGATTGCTCTGTTCTGGTAGGTGGTGAAAGATATGCCAAAGTTTTAGGCTTGTTTTTCTGATCTTATTTTTTTAATCCAGTGGTGCCAAAAAGTATTTAGGGTATGTTTAAGGTATATTTAAAACATCACTCTGAATGAGTTTCCAACAGTCTGGGGCTGTATAAAAGTCACACTCTTGTACTTGCAGGTGATGGTGTCACAGGGCCAGGGCCTCCAGAGCTCTACGGCTTTCTCTGGTTTTCTATAGGGCCAAGGGCACAGGACGCAGCATTCCAGACCACACTGACTGCTTTTGCTGAGTTTCTACCTCACTTGTGGCAAGTCATCTACCTCATGTTAGCATCTGACAGGTCTCAAAAAGAATAGTATTAATCCAGTGGGCAGTGGGTGGGAGTGGGAAGCTACCTCTAAAAGAAATGTTACCATAAATCTACAACTGATTTCTCCCAGGAGAAATGTTCTACTTACCTTGAAAGAGAAATGTCAGGCAAATGTAGTCATAAATCCAAGTAGTTCTTAGCAATCTGGCTTTTCCCCCTCAAAAAGAATTATGCATACCATTACTGTTGTTCAGTATTATGAAACTACTGGTTAATCTGACCTATTGGAGGACTTAACTACAAATAAAGACCTTTAGGTCTCTTTCTCTTCAAGAGAAAAATATTTTATCTGTATTTCGAATGTCTGCAAATAATACCCTTTAGGAGCAATTCTAAAGGTCTAGATCTTGGAAACATCAAATATTTGAAGGGAATGAGAATCCTCTTGACTTCATGATTGTATTTGTAGCTCTCTGGACCCGGCAGGACGTTCATCACCATGATGTTGCAACAATCACTGTTTTGACTGAGCAGTGACTGTTGAAGTGTGTATTGCTCTTTTGTTTTGTTTTTATTTTTTTCTACCAAAGGTAACATGTTGACGGGTTTTTTTTTTCCTTGTTTATTAAATACTTGATAAAGTTGAGAAGCACATTACCAGGATATACTGTATTGACCCTCCCACCTCTCTTCTGCCCTAATTTTTGGTTGTTTGGAAGAGAGGAGGGTCCTAAGACCACTGTCATTATCATGAGGGGCTTATAAATGTCATGGTGAAGAAATACCTCAATGATGTCTATTTTTAAAACTGATCTTACGGGTTAACAAGCCA
The DNA here is from genome assembly GCF_000001405.40 of Homo sapiens. Classification (NCBI taxonomy): domain Eukaryota; kingdom Metazoa; phylum Chordata; class Mammalia; order Primates; family Hominidae; genus Homo; species Homo sapiens. The sequence goes on from NW_025791770.1 coordinate 264,895, forward strand.
GCCTGGTGGGATATTTTCCATCATCATTTAACCAATAATGGTTCTAAAAGTTTTGTGTATCCACATGGTCTTAGACCTCCTTTTAATGATTGTATTAACTTACAAGCTCAGGTAGTATTTTTCTTAAGACTCTATCTCAGAGCACACTGACTGAATGTTGATGTGTGTAGCAAAGTGTTTACTTTCTTTAAATAACCAGCTCTGTAACTCTGTAAGTTCTTTGTGTTTCTAGCAGTCTGTGTAGTTGTCTTTCTTCAGAGGAAGATTTTTCACATTTCTGGGGTTTTCTTGCTTTTAGGGTGGTAAGATTCCTTTCTTTTTTTCCCTTTTCTCCTAAAATCGATGCAGGTAAGGGTGGGTGGGTAAGGGGTGTTGTTTTTTAACTAGCATGTTAGTTATACTTGGGTGGGTGGGAGGGTTGTTAAACTGAATCTTGCTTAATACTGTCCATTAGCTCTCATGCCGGGTCAGCAAAATGCTTTAATTTTTAACTGCAGAACATGTGACTCGGTTGAGTCTTTTTGTCTTTTTTTTTTTTAAATAAACAATTGGGGGAATTAATGTGGGCAAGTTGCCTTATGTTAGAATGACTAAGTTAAACCTCTTAATTTGTATTTGTCCAAGGCAGACATGATATAAGGAATATGCACTACCGTAGTAACTCCCCTGGCCGCAGAAACCACACTGCAAGCCTGTCCGGGGTGGGGTGCTGACTGCCATTTGCCACTTTTAAATGGGCACTGCCGTGGTAATGTGAATCCCATCAATGCAGTAGATGGGTGGGGAAATGAAGATTTCCCCCCAAACCTTTAGGCAAAAGTGAGTTTTTGTTTGGTTGATTTTGGGTTTTTTTCCCCCCTCCTCTTTTGGCTTTCACATTTTAAATCTTAAATGTTACTATTGCAGGCCGCAGGCATGACAGGCAATGAGCAGGTGAAGAACCAATGGAAAAGTGTTCAAAAACTCCTGTGTTAGCTAACAGGCTTCTGAATGTATCACTGTGGTCCACAGAGAAGGCTGGAGGAGGTAGCAAGGAGATGCTGTATCAGCTACTACAGCCTTAAAACAAAGTTGGTGTCTCTTTGGACTTTAAAATTGTTCCTATGCAGCTTATTTTATTTTTGTTTAATCAAATAAACGAGGGTTTTTCCATGGCTACAGTGTGTCTGTGTGATCCTTTAATCCATAGTAAATAAGGGTATGTGCACTGTACTGGATGGAAAGGGAGTCCCTGAGGTAGACAGTCCAGGAGCTGTACTGTGACTGGTGGGCCAGATTGGGCCCATGCGGTGCCTTCAAAAAGAAAAAGGTGATGGGAGCATTTTTAAATAGAGTAAATGTTAAAGAGCCTAAAAGTTATGGATTGTCACGAAATTTCAGACCTGGAAGCCTTGTATGTATCTTCTCCCAAGGAGCTGAGTAGCAGATGTCCCTCTAGAGGCAAATATGTGACTTCCCAGCTGCCACCACCCTGTCCCCCTTTCTCTGGAAGGTCTTGGCCTTATCACCTCTGTCTGAGTAGAGGTACCTGGGAACCATTTGGGGTCTAAACTGTGGCCCCAGGAGATGTGAGCAACTCATCCAACTGGCTTCTCCCTCAGTGGGGGGATACCGTAGATGCTGGGTGGATAAAGACTGTTAATCGTGAGCTTAATGTGTTCAGAACTTTATTTGGGATTTCATTTTTCACTGGACTTCATTTTCCCAACTTTGCTCACCTATTTTCTTTCGAGTCATACAGCCTCAGGCTTGACTTTGGAATGCAGTATCTGACAAACTAGAGAAACCAGCACCCTGGGTTCTACTTTTCCTGATGTTTTTTCCTGTCCTGTGTCCCTTTCCTGCTGTGAGACGTTTACACAGGTTCTAATGGTGTTGGGTCTTCACTACAGTACAGGAAACACCCTCTTAAAGTGCAGACCCTCAGTACCTGACTTGGGAACCTCTGCTCTTTCCTTCACTCCTTCCCATGTTGGTGTTGATACCTTCAGCTTCAAAATTAACACATCCTGATTAGCAGTTTCAAAAAGACCCTGAAGTGTAAATGGACTCTGAATTCTTGTCTCCATTCTTCCTCTTCCCATCTTCCATCTTTTTTGGGAAAGTCCTCTCACTTTCCCTTTTACCCATAGCTGGACACAAGGGAAGGCTTTTTTGTTGAATATAAAAGTTGGGTAGATGCACTTTTTCTTTTAAGAAAGGAAAGGAATCTTTTCTCTTTAATCTGTAAAAAAATACCTAAGAGAAGCTAATACAAGGAGGCAGGACCCATTTCTGAAGGAAGTGCAGGGAAGGGAAGCATACAAAGAACACCTGATCTTCAGTCTCCCTGATTTTCACAGCCTCTTTGACAGGGTGAAATGACCCTTGAAAGGGCTTAGAATGCCTATACCTCTTTGTAGCAGGCCATTAGGCTGCCTTTCTTAAAGGTTAACAGCCAATAATACAGTAGTGAGTATTGGCAAGGATGTGGAGTAATTGGAACCCTCGTATATGGCTGGCGGGATTGTGAAACGGTAAAGACAATTGTTGAACACATCTTGACAGTTCATCATAGCGTTAGACATAGAACCCAGCAATGTCAATCTTAAGCACATATCCAAGAGGATTGATGACATGTCCACACAAAAACTAGTACATGAATGTTCATAGCAACATGATTCATAATAGCCCCAAATGCAGGCAACCCAAATTTCCCTCAACTGAAAACTGGATAAACAGCCATAAAAAGGAATGAGGTACTAATGCATGTTATGACATGGGTGAACCTTGAAGTGTTAAGTGAAAGAAGTCAGGCACGTAACTGCACATACATGAAATGTCCAGAATAGGCAAATAGGTACAAATAGATATGTGGTTGCCAGGGCCTTGGAGGTTGAGAGGAATTGGCAGTTTTCTTTGTGAAACTCCATAGCAGCCATGGATATTGAAAGTGCTCTGGAATTGGATAGTGGTTGTCGTTTCACAACTGGTGAAAATACTGGAGATCACTGAACTTTACATATTAAATGTAAAGTGCATAGATTATGAGAAGGCACAGCAACAAATCAAATTTATATCTGACTGCATTAAAAACTTCCGTTCGGCCGGGTATGGTGGCTCACACCTGTAACGCCAGCACTTTGGGAGGCCAAGGCGGGCAGATCACGAGATCAGGAGTTCAAGACTAGCCTGGCCAACATGGTGAAACCCCGTCTCTACTAAAAATACAAAAATGAGCCAGGCGTGGTGGTGGGCACCTGTAAACCCAGCAACTTGGGAGGCTGAGGCAGGAGAATTGCTTCAACCCAGAGGCAGAGGTTGCAGTGAGCTGGGATCACGCCACTGCACCCCAACCTGGGCAACAGAGCAAGACTCTGTCTCAGGGAAAAACAAAACAAAAAATTTCCGTTCAGTGAAGAGGTTTGATTTTCTTTTCTGACCTCCATACAACTAGCGTGAGCAGCAGTGCAGATGACCTTGAAAAACACGGGTTCCGCATGTGCAAACAAATAGGGATGGAAAACATTTGTGGGATGTGAAACTGACCTATGTGGAGGGCTGAATTTGTATCCACGGGTTCCACAGACCATATGGAATACTTGTGTTCCACAGACGAGTGGCTGCGTGGAGTATGTGCGGGTTCCACGGAGCGGCCGAATGGAGCATGCGCTCCACTGGTAGCTGCGGGCGGTCCTGAAAGCAATCTCCCGTGGTGCCGAGGGATGGCTGTATTTCACTGCATCTAAGTGAACTGTTAGATCTCTCTTCACCTCCCATGACCACAGGCAGTATCCTAGTATTCCTGATGGCAGGAAGTGTCATCAGCCTGGATCTGGGAGAGGCTGACACAAGAGCAGCACGCCAGGCAACCAGGAATGCACATGTGATAAAAATGTATACACTTGTTGTGTGTTTTTTATGTTTTAAAAATTAGTTCAATGAAGTACAGTAGGGAAATTGTCAATAATTTATTGTAAATTTCAAAATAAAAGATTTGTATTGTTCCTAGCACAAAGATAAATATTTGAGGCGATGGATATCCGAAGTACACTGATTTGATAATCACATGTTATACAAGTTTCAAAACTCATATGGACCCCCAAAATATGTCCAACTACTATATATCAATTTTTAACTTACAAAAATTGAAACTTGAAAAACAACAATATTAAAGAAGCGAAAGCATAAGCCTCAGAATGGGAGAATATAAAGGTATAACTAATAAAGGATTGCCATCCAGAATATTTAAAGAACTACAATAAGGAAAACATACCCCAATTAAAAACAACGAGGCAAAGGGTGGGGTTAAGTTATTTACCGAGCTCAACTACCCTAGAACTCAGGGAAATACAGACCAAAGCAACAATAAGATACAATGTTATACTCATCCTTTGGATAGAAATAGGAAAGTCTAATTATAGCAACTGTTGGTGAGAAATGGGAACTGTCCTACACAGCTGGTGGGAGTGAAAAGGAGTACAACCTGTTTGCAGGGGAATTTGTCAATACCTAGTAAAGGTGAAGATGTACACATACACACGGATCCAGTAATTTCACCTCCAAAATATGCTGTGGAGAAATTCTAGCACAAACAACAGCATAAGAAGACTTAAAACAGTCGCTGCCTGGTTGTCTGGAGTACGTAATGCCAAGTATCTTGTCAGTGGGGAGATAGAAGAGTACATTTGATATATTTATTCAGTGCAAGTTAAAGTGAATGGGGACGCTACATGTGTGTAGGTACATCTAAAAATCATTGGGTGAAAGAAGTTCTAGTATGATTTTACAGTATACCTTTTACATAACATTTGAAAAAAAGTACAAAACAAGACTACATATTTGCTATAGATTTGACTTGTTCGACGAGCATTAAGTGGCTAGGTGGATGGCATGTGGTGGGACTTCTTGCTAGAAGAGGAAGCTGTAAAAGTGAGCCCAACCAATTTCTTTATGGTTACTAAAAATGCAGGTTGAGCAAGTAGATTAAGAAAGCCTCAGAACTTTGTTTTCCCTCTTCCTCCCTTTATGACTTGCTCATAAAACATGACAATAGGAGACAAATATGAAAACAATGAGGACAGAAATCTGTGTTTCTAGAAAGAATGGAATGGGTATAAAATGGGTATGAAGCGGTAAGAAATTGCCTTTCCAGGACAGACAAGCAACTGCCCCCACCTCACCCCCACCAACACTTCCTTTTCCTCAAGACATGTTGAATGTTTTGTTTTCTCTACCTTTAACAACCATCTTTGTCCCTAAGTATATAGCAATAGACTTTAAAAATGCATTTCAGGCCGGGAATCTGGCCCGGCGTGGTGGCTCACACCTGTAATCCCAGCACTTTGGGAGACCCAGGTGGGTGGATCACCTGAGGTCAGGAGTTCAAGACCAGCTTGACGAACATGGTGAAACCCTGTCTCTACTAAAAATACAAAAAAATTACCTAGGTGTGGTGGCTGGCACATGCATGTAATCCCAGCTACTCAGGAGGCTGAGGCAGGAGAATTGCTTGAATCTGCAAGGCGGAGGTTGCAGTGAGCCTAGATGGCGCCACTGGACTCCAGCCTGGGTGACAGTGAGACAACGTCTGAAAAAAAAAAAAAAAAAAAAAAAAAAAAAAGACTTTCATGTCTCCCAAGCAACAATCCAAATTTTTAAAATTTAATTAATGAGGACTAGAATAAAACACTGGAAGCATATACTCTGGTGGAATATTCAGACAATTCAACTTTTAGAGACTAGCATTTTTTTGGTCTAGGTATACTTTACACACAATAAATTTCACACATTTTAGAACATGGTTCTGTGAATTTTGACAAAAACACAATCACATAACCAACACAACAAGCACCATCAGGGCAGAAAAGCCAACTTGGCTTCCTAAAGGAGACAGAAACGAATGTCTCGTTAGTTTCATGGTCATTATCCATGAGATTGTAATACATGCTTAACCTGTCAAAATGAGAGGTGACAGCGTGCTGGCAGTCCTCAGAGCCCTCGCTTGCTCTTGGCGCCTCCTCTGCCTGGGTTCCCACTTTGGCGGCACTTGAGGAGCCCTTCGGCCCGCCGCTGCACTGTGGGAGCCCCTTTCTGGGCTGGCCAAGGCCAGAGCCGGCTCCCTCAGCTTGCAAGGAGGTGTGGAGGGAGAGGCGCGAGCAGGAACCAGGGCTGCGAGCAGCGCTTGCGGGCCAGCTGGAGTTCTGGGTGGGCGTGGGCTTGGCGGGCCCCGCACTCGGAGCGGCCCGCCGGCCCTGCCCGCCCCGGGCAGTGAGGGGCTTAGCACCCGGGCCAGCGGCTGCGGAGGGTGTACTGGGTACCCCAGCAGTGCCGGCCCACAGGCGCTGCGCTCAATTTCTCGCCGGGCCTTAGCTGCTTTCTCACGGGGCAGGCCTCGGGACTGCAGCCCGCCATGCCTGAGCCTTCCCCCGCCTCCATGGGTTCCTGTGCAGCCCGAGCTTCCCCGACGAATGCCGCCCCCTGCTCCACGGCGCCCAGTCCCATCGACCGCCCAAGAGCTGAGGAGTGCGAGCGCATGGCGCGGGACTGGCAGGCAGCTCCACCTGCAGGCAGCTCCACCTGCAGCAACCCCCTGCGGGATCCACTGGGTGAAGCCAGCTGGGCTCCTGAGTCTGGTGGGGACGTGGAAAGTCTTTATATCCAGCTCAGGGATTGTAAACACACCAATCAGCACCCTGTGTTTAGCTCAAGGTTTGTGAATGCACCAATCGGCACTCTGTATCTAGCTGCCCTGGTGGGGACGTGGAGAACCTTTATGTCTAGCTCAGGGATTGTAAATACACCAATCAGCACCCTGTGTTTAGCTCAAGGTTTGTGAGTGCACCAATCGACACTCTGTATCTAGCTGCTCTGGTGGGGCCTTGGAGAACATTTATGTCTAGCTCAGGGATTGTAAATACACCAATCAGCACCCTGTGAGTGCACCAATCGACACTCTGTATCTAGCTGCTCTGGTGGGGCCTTGGAGAACCTTTATGTCTAACTCAGGGATTGTAAATACACCAATTGGCACTCTGTATCTAGCTCAAGGTTTGTAAACACACCAATCAGCACCCTGTGTTTAGCTCAAGGTTTGTGAATGCACCAATCGACACTCTGTATCTAGCTGCTCTGGTGGGGCCTTGGAGAACCTGTGTGTGGAAACTCTGTATCTAACTAATCTGATGGGGATGTGGAGAACCTTTGTATCTAGCTCAGGGATTGTAAACGCACCAATCAGTGCCCTGACAAAACAGGCCACTCGGCTCTACCAATCAGCAGGATGTGGGTGGGGCCAGATAAGAGAATAAAAGCAGGCTGCTTGGGTCACCTTCCACAGTGTGGAAGGTTTGTTCTTTTGCTCTTTGCAATAAATATTGCTACTGCTCGCTTTTTGGGTCCACGCTGCTTTTATGAGCTGTAACATTCACTGTGAAGATCTGCAACTTCACTCTTGAGCCCAGCAAGACCACGAGCCCCCCCAGGAGGAATGAACAAGTCCAGACGCGGTACCTCAAGAGCTGTAACGCTCACCGCAAAGGTCTGCAGCTTCACTCCTGAACCAGTGAGACCACAAACCCACCAGAAAGAACAAACTCCAAACACATCTAAATATCAGAAGGGACAGACTCCAGACTCACCATCTTAAGAGCTGTAACACTCACCGCGAGGGTCTGCGGCTTCATTGTTAAAGTCAGTGAGACCAAGAACCCGCCGATTCCGGACACAAGAATGTTATCATTTTTACAAAATGATTGGTCTTTATTGTTAAACTATCATTGTCAATAAAACAAAGTTCCAGATTTAAAAAGACCAAAGAGAGAGAAAAAAGACAAAAAGGACATGGCAACCAGTGCAATACTGTACATAATCTTGCTAAAAGAACCATTTATGGCCAGGCGCGGAGGCTCATGCCTGTAATCCCAGCACTTTGGGAGGCCGAGGCGGGTGGATCACGAGGTCAGGAGATTGAGACCATTCTGATTAACACGGTGAAACCCCGTCTCTACTAAAAATACAAAAAATTAGCCGGGCGTGGTGAGCGCCTGTAGTCCCAGCTGCTTGAGAGGCTGAGGCAGGAGAATGGCGTGAACCCGGCAGCCGAGGCTTGCAGTCAGCTGAGATGGTGCCACTGCACTCCATTGAGCCTGGGCGACAAAGCAAGACTGTGTCTCAAAAAAAAAAAAAAAATTTACAACTGGAAAATGAACAGTAGATTAGATATGTGTTGTGTCAATATTAAATTTCCTAAATTTGATGTATTTAATGGTTATGTAAGATCTTTTTATGAAGATTTAAAAGAGCATGATGAATGCATCCTACTCTCAAGTGATTAAGAAAAAAAGTATATATAGATATACAGGAAGAGAGAAGGAAGGAGAGAGAAAAGAAGACAGTGATGAAGCATATATGGCAAAATGTTAAAAACTGGTAAATCGGGATAAGTGGGATATTGAAATCCTTTATACTATTTCTGCAACTCTTCTATAATTTTTAAATTATTTTAAAATTAACCTTTTTTTTTTTTTTTTCTTGAGACGCAGTCTTGCTCTGTTGCTCAGGCTGGAGTGCAGTGGTGTGATCTCTGCTCACTGCAACCTCCGCCTCCCGGGTTCAAGTGATTCTCCTCCCTCAGCCTCCCAAGTAGCTGGGATTAAAGGTGCCCACCACCATGCCCAGCTAATTTTTGTATATTTAGTAGAGACAAGATCACGATGTTGGCCAGGCTGGTCTCAAAGTCCTGACCTCGTTATCCACTGCCTCGGCCTCCCAAAGTGCTGGGATTACAGGCGTGAGCCACCAGCCCGGCCTAATAAACCTTTTTTAAAAAGAAAATTTAATGCTAACTAGTACTTTTAAAAAAACGTTTTTCTGTTTTTTTGTGTGTGCTTTTTTGTTTGTTTGTTTTTTTGAGATGGAGTTTCACTCTTGTTTTCCAGGCTGGAGTGTAGTAGCGTGATCTTGGCTCACTGCAACCTCTGCCTCCTGGGTTGAAGCCATTCTCCTGCCGCAGCCTCCCGAGTAGCTGGGATTACAAGCGCCCGCCACCACGCCTGGCTAATTTTTCTAATTTCCTTTTTTAGTAGAGACAGGTTTTCACCATGTTGACCAGGCTGGTCTCGAACTGACCTCAGGTGATCCACCTGCCTCAACCTCCCAAAGTGCTGGGATTACAGATGTGAGCCACCACGCCTGGCCCTAACTGGTACTTATATACTCATCAGTGCCAGTTCCTTAGAACACTAACACCATTAATCAGCCTTCTTTGACTTAGATATCTTTGTTGAGTGTATTTTAATATTCTCTATGTTTTTAGAACCCACATAACATTACAATTGTTTTATACAGTCAATATCCATTTAGGTCAACCCACATATTTACCCCATTCTTTTTTCTTCATGCCTTCCTGCAACTTTGAGCTGCCTTTTGGGATCATTTCTTTCTGCCTGAAGAATACTCTTCAGTTATTTTCTTTAGCAAGCTCCATTGATGATGAATCTTCTCATTTTTCCATGTCTGAAAATGCCTGTATTTCACCTTTAATCTTGTAGACATTTTAGCTGGACATATAATTCTAGGTTGAAATTTATTTTCTTTCAGCCTTTTTTAAAATTAAATTTTCGGTTGGGCTTGGTGGCTAATGCCTGTAATCCCAACACTTTAGGAGGCCAAGGCGGGTGGATCACCTGAGGTCAGGAGTTTGAGACCAGCCTGGCCAACATGGCGAAACCCCATCTCTACTAACAATACAAAACTTAGCCGGGTGTAGTGCTGTGCTCCTGTGATCCCAGCTAATCGGGAAGCTGAGATAGGAGAATCGCTTGAACCAGGGAGGCAGAGGTTGCAGTGAGCTGAGATCGCACCAGTGTACTCCAGCCTGTGCAACAGAGTGAGACTCCATCTCAAAAAAAAAAAATTAAATTTTTATTGTGGTAAAATATACATAATAGGCTGGGTGTGGTGGCTCACGCCTGTAATCCCAGCACTTTGGGAGGCTGAGGCAGGCGGATCACCTGAGGTCGGGAGTTGGAGACCAGTCTGACCAATATGGAGAAACCCCATCTCTACTAAAACTACAACATTAGCCAGGCATGGTGGCGCAGGCCTGTAATCCCAGCTACTCATGAGGCTGAGGCAGGAGAATCGCCTGAACCTGGGAGGTGGAGGTTGTGGTGAGCTGAGTTGGTGCCATTGCACTCCAGCCTGGGCAAGAAAAGCGAGATTCCATCTCAAAAAAAATAATTTTATATATATATATATATATATATATATATATATATATATATATATATATATATAATAAACTTACCATTTTAGGCATTTTAACATGTACAATTTAGTGACATTAAGCAGATTTGCAATGTTGTGCAACCATTGCCACAATCTTTCAGCGTTTTGAAAACAGGTTTTCTTCAGGCTCCTGTTGTTTCTGTCGAGAAGTCTGTTGTCAACTTCAGTATGGCCCCTTTGAGCGTAATTTGTCTTTTTGTAATAGGCTCTGTTCCTTTTATGATCTTTTTGTTTTTGTTTTGGAGACAGAGTTTCGCTCTTGTTGCTCAGGCTGGAGTGCAGTGGCGTGATCTTGGCTCACTGCAACCTCCACCTCCCAGGTTCAAGCGATTCTCCTGCCTCAGCCTTCCAAGTAGCTGGGATAACAGGCACCTGCCACCATACCCTGCTAAATTTTTTATATTTTTAGTAAAGATGGGGTTTCACCATGTTGGCCAGCCTGGCGAGGCTGGTCTCGAACTCCTGAACTCAGGTGATCCTCTGGCCTCAGCCTCCCAAAGTGCTGGGATTACAGGCATGAGCCACCACGACGAGCCTTATGATCTTCTTTGGTTTTCAGATGGGCTTACTTGTTGATTTCTTTTTATTTATCCTGCTTTGGATTCTTAGTATTGTTTAATTTGGCTTGACATATTTCATCAGTTTTGGAAAGTTTTGGTCAGTTTCTTTTCAAATGTTTCTTCTATCTTATTTTGTTTTTGTTTTTTGAGATGGAGTCTCACTGTGTCACCCAGGCTGGAGTGCAGTCGCCCGATCTTGGCTCACTGCAACCTCCAACTCCCGGGTTCAAACGATTATCCTGCCTCAGCCTCCCGAGTAGCTGGGATTACAGGTGCCCGCCACCACACCCGGCTAATTTTTGTATTTTTAGTAGAGATGGGGGTTTCACCATGTTGGCCAGGCTGGTCTCGAACTCCTAACCTCAGGTGATCTGCCCACCTCGGCCTTCCAAAGTGCTGGGATTACAGACGTGAGCCACCGCGCCTGGCCTCCTATTTTCACTTCTCATAATCATTTTTGTCTCACTGAATTTTCCATCTTTTCCAAAATTTACTTTTTTTGAGTCAGTCTTGCTCCATCATCCAGCCTGGAATGCAGTGGCATGATCACAGCTCACTCCAGCCTCAACCTTCTGAGCTCAAGCAATACTCTGCCTCAGCCTCCCCAGAATAGCTGGGACTATATGCACATGCCACCATGCCCTACTAATTTTTTAATTTGTTGGTAGAGATGGGGTCTTGCCATATTTTCCAGGCTGGTGTTGAACTCCTGGGCTCAAGGGATTCCTCCCACCTCAGCCTCCCAAAGTGCTGGAATTACAGGCTTGAGCTACCATGCCCAGCCCAAAATGTACTTTTGAATTTTCCACATTTTTTATTTTTCTGAGCTTTATTCTTGGATTTTTTTTTTTCTTCGAGACAAGACCTCACCCTATTGCCCAGGCTGGACTGCAGGGTCACAATCATTGCTCAACCTCCCAGGCTCAAGTGATCCTCCCACCTTTCAGCCTCCCAAGTAGCTGGGACTACAGGTTTGTGCCACCATGCCCAGGTAATTATTGTCTTTTTTTGTGGAGAAGAGGTTTTGCCATGTTGCCCAGGCTGGTCTCAAACTCTTGGCCTCAAGTGATCTACCTGCCTTGGCCTCCCAGAGTGCTGGGATTACAGGTGTGAGCCACCACACCTGGCCACTTCTTGGGTTTTTTTTTTTTTTTTTTTTTTTTTAGATGGAGTCTCGTTCCATTGCCTAGGCTGGAGTGCAGTGGCGCAATCTCTGCTCACTGCAAGCTCCACCTCCCGGGTTCACGCCATTCTCTTGCCTCAACCTCCCGAGTAGCTGGGACTATAGGCGCCTGCCACCATGCCCGGCTAATTTTTTGTATTTTTTAGTAGAAACGGGGTTTCACCGTGTTAGCCAGGATGGTCTTGATCTCCTGACCTTGCAATCTGCCCGCCTCGGCCTCCCAAAGTTCTGGGATTACAGGTGTGAGCCACCACACCCAGCCAATTATTGGATTTTTTAAACCTATGTTCTAGTTCACAAAAATCTCTCTTCATTTGTGTCTAATCTGCTGTTAAACCCATCCCTTTGGTTTTTAATTTTGATTTTTATATTTTTCAGTTATTGAAAGTTTAGTCTACTGAATGTGGCTTTTGTTGCAAAGAAAAGAATAAAAAAATTAAAAATAAATAAAAAAGGAAGTTTAATCTGTTATATCCTCTTACAGGTTCAAGTTCTCTGAAATTCTAAATTGTGTCTCTGATCTCTTTAAATGTATTAGGTGTAGTTATGTAAAAGTGTTTGATAATTTTTGTTTGTTTCTTTGTTTGTTTGTTTGTTTTTGAGACGGAGTCTTGCTGTGTTGCCAAAGCTGGTGCATTCTCGGCTCACTGCACGTCTGCCTCGCGGGTTCAAGCGATTCTTCTGCCTCAGCCTCCAGAGTAGTTGGGACTACAGGCACCATGTAGTGCCACCATGACTGGCTAATTTTTGTATTTTTAGTAGAGACGGGGTTTCACCATGTTGGCCAGGCTGGTCTCGAACTTCTGACCTCGTGATCTGCCCGCCTCAGCCTCCCAAAGTGCTGAGATTACAGGCCTGAGCCATCGTGCCCGGCCCGATAATTGTTGTTGTTATTGTTGGTGATGCTGAAGTGTTCTTTCTTGCCTATTTCTTTGTGTGCATGGTCACTTTTTTTTTTTTTGAGACACAGTTTCACTCTGTCACTCAGGCTGGAGTTCCCCAGAGGCGCAATCTTGGCTCACTGCAACCTCTGCCTACTTGGTTCAAGCCATTCTTGTGCCTCAGCCTCCCAAGTAGCTGGGACTACAGGTGTGCACCACCATGCCCGGTTAATTTTTGTATTTTTAGTAGAGACCAGGTTTCTCCATGTTAGCCAGGCTGGTCTTGAACTTCTGACCTCAAGTAATCCACCCGCCTCGGCCTCCCAAAGTGCTGGGATCACAGGTGTGAGCCACTGCGCCGGCCCTATTTCTTTGTGTGCTTGGTCACTTTGTGTTAGATATTGTATTTCAAAACCTGTTTGGAGGCATTGTTTGAATCATAAAATAGTGTCATCTTTCTCTAGACTAGGCTAGAGAGTCAGAAAGTCTCACCAGACACCTTGGGCACTAACAGTGGGGATCACCAGTTTTTGGGGCTTGAGATGATTTGGAGCTGGCTTCAGATCCGTGAGACCTGGTCTACTTTAATGCTACAGGGCAGCTCTTCAGAGTGCAAACTCAAAGTTAAGGGTGTTTACCAGGCATACCTTCCTCTAGAGGCCCCGGACTCTGACTTTTGTCCTTTTAGCCGTACAGGTAGTCAAAAGAGCAAAAAGCCTCTTGGCTACCTCTTGAATAATTGACAAAGCTCCCAAAGAGCTGAGTTAAACTTCTGGATTCCTGTTTTTTCTAAGTTCTAATAATTCTTCAGTAGTTAGTTAACTCACTGAGGCCTTCAGTGGGATGTTTTCAGTATTTTTTCAGCTTTTTTAGTTGTTCTAAGAAGATTGTCAGTTGTTCCACTAGGGGGAAAAGAAAGGAGAGAAAAAAATTTAAAGTTCATGATAAAGAAACAAAGAGAGGTCTACATGAGCCCCTGGACATCCAGTGCAGGTAGCATGAACTCTGCATGCACCAAGCACCTGCCCTCCATTCCAGGAGCATAGGCTATTGACTGTGGCTAATATGGCCGGGCGTGGTGGCGCATGCCTGTAATCCCAGCTAATTGGGAGGCTGAAGCTTGAACCTGGGAGGTGGAGGTTGCAGTGAGCCAAGATCACGCCATTGCACTCCAGCCTGGGCAACAAGAGCGAAACTCCATCTTAAAAAAAAAAAAGTGTTTAATAAAATTTATTTCTTGAAGCTTATTTTTGTCTGTTCATTGGGATATTGTTTCCCAGAGCTCTTTTCTGGACCACTCTCACTGAGGAGTCTCCTCAGTAGTTCTGCCTTTGATGCTATTGTCCTTTTTCATATAAATCTGTGGGCTTAATTTTCTCATTATTTCATTTGATATGATTTGATTTGATATGATTTGATATCATTTGATATGATTTGACATGATTTCTTAGTGCCCTCTCAATAACAAATGTTTCTTGCATTCAGGGTGAAGGGTGAATATTAGATGGTGTGGGAGGTAAACTGCATTCATAGACATAAGCAAAGCCAGATGGTCCATTTGGAGACTGAACTTGTGGCTGACCTCTAGCAGTTTCACACACAAGCTGGGGCCATGTTCCTACTTGCAAAATGATTTGTGGTGTGTTCGCTCATTCCTTCTAAATCTTCATATTTGTGAAGAGTGGTAAGTTAGTTTGGGCATTATCTAGGACATTCTGATCATTAGATTTTCCAGTAATGGAAGATCGGAAAAAAGTTCACTAGAGTCCATTTTGCTAAGTCTCTTTCTGACAATTTAAAACAAATTACTGTCTTCTCAGTTAACTTACCATTTCCAGTGTTGATCTTTCTTTTTTCTCTCAACAAGACTGTGGTTTTTTGTTGTTGTTGTTAACATTTTTATACCTTAAAAAAGAATGAGACAGGGTCTTGCTATATTGCCCAGGCTGGTCTCAAACTCTTGGCCTCAAGCAATTTTCCTACCTCAGCCTCCCAAAGTGCTGAGATTACAAGTGTGACCCACCACACCCAGCCCTTTTTCTTTTCTTTTCTTTTCTTTTTTTCTTTTTCTTTTTTTTTTTTTTTTTGACACAGGGTCTCACTCGGTTGCCCAGGCTGGAGTGCAGTGGCACAATCATGGCTCACTGCAGCCTCGGCCTCCTGAGCTCAAGCAATCCTCCCGCCTCAGCCTCCCAAGTAGATGGGACTACAGGCATGTGCCATTATGCCCAAATAATTTCTTTTTTTAATTTTTGTATATGTGCTGCCAAGGTGAGCACTCTTTTTTAAGTTTTTCTAGATACAGGGTCTTGCTATGTTGCCCAGGCTGGTCTTGAACTTTGGCCTCAAGTAACCCTCCTGCCTCAGCCTCCCAAAGTGCTGAAATCACAGGCATGAGCCACATTTCCAGCAGTTTTGTTTTTTGAAAGCAGGGTTATGGCTTATATTTATTCTTGATTCTCTATTCTTAGCCTAGTGGCAGAATGAAGGCTGTCCTGGAAGAAGTGAGGAGGTTGGGAAAGGAACTCTTTTGTAGGGAGGAAGAAGACATATGGAGTGGAGTTTGGGCTGGGTTTGGAACCTGATACTTTCTGCAATATTGACAAATGTGAATAAGACCTTTTTAGTCAAAAGTCATACAGACACATGGTTTGGCTGGGTAGTCACATGCTTTTGCCTGTTGAGTTTTGTGACGTGAATGTGTTTTCTGCTGAACCAACCCCTTGAGGCCTGCTAAAACAGGTGACTCAAAAACAACTTTGTTTTCTTGGGTGGAGTAATTTCCTGGTGTTTTTCTCAAAAGTTGTCAACTTTTATTTTAGTGATGGAGGCCAATCTTGACAACTTTTATGGTCAGGCATTCTCAATATGTTTTAAAATGGGTTTCAGGCAAGGTGTGGTGGCTCATGCATGTAATCTCAGCACTTTGGGAGGCTGAGGCGGGAGCATCACTTGAGGCCAGGATTTTGAGACCAGCATGGGTAACATAGCAAGACCCCATCTCTTCAAAAAAATGAAAAAATTAGCTGGGTGTGGTGGAACAAGCCTCTAGTTCTAGCTACTCAGGGGGCTGAGATGGGAAGATTGCCTGTGCCAGGAAGTCCAGGATACAGTGGGCTGTGATAGTGCTACTGTACTCCAGCTGGGTGACAGAGTGAGACCTTGCTTACAAAAAATTTAAAAACAATTTTTTTTTGAGATGGAGTCTTGCTCTGTGCCCAGTCTGGAGTGCAGTGGCGCGATCTTGGCTCACTGCAACCTCTGCCTCCCGGGTTCAAGCAATTCTCCTGTGTCAGCTGCCCGAGTAGCTGGGGCTACAGGCCCATCTACTTTTTGTACTTTTAGTAGAGACGGGTTTCACCATATTGGCCAGGCTGGTCTCAAACTCCTGACCTCTCGGCCTCCCAAAGTGCTGTGATTACAGGCGTGAGCCACCGTGACTGGCCAAAACAATTTTTAAATTAAAAAAAATGAGGCCAGGCACGGTGGCTCATGCCTGTAATCCTAGCACTGTGGGAGGCCGAGGCGGGTGGAACACCTGAGGTCAGGAGTTTGAGACCAGCCTGACCAACATGGAGAAACCCCATCTCTACTAAAAATACAAAATTAGCCAGGCGTGGTGGCAAATGCCTGTAATCCCAGCTACTCGGGAGGCTGAGGCAGGAGAATTGCTTGAACCCAGGAAGTAGAGGTTGCAGTGAGCCGAGATCACGCCACTGCACTCCAGCCTGGGCAACAAGAGCAAAACTCCGTCTCGGAAAAAAAAAAAAAAGAAAAGAAAAAGAAAAAGAAATGGCTTTCATATACAAGATCCAGTTTCTGTTTCTGGTAGTAAGTGCTATTCTTGCTACAGAAGTCTAAAGACAGGCCAGGCGCAGTGGCTCATGCCTGTAATCCCAGCCCTTTGGGAGGCCGAGGCAGGAGTTCAAGACCAGCCTGGCCAACATGACGAAACCCCATCTCTACTAAAAATACAAAAATTAGCTAGGCGTGGTGGCACGTGCCTGTAATCACCGCTACTCAGGAGGCTGAGGCAGGAGAATCGCTTGAACCTGGAAGGCAGAGGTTGCAGTGAGCCTAGATGGCGCCACTGGACTCCAGCCTGGGTGACAGAGTGAGACTCCATCTCAAAAAAAAAAAAAAAAAAAAAGGCTAAAGACAGTATTTTCTTTGGACTGAATTAACTGGCACTAATCTGAAAATTTTAACTTTTTACACTATGTCCTAGCCAGAGGGAGAACCTATTGTACAGGGAGATTTCAACAGCAGCATGGACCACCTTTTGCCAGATGAGGCACTGGTTATCTGTGTGGGGCTGGCACTGGGATGAGTACTTAGTGAGAATGGGGTAGAGTGGGGTGGAGACTGAAACACGGCCTCTAATCTGGACTCAGCAATCTCCTTTTGAGGTTTGGCAACTCGGTTTAGGAATGTGCCCACAACTTTAAGGTTTGTGATGGGAATGAGAAGAGAAGGGGTGAGGGACCCACCCAGAATACAGTGTTCCACGTCCCTCATGCAAAGAAGGGCTGGGCAGGTGCCAGCATGTCAAGGTTCCCAGCCAATTCTGGCAGATTCTCTGAGAGACAAGCTCTGTCGTGATTCCAGCACCACCCATTATTGCTACATCTTCCACACAACATGTCTCCTGAAAACATCTCCCTCCAGGACATTGTTCCAAAAGCAAGGCCAAGACGCAGGCAGAAGTCCACTTCTGAGGAATGAGAACGCATGCTGGAGACAGAGCAATACCCCGGTGTGTGCCTCTTGTGAGTGGGGCAATTTGCCCAGTTGAGAAACAGGCCAATTAACCACCCTTGGTATTTGAAGAGCCACTCCTTACTCATCTGGGTTCTTTTCTGCTTTAAGTATTTTTATTCTTGATCGTGCCAGACAGGCATGTGTGTTTGCACCTAAAAGGTCATTTTTATATTTGTCAGTTCTCCAGGAAACTTCTGCCACTACCAAATTCAACATGCTGTCAAACTGAACCGATCTCCTCTCTTCCTACCACTGGCTTCCCTTTGCCACCTCTTCATTCCTTCCAGGGAGGGCTTCCTCCACTGTTTCACTCTCAGACTAGAGGCTTTGGCAATGCTCCTTTACTTATTCATTAGTTCATTCGATATTCAAATACATATTCAAATACTTATTGAACATTTCTTTTTTTTTTTTTTTTTTGAGACAGAATCTTGCGCTATCACCCCGGCTGGAGTGCGGTGGCACGATCTCAGCTCACTGCAACCTCTGCCTCCTGGGTTCAAGCAATTCTTCTGCTTCAGCCTCCCAAGTAGCTAGAACTACAGGCATGTGCCACCATGCCTGGCTAGCTTTTGTATTTTTAGTAGAGACGGGGTTTCACCGTATTGGCCAGGCTGGTCTCGAACTCCTGACCTCATGATCTGCCTGCCTTGGCCTCCCAAAGTGCTGGGATTACAGGCATGGGTGACCTCGCCCAGAGAACATTTCTTTTTCTTTCTCTTTTTTTTTTTTTTTTGAGACAGAGTTTCACTCTGTTGCCCAGGCTGGAGTACAATGACGGGATCTCGGCTCACCCCAGCCTCCACCTCCCCAGTTCAAGCAATTCTCCTGCCTCAGCCTCCTGAGTAGCTGGGATTATAGGCATGTGCCACCATGCCCAGCTAATTTTGTATTTTTAGTCAAGACGGGTTTTCTCCGTTTTGGTCAGGCTGGTCTCAAACTCCCGACCTCAGGTGATTCGCCCACCTTGGCCTCCCAAAGTGCAGGGATAACAGGCATGAGCCACTGTGCCCGGCCTCTTTCTCATTTTTATTAGCAGTTATCACTAGCTTGAATTATCTTGTTTATTGATTTATCTTTTTTTTTTTTTTTGAGACAGAGTCTCACTCTGCCCAGGCTGGAGTGCAGTGGTACAATCTCTGCTCACTGCAACCTCTGCCTCCCGGGTTCAAGCAATTCTCCTGCCTCAGCCTCCCGAGTAGCTGGGATTACAGACACTTGCTGCCACGCCTGGCTAATTTTTTATTTTTAGTAGAGACAGGGTTTCACCATGTTGGCCAGGCTGGTCTTGAACTCCTGACCTCTAGTGATCCACACACCTCGGCCTCCCTGTAACCTGGGGTTACAGGTGTGAGCCACCTCGCCTGGCTTATCGTTTTTTACCTCTTCCTCATTGAGCTCATTCACTGCTGTATTCACATTGCCTAAAACAGTGTCCAGTATGGAATAAACGCTCGATACATATTTGAAGAATAAATGAACAAATCTATGTAAGATATTTGTAATTTAGTAAGCAATACAAATTTAACGAATTATGCTTTTATTTATTTATTTTATTTTTAAATTTTATGTATTTATTTATTTATTTTTTGAGACAGAGTTTTGCTCTTATTGCCCAGGCTGGAGTTCAATGGCGCCATCTCAGCTCACTGCAACCTCTGCCTCCTGGGGTCAAGAGATTTTCCTGCCTCAGCCTCCTGAGTAGCTGAGATTACAGGCACCCGCCACCATGCCCAGATAATTTTCTTGTATTTTTAGTAGAGACAGAGTTTCACCATGTTGGCCAGGCTGGTCTCGAACTCCTGACCTCGTGATCCACCCCTTTTGGCCTCCCAAAGTGCTGGGATTACAGGCGTGAGCCACCGCGCCCGGCCTTAAAAGTGTTTTTATCAGGAAGTGTTCCCAGAAAAACACTTTAAGGAAGTAGTGACATAAGAAAAGAAGGAGAGGCCAGATGCCGTAACTCACACCTGTAATCCCAGCACGTTGGGAGGCTGAGGCTGGGATAATTTGAACCCAGGAGTTTGATACTAGCTTGGGCAACATAATGAGACCCCATCTCTACAAAAAAAAATTTTTTTTAATTGGCTGGTCATGGTGGCACACCCTTGTAGTCCCAGCGTTCGAGAGGCTGGGTGGGGAGGATCACTTGAGCCCAGGAGGGAGGAGGGAGTCTGCAATGACCTGTGATTGCACCACTGCACTCCAGCCTGGGTGACAGAGCAAGACCCTGTCTCAAAAAAAAAAAAAAAAAAAAAAGAAGAAGAAAAAGTTACTTTCTTTTTTTTTTGAGACATAGTCTTGCTCTGTCGCCCAGGCTGGAGTGCAGTGGCGCAATCTCGGCTCACTGCAAGCTCTGCCTCCCGGGTTCACGCCATTCTCCTGCCTCAGCCTCCCGAGTAGTTGGGACTACAGGTGCCCGCCACCATGCCTGGCTAATTTTTTGCATGAAAAGTTACTTTCATATAAATTTCTCATTACCTTTCAAGATAAATTACCACAGCTAAGCAAAGGCAGAGAAAATCCAGGCCTAAGACTCCAATTCTCCAGACCCAGGGTTGGGGTTGCAAAGGAAAAATGGCTCTGGATTGGGAGAGATTCTGGAAGAAGTGGGATGAGCTCATTACATGGGGGAGGTGTGGGTGAGGAGGAACCCAGTTCATTTGGGACCAGAGTCCTGCAAAGACAAACGGGTTCTAAGAGAAGGGAAGGGGCCCTGGAGCTCATTTTGGTGGTTTTGTTTTATGGGGTTTTGTTTTGTTTATAAGGGGGCTGGGATGAGTGAAACGTTGGAAGACTGGTTCTATTGCAGGTGCAGGAGGCCAAGGTGAGGGATGAACTCACAGCGGCAGTGTCTCGATGAGGGGAATGTGGTGGTGCATGAAAACTCAGAGATGCTAGCAAGTGCGGAGCCCAAAGGGATGTTACAGCTCTTGCTAGGGGAGTCCTGAGGTCTGAGCCCCCAGAAAAGTCGCAGCTCTTCACCCCTGTAGCTTGGCAACTGGAAGCATGTTACAGTTCTCTTTCTCTCATAGTCCAGTGAGCAGGGTGCTACAGCTGTTTCATTTCTGCCACTTGCAGCTTGGTGAGTTCCAGGTTCTTGTCTCTCGACCAAGAGTAATAAAGTGCACAGACACCAGAAAGTAAGACAGAGAAGAATTTTATTGAGTAACAGAAGGAAAACTCTCAACTGCAAGAGGGGACCCTCAAAGCAGGTTGCTGTCTTTGAGGCTGAGTCTGGGGTTTTTATGGGCTTAGAATGGGAAAGTGCATGCTGATTGGTCCATGAGTGGGCTTGGAAAAAGCACCATTTGATTGGTTAAAAGGCATCATCCAGGCCAGGCACAGTGGCTCATGCCTGTAATCCCAGTACTTTGGGAGGCCAAGGCAGGTGGATCACCTGAGGTTGGGAGTTCGAGACCAGCCTGACCAACATGGAGAAACCCCATCTCTACTAAAAATACAAAATTGCCAGGCGTGGTGGCACATGCCTCTAATCCCAGCTACCTGGGAGGCTGAGGCAGGAGAATTGATTGAACCTGGGAGGTGGAGGTTGCAGTGAGCCGAGATCGCACCATTGCACTCTAGCCTGAGCAACAAGAGTGAAACTGTCTCAAAAAAATAAAAAGGAATCGTCCAGGAGGAACCAATCAAGAGAGAGGGTAAGATGAGGATACAAGTTCTCACTCTGGTCATGGACTCTATCTGGAACTGGTACCTTGGTTTCAGGCTTTAAACTGTCTTTGGCTTGAAGGTTGGGTTTCACCAGGGACCCATCTCTGTCTGCCTAAAAATTTATCTGTCTCCTGTTGCTATCATTTTTACCCTAGACCAAAAGCAAGATGGCAGCAACAGATCATCGCACCTCTGCAGTCTGTCTGCTAGTGGCTACAGCCACCTCCTACTTCCACAGATCCCACTCAAGGATTCTCAAAGTTGCAGGAGTAAGATTTCTTTCCAGCTCCCTTCCTGGTCGTGGTTCCTCATGTCAGCTTCTTGAAGTCTGGGGTAACTATTTTCCTGTAGTAAAATTTCCTGTGATAGTCTTTCCTTTATTGCCTCTCTTATGTATAAAATGGCAGTATTAAAATTCCTTATACTGAATGTACTGTCAATTTTCAAAGTTATTTACATGGTAAAATAAAAATATATTCTTTAAATATGCAAATCTGTATTTGTATATTTTGTGCTTCCACTTGTATAATAAGGAAAGGACAGACCCTTGCCTTAAGAAAGGAAGAAGCGGGCAGATGCAGTGGCTCACTCCTGTAATCCCATCAATTTGGGAAGCCAAAGCGGGCAGATCACCTGAGCTGGGAGTTCGAGACCAGGCTGACCAACATGGCGAAACCCCATATCTACTAAAAACACAAATTAGCCAGGCATGGTGGCACATGCCTGTAATCCCAGGTACTGGGGAGCCCAAGGTTGGAGAATCACTTGAAGCCAGGAGGCAGAGGTTGCAGTGAGCCGAGATCCCACCATTGCACTCCAGCCTGGGCAACAAGAGAAAAACTCCGTCTCAAAAAAAAAAAAAAAGAAAGAAAAGAAAAAAAAAAGAAAGGAAGAAGAATCTTAGCCAGGCTGACTGAAAAGTAGAAAGTCAGGGTTGGAGAAAATTGGTTATTCCAGAGACAGGATTTGGAGGTTTGAATGTATGTTGGGTGGTAGCCCTTTGGGGCCAGGGAGGAGGGGCTTGTGCCGAGATCGTGCCCCGAAAAATAATAACTCTTGGGTAATGGAGTATATTGGTATCTAGTAACATGGAAGGGACCACTTTTCTTTGGACTCTAGGCACTGTTTCATGGAGACTCTGCTGCTCACCAACAGTCTTCAATAGTTATTTTAAAATGATGGTACCCAGGGTCAAACTACTGCATTTTCACCAATGGGGCTATAGTCTGGGGAGCAGGACAATATTTGGGAGCTTCATTTCTGGAACAAAGTCACTGAGATTGGCAGCCAGAATTGAGGAATGGTTCAACAAATAGACTCATAAATCAAATAGCTACATATGTTTCTCCTGAATAGGTACAGCAAAGATTAAGAGGCAGGAGTGTTTCCCTAGCCCAGCTCTAATTTCCTAATCTTGGTAATCTTTTTTTTTTTTTTTGAGACAGAGTCTTGCTCTGTCGCCCAGGCTGGAGTGCAGTGTCGTGATCTCGGCTCACTGCAACCTCCGCCTCCCAGGTTCAAGCGATTCTCCTGCCTAAGCCTCCTGAGTAGCTGGGATTACAGGCATGCACCACCATGCCCAGCTAATATTTGTATTTTTAGTAGAGATGGGGTTTCATCATGTTGGTCAGGCTGGTCTCAAACTCCTGACCTTGTGATCCGCCTGCCTCAGCCTTTCAAAGTGCTGGGATTACAGTCATGAGCCACCGCGCCCAGCTGGCAATCTTTATTTGGAGAATTTGAGGAAGAGATCAGTGCTCTTCTTAGTCGTATCAACCATATACCGCTTCCATACTCTTCTTAACAATAGCAAGGGCAGTGGGATGCGGAGCTCTCCTGCTGAAGGGGCTGCTGGGAACAGAAGTAGGTATAGGTCCTGCCAGGAAGCACAGGAAAGATGAGGGTCCAGGTAGTGCTTTCCCTCACTGCAGGCCTGTCCTAGTGCCAGAGGCAACAGTGTGCTTCTGGGGAGAGGCACATTCATATATTCATTTAGCATTAACTGCTTAATTGATTGATAGATTCATTCATATCATTTATTCTTGAACTTACGTCTTTGGGCAGTAAGAACTGTATTCTTGTTAGCATTCTTTCATATTCCCATTTCTTCTACCTTAATGTATCATCAGCAATTATTTGTCATTAGGCATTCAAGTGATGTTGCGTACTCATTCATTCTAATTTTCTGCCTCCATTTACTCAAATTTCATTTACTTATTTATTTCAACTTCAAATTTCCTTTTTTATATTTCATAACTTCACTCAAATGTATTCATTTGTTCATTCAAATTAAATTTAATTATTTTAAATAAATGATTCAAAGGAGAAATACTCAAATCTCTTCATTTTTTCTTTTTTTTTTGCATTGTGATGTGCAAAAGAAAAGAGGCAAGAAAGAAAGGCAGAAAGTGCTTCTATGGTAGATCAGATTGATCTATCTATCACCTATCTATCTACCTATCTTCTATCTATCTATCATCTATCTATCTATCTATCTATATCTATTATCTATCATCTATCTCTCTATCTGCCATCTACTCATTCCTCCGTCCAATCTATCAATTCCCAATTCCATCCACCCAGTTCCCACCTGAGACAAAGTTCCAGAGTTCTGCGTTTTGTTATCCCCATTCTTTGAAGACCAGTTGCCCCAAATCAAAAAGGTTCCTGGAAACTGGGGCTGCTCTCATGTGTTACTCAGTAGCACGTTTCCCTGTTTTGAGTGTCCTAGATTAGATTTAAGTGTCCCTGAGTCAGCAAGTCTTCTGCATGGTCCCGGAGGCAAGAGGACCAAGCATGGGAAGAGGACCAAGAACTGCACCATATTTCTTTCCACCCTCAGACTTGCCCCAGATTTTGGTTCCAGGCTCATCCCAGAAGAGTTTCACTTATATGGGTAAAGTGTATCTGAATTATGCAAGTAGCCCTGGTGTCTCTGGCTAGTGGGAGTCAGAATGTTTGCGGCCAGGACAGTGTCTACTTCTGTAGGCCTAGAGGAAAACAGCTCATTTTTCCCTGAAACAAATTCAGGATCCATGAGATAGGGATCCCAGATGCCTGAAGCCATCCATCTACTAGGGATGAGGTGGTTCAGACCCAAGTAGTCGCAGGGATCCCCCATGGAAAACAGTCAAAGTATACCTGCCATGACAAAGAGTGACCTCTGAATAAAATGCTCCCAGTGACTTCTGATGAGGAACCATTGGATTCTATTTTATTTATTTATTTATTTTTGAGACAGACTCTCGCTCTGTCATCCAGGCTGGAGTGCAGTGGCACAATCTCGGCTCACTGCAACCTCCGCCTACCAGGTTCAAGCAATCCTCCTGCCTCAGCCTCCAGAGTAGCTGGGATTACAGGCGCCCTCCACCACGCCTGGCTAATTTTCGTATTTTTAGTAGAGATGGGGTTTCACTATATTGGTCAGGCTGGCTTTGAACGCCTGACCTCAGGTGATCCACCCACCTTGGCTTCCCAAAGTGCTGGGATTACAGGTGTGAGCCATCGCGCCCGGCCGTGGATTCTACTAATAGGGAGCTCAGACCCACATAAAGCTATGGGTTAAAATTGGGGTCAGGCCTTGTATTTGACCATGTTTTCTTAAATATGACATCAAAAGCTGAGACAACAAAAGATAAATTAGATAATTTGGACTTCCTTAAAGTTTAAAATTTTTGTGCATTAAAGGACACTATTGGCCAGGCACAGTAGTTCAAAGTGTAACCATTTTGGGATTGGGTGGGATGTGGTGGCTCACACCTGTAATCCCAGTACTTTGGGAGGCTGAGGCGGGAGGCTTGCTTGAACTCAGAAGTTTGAGACTAGCCTGGCCAACATGGCAAAACCCTATCTCTACAAAAATATAAAAATTAGCTGGGTGTGGTGATGCATACCTGTACTTGAGCTACTCAGGAGGCTAAGGTGGGAGGATCACCTGAGCCCAAGCGTTCGAGACTACAGTGAGCCAAGATCACACCACTGCACTCCAGCCTGGGTGACAGAGCAGGTCCCTGTCTCAGAAAACAAACAAACAAACAAACACCAGGAAAAGCTCAGTTATCTAGGACTCAACCAGAATCCTTGGCTTCTTTAGTTTCCTTATAAAACAAACAAAAAACCAAAGTGCAAACCCAGCACTTTAGGAGGCTGAGGCAGGAGGATTGCTTGAGGCCAGGAGTTGGAGACCAGCCTGGGCAACATAGTAAGATACCTCTACAAAATATAGACATATATATTAGCTGGGCTCTGACAGACTGCACCTCCATGTGCCACTCAGACATGCCCCCCGCTGCTCCCTCATGAGCAAAGGCTGGAGAAGCCTTCCGGCCACTAACTGCCGGCCGCCGTGTTGTATCCTGGTGGATACAGGATACACGTGGTGGAGGTGGTGGAGGTTGGGGTCCAGACATGTTGGTGTCAGTAGGAGGGCCAGGCCACACGTGTCCCAGATTACTGGGGGGTACATTGAGGGGTGGGCTGTGGGGTGAACAGGATTCATCCCTGAAAATAATCTGCCTCAGGGCACAGAAATCCCCACCTGGCCAGAGACCTGGGCCATTTCCTCCCACCAGTGATTCTCTAACTGTAATATGGGGACAGCCTGGGTAGGATGAGGCTGTCGGGGTTGGGTCTCTCCTGAGGTTGAAGGGATGTGGCCAGAAGGATTAAGATGATTAACCAAGTATCCATCCCATTGCAGTAACTGAATTTGCCCTTCAGTGAACACTTTGGCCTCCTCTTGATCTCACAATGGTATATTTTTCATAATACAAAAATAATGCATATTTCATCCTTCAGACTTTGAAAAAAATACTTGTATGTTAACTTTTATTCCTTGGATGCATAGAAGAAATTAAGTGGTGTCCCCTGTTGTCACCTGATTAGGAGGAATTGTTGGGATTAAGCTCCAAGAAAGAGTGCTGCAGACTGGCTAAGCCGATGTTGGTGTGCTTGGAGGGAAAGGAAGACTGGCCTTTGTGGCAGAAAAAAGCCATCAGGGGCTCAAAAGAAAATAGGGACATGGGGGCCGGGCGCGGTGGCTCACACCTGTAATCCCAGCACTTTGGGAGGCTGAGGCGGGGGGGATCACGAGGTCAGGAGATCGAGACCATCCTGCCTACACAGTGAAACCCTGTCTCTACTAAAAATACAAAAAAAAAAAAAAAAAAAAGCTGGTGTGGCGGCATGTGCCTGTAGTCCCAGCTGCTGGGGAGGCTGAGGCAGGAGAATGGTGTGAACCTGGGAGGCGGAGCTTGCAGTGAGCCGAGATCATGCCACTGCACTCCAGCCTGGGTGACAGAGCGAGACTCCGTCTCAAAAAATAATAAATAAATAAATAAATAAAATAAAATAAAATAAAATAGGGACATGGGAGTTGACCTCACTAAAGGGCTACCTACTAGATGAAATCTTAGGCTCTTTTGCATTACAGTGTTGGGACATAGCACTAACATTCAATGTGAAAAAAGAAGAGTGATGAGATTTGTTATTCTTTCAGCATTACACATAAGTTTTTCTTGTTTCGAGGAATGCTGATGCCAATGATGACTTCAGGTCTAATTTCAATTACCATTAGTATCTCACCCTGGTTGACTACATTGAATTTACTATCCTCAGACAAGTTGCCTAATCTTTCTCCACTCCTTGCCTCTGACCTCACCGTTCCATTTGCCTTGGCATCAGTCCTTACTTGATTCTTTCTTCATCTGGCAAATATGGCTGGCAAACAGCAGCTGTCCTCAGAAGCCTTTCTTCGTTCCAACAAACAGAAATAGGTGTGATTTCTGTTATTTTATAGAATTGTGGTCAAATCTCACTTATTCAATATTACACTTAATTAAAATTATCTCATTTTACTGTAGAATTCTGTTCAACTTTTATTTTACATTTTACACTCTCTTATTATTAAATTCCTCACATCTTTATGTCCTTCCCTGGACTATGAATTGGTGCCCTGAGAATCTAGACACCTTATATTCACCTTAAAATCCCATCATCCAGTAGGGTGTTGGATATGTAGGAGATGTTCAGGAAATCTTGTCAAATAATTGAATGAATTTCATGTAGCCACAGAAAAGTTCTGTTTTGGAAAATAAACTGAAACAATATTTTAGCAGGGCAATTTGACAATATATATTTCAAATTTAAACTGTTCACATCCTTTGACCAAGAGATTTCCTCCTGGGAATTTGAGCTATGAACAATCCTCCTACATGAAAATTCATTCAACCTGGCTGCTTTAGCTTAATGTATATGGTTGTGATCATATAGTAGAGGTTGGCCATGCTTTGTTACATTTGATATTCAACCATTTTCATTTACCACTTCATAGTCTTCATACACATAATTTTTGTGACAATGTAAATGGTTCATATGGTGTCTGTTCCTTGGTTTGCTTAGCTGTTCTCATATTGTGGAATTGCATTTGTTATTCTTTCAGCATTACACTTATATTATCCAGTGATCACCTTTACATATAAAGGTTTTTGTGTTGCTAGGAAGACAAAGCGCATGTTGGATTGCCCAATTATTTCTTGACTCTTTTTTTTTTTTTTTTTGAGACGGAGTCTCACTCTGTTGCCCAGGCTGAAGTGCAATGGCGTGATCTCTGCTCATCACAACCTCCACCTCCCAGGTTCAAGCGATTCTCCTGCCTCGGCCTCCCGAGTAGCTGGAACTACAGGTGCGCACCACTGTGCCTGGCTAATTTTTGTACTTTTAGTAGAGACAGGGTTTCACTATGTTGGCCAGGCTGGTCTCTAACTCCTGACCTTGTGATCTGCCCACCTCAGCCTCCCAAAGTGCTGGGATTACAGGCGTGAGACACCGCACCCAGACTTTTTCCTTCAACTTTTAAGTTCTGGGGTACATGTGCAGGATGTGCAGGTTTGTTACATAGGTAAGGTGTGCCATGGTGGTTTGCTGCACAGATCAACCTATCATCTAAGTATTAAGCCCAGCATCCATTAGCTATTCTTCCTGCTGCTCTCCCTCCCGCTCCCCACCCTGACAGGTCCCAGTGTGTGCTGTTCCCCACAATGTGTCCAGGTGTTCTCATCGTCCAGCTCCCACTTATAATGAGAACATGTGGTGTTTGGTTTTCTGTTCCCATGTTAGTTTGTTGAGGATAATGGCTCCATCCATGTTCCTACGAAGGACATGATCTCGTTCCTTTTTATGGCTGCACATTTCTTGACTCTTGATATATATCATCTTTGTGGTTTTCATTCTCTTTTAAAGTATTTGTGAATATGATGAAGTAAAAAAGTATCTCAGATTTTGTTTCGCATTTTATTGTTTGTTAGAAAGATTGAGCTTTATTTCATTATCATTTATTACTAATTGCATTTCCTACCTGAGGAACTGTATTTTCTTACATACCTTTCACACACATGACGCTAACATTTTTCTTGTTTTGTTTTTTTTTTAAACTGAGTTTTGCTCTTGTTGCCCAGGCTGGAGTGCAATGGGGGCAATCTCAGGTCACTGCAACCTCTGCCTCCCAGATTCAAGCAATTCTCCTGCCCAGCCACTCAAGTAGCTGGGATACAGGTATGTGCCACCATGCCCAGCTAATTTTGTATTTTTAGTAGAGACGGGGTTTCACTATGTTGGTCAGGCTGGTCTCAAACTCCTGACCTCAGGTAATCCACCCATCTTAGCCTCCCAAAGTGCTGTGATTACAGGCATGAACCACCGTGCCCAGGCTCTTATTTCATATAAGCTAATTTGTGCAAGATATTCATTTAGCAAATAATTTTGAGCTCTTCCCAGGTGTGGGACATTGCTTTAGCTGCTAGGGATAGTTAACAAACAAGCAAAAATCTTTGCATTCATAGGATTTAAATCCTAATGTGTGAGACAGATAAGTAAAACAGGATTTCAGTATTTTAGGTAGTGAGAACTACTTTTCAGTTAATAGTTTGATTCTCTGTGATTTTTTTCTTCTATTTAAAAAATCATGTTCTATCTTTTTAGAGTTTTTTCTTAAACTTTAACCTACAAAACTTAAAGTCATAAGACTTTAATGTGGAACCCTTTAGTTCTGATCAGTCTTCTGTTTGTTCTGCATTTTATTATTGAACAATATTTAATTCTACCTCATGTTTATGTACTTTCCAAGTAATACAATATATTCATTTTATTTAGTTTTAATTTAGAAATACTCACATATTTACTAACATTTTGCTTCATTCTTGCATCTCATACCTTCCAGGATCATTTGTGGTATTCATCACTAAGCCTTGATGTTTCATAAATAAAATTCAAAACGCTTTTTTTTAAGTAGAAAAAATGCATTAACTGAGAATCCTTAAGACTATAAAGATGCTGAATTCTAATAGATAAGAATTTTTTCTTTGTTAAGCTCTTCCTCAGTGCACTGATATTTAATAAGGAAAGAGGGGGAAAAAAAGACAGAACAGTAACATTTTAAAAAGATACCTGGCCGGGCGCGGTGTCTCACGCCTGTAATCCCAGCACTTTGGGAGGCTGAGGCAGGCGGATCACCTGAGGTCGGGAGTTCGAGACCAGCCTGACCAACATGGAGAAACCCCGTCTCTACTAAAATACAAAATTAGCCGGGCGTAGTGGCACATGCCTGTAATCCCAGCTACTCAGGAGGCTAAGGCAGGAGAATCACTTGAAACCTGGAGGCGGAGGTTGCGGTGAGCCGAGATGGCGCCATTGCAATCCAGCCTGGGCAACAAGAGTGAAACTCTGTCTCGAAAGAAAAAAAAAAAGATGCCAGATGTGGTGGCTCACGCCTGTAATCCCAGCACTTTGGTAGGCTGAGGTGAGAGGATCACTTGAGCCCAGGAGGTCAAGGCTGTAGTGAGCTGTGATCGCAGCACTGCACTCTAGACTGGGGGACAGTGGGACCCTCAGTAAAGAAAATAAAAAATAAAAAAGATGGGCTTTATTAAGCTCTATACACGATTTTTTGGGTAAATGCTTTAATATTTATTTTTCCTTTTTTTTTTTGAGATGGATTCTTGCTCAGTTGCCCAGGCTGGAGTGCAGTGGTGTGATCTTGGCTCACTGAAACCTCCACCTCCCAGGTTCAAGTGATTCTCATACCTCAGCCTCCTGAGTAGCTGGGATTACAGGCATGTGCCACCACACCCAGGTAATTTTTGTATTTTTAGTAGAGATGGGATTTCACTATGTTGGCCAGGTTGGTCTCGAACCCCTGATCTCAAGTGGTCCACCCATCTTGGACCTCCCAAAGTGCTGGGATTACAGGCATGAGCCACCACACCTGGCCAAATGCTTTAATTTAATAGTAATTCCAGTTGGTAGAACATTTAAATTTTTTCAGCTTAATAAAATGACAGAATTGCTATACCAAGGTTATTGCTGTTCTTAGTAATCTGGATGACAAAATAAGAAGTCATTTTGGGCTAGAGCACTTCTGCATACAGTATGGTCCCTCAGTATCCAGTAGGGGATTAGTTCCAGGACCCCCCCTTGTTACCAAAATTCGAGGAGGCTCAGGTTCCTTACATAAAATGGTTAGTATCTGTATATAACCTATGCACATCCTCCAATATGCATAAGTCATCTCTAGATTACTTATTTTACCTAATACAGTGCAAGTGCTATTTTAATAGTTGTTATACCGAATTGTTTTTATTTGTATTATTTTTATTGTTGTATTGTTATTTATTATTTATTTATTTTTATTTCAATAACTTTTGGGGTACAAATGGTTTTTGGTTTATTTCAATAACTTTTGGGGTACAAATGGTTTTTGGTTTATTTCAATAACTTTTGGGGTACAAATGGTTTTTGGTTACATGGATGAATTCTACAATGGCGAATTCTGAGATTTTAGGGCACCCATCACCCAAACAGTGTACATGATACCTGATATGTAGTATTTTATCCCTCACCCTCCTCCCAACCTCCCCACCCCAAGTCCCCAAACTCCATTATATCACTCTATCTCTTTGCGTCCTCATAGCCTAGCTCTTACTTATAAGCCAGAACATACGGTATTTGGTTTTTCATTCCTGAGTTGCTTCACTTAGAATAACGGCCTCCAGCTCCATCCAAGTTGGCTCACAAGACATTATTTTATTCCGTTTTGTGGCTGAGTAGTATTCCATGGTGTATACATACCACATTTTCTTTATCCCCTCTTTAGTTGATGGGCACTTATGTTGGTTATCTTTGCATTTGCAAATTGTGCCACTATAAATGTGTGTCTGCGTGTGTCTTTCTCATAGAATGACTTTTTTTCCTTTGGGTAGATCCCCAGTACTGGAATTGCTGGATCAAATGGTAGATCCTGCTTTTAGTTTTTTAAAGGAATCTCCATACTATTTTCCTTTGAGGTCGTATTAATTTATATTCTTACTAGCAGTGTAAATGTGTTCCCTCTTCACCACCTCCATGCCAACATCTATTGTTTTTTGACTTTTAATTATGGCCATTCTTGTAGGAGTAAGGTGGTATCTCATTACGGTTTTAATTTGCATTTCCCTAATGATTAGTGATGTTGAGCATTTTTTCATATGTTTGTTGGCTGTATATCTTCTTTTGAGAAATGACTGTTCATGGCCTTTGCCCACTTTTTGATGGGATTATTTGTTTTTTTCCTTGTTGATTTGTTTGAGTTCCTTGTAGATTCTGGATACGAATCCTTTGTCAGATACATAGTTTGCAAATATTTTCTACCACTCTGTGGGTTGTCTGTTTACTCTGTTAATTATTTCTTTTGTTGTGTAGAAGCTCTTTAGTTTAGTTAGGTCCTGATATGGTTTGGCTATGTTCCCACCCAAATCTCATCTTGAATTCCCACATGTTGTAGGAGGGACCCAGTGGGAGATAATTGAATCATGGGGGGCAAGTCTTTCCCATGCTGTTCTCAGGATAGTGAATAAGTCTCATGAGATCTGACTTTTTTTTTTTTTTTTTTTTTTTTTTTAAGACAGAGTCTCACTCTGTTGCCAGGCTGGAGTACAGTGGCACGATCTCAGCTCACTGCAACCTCTGCCTCCTGGTTTCAAGCGATTCTCCTGCCTCAGCCTCCAGAGTAGCTGGAACTTCAGGCGCACACCACCCCCACCAGCTAATTTTTGTATTTTTAGTAGAGATGGGGTTTCACCATGTTGGCCAGTATTGTCTCGATCTCTTGACCTTTGGGAGGCTGTTCGCCTCGGCCTCCCAAAGTGCTGGGACTACAGGTGTGAGCCACTGCATACGGCGAGATCTGATCTCTCTCTTATCCCTGCTACCATCCACATAAGACATGACTTGCTCCTCCTTGCCTTCTGTCATGATTGTGAGGCTTCCCCAGCCATGTGGAACTATAAGTCCAATTAAACCTCTTTCTTTTTTTTTTTCTTTTTAAGATGGAGTCTCACTGTGTCATCCAGGCTGGAGTGCAGTGGCGCAATCTAGGCTCACTGCAAGCTCCGCCTCCTGGGTTCATGCCATTCTCCTGCCTCAGCCTCCCAAGTAGCTGGGACTACAGGCACCAACCAGCATGCCTGGCTGATTTTTTTTTTTTTTTTTTTTTGTATTTTTAGTGGAGACAGGGTTTCACCATGTTAGCCAGGATGGTCTCAATCTCCTGACCTCGTGATCCACCCACCTCGGCCTCCCAAAGTCCTGGGATCACAGGCGTGAGCCACTGCGCCCGGCCACCTCTTTCTTTTGTAAATTGCCCTGTCTCAGGTATGTCTTTATCAGCAGCCTGTACTAATAGACTAATACAGTAAATTGGTACCAGTAGAGTGGGGTGTTGCTGAGTAGATACCCAAAAATGTGGAAATGACTTTGGAACTGGGTAACAGGCAGAGATTGGAACAGTTTGGAGGACTCAGAAGAGAGGAAAATGTAGGAATGTTTGCAACTCCCTAAAGACTTGTTGAATGACTTTGACCAAAATGCTGATAATGATGTGGACAATGAAATCCAGGCTAAGGTGGTCTCAGATGGAGATGAGGAAATTTTGGGAACTGGAGCAAAGGTGACTCTTGTTATGTTTTAGCAAAGAGACTGGCAATATTTTGCCTCTGCCCTAGAGATTTGTGGAACTTTGAACTTGAGAGAGATTATTGAGGGTATCTGGCAGAAGAAATTTCTAAGCAGCAAGGCATACAAGAGGTGACTTGGGTGCTATTAAAGGCATTCAGTTTTATAAGGGAAACAGAGCATAAAAGTTCAGAAAATTTGCAGTCTGACAATCCGATAGAAAAGAAAATCCCATATACTGCGAAGAAACTCAAGGCTGCATAAATTTGCATAAGTAACGAGGAACCAAATGTTAATCCCCAAGACAATGGGGAAAATGTCTCCAGGGCATGTCAGAGGTCTTCATGGCAGTCCCTCCCATCAGAGGCCCAGAGGCCTAGGAGGAAAGGATGGTTTTGTGGGCTGGGCCTAAGGTCCCTGTGCTGTGTGCAGCCTAGGGACTTGGTGCCCTATGTCCCAGCCATTCCAGCTGTGGCTGAAAGGGGCCAATGTGGATCTCAGGCCATGGCTTTAGAGGGTATAAGCCCCACCCTTGGCAACCTCCATGTGGTGTTGAGTGCACAGAAGTCAAGAACTGAGGTTTGGGAACCTCTGCCTAGATTTCAGAAAATGTATGGAAATGCCTGTATGTCCACGCAGAAGTTTGCTGCAGGGGTGGGCCTCTCATGGAGAACCTCTGCTAGGGCAGTGTGGAAGGGAAATGTGGGGTCAGAGTCCCCACACAGAATCCCTACTGGGGTACCACCTAGTGGAGCTGTGAGAAGAGGGCCACCAGTCCCCAGGGTCCTCAAGACCCCAGAATGGTAGATCCACTGACAGCTTGCACCATGCGCCTGGAAAAGCCACAGACACTCAATGCCAACCCAGGAAAGCAGCTGGGAGACAGTCTGTACCCCGCAGAGTCACAGGGGCGGAGCTGCTGAAGACCATGGGAACCCACATCTTGCATCAGCATGACCTGGATGTGAGACGTGGTGACAAGGGAGATCATTTTGGAGATTTAAGATTTGACTGCCCCACTGGATTTTGGACTTGCATGGGACCTGTAGCCCCTTTGTTTTGCCCAACTTCTCCCATTTGGAATGGCTGTATTTACCCAATGTCTGTACCTTGACTGTATCTAGGAAGTAACTAACCTGCTTTTGATTTTACAAGCTCATAGGTGGAAGAGACTTGCCTTGTCTCGGATGAGACTTTGGACTGTGGATTGTTGAGTTAATGCTGAAATGAGTTAAGATTTGGGGGACTATTGGGAAGGCACGATTGGTTTTGAAATGTGAGGAGATGAGATTTGGGAGGGGCCAGGGGCAGGATGATATGGTTTGGCTGTGTCCCCACCCAAATCTCATCTTGAATTCCTGTGGGAGATAATTGAATCATGGTGGCAAGTCTTTCCTGTGCTGTTCTCATGACAGTGAATAAGTGTCATGAGATCTCATGGTTTTAAAAAGAGGAGTTCCCCTGCACAAGCTCTCTCTTTTTGCCTGCTGTCATTCATGTAAGACGTGACTTGCTCCTCCTTGCCTTCAGCCATAATTGTTAGGCTTCCCCAGCCATGTGGAACTGTAAGTCCAATTAAACCTCTTTCTTTTGTAAATTGCTCTATCTTAGGTATGTCTTTATCAGCAGTGTGAAAACGGATTAATATAGGTCCCATTTATTTATTTTTGGTTTTGTCACATTTGCTTTTGGGGTGTTAGTCATGAATTCTTTGCCTAGGCCAATGTCCAGAAAAGTTTTCCAATGTTATATTCCAGAATTTTTATGGTTTCAGGTCTTAGATTTAAGTCTTTATACATCTTGAGTTGATTTTTGTATAGGGCGAGAGATGGAGATCCAGTTTCACTCTTTTTTTTTTTTTTTTTTTGAGATGGAGTCTCACTCTGTTGCCCAGGCTGGAGTGCAGTGGCACGATCTCAGCTCACTGCAACCTCCACCCTCCAAGTTCAAGCGATTTTCCTGCCTCAGCGTCCCAAATAACTGAGATTACAAGCACCTGCCACTGGGCCCAGCTGATTTTTTGTATTTTTTTAGTAGAGCTGGGATTTCACCATCTTGGCCAGGCTGGTCTTGAACTCCTGACCTCACGATCCACCCACCTCAGCCTCCCAAAGTGCTAGGATTACAGGTGTGAGCCACTGCGCCTGGCCTCCAGTTTCAGTCTTTTATATGTGGCTTGTCAGTTTTCCCAGCACCATTATTTATTTATTTATTTATTTATTTATTTATTTATTTATTTTAGAGATGGAGTCTTGCTCTGTCACCCAGGCTAGAGTGCAGTGGCGCGATCTCGGTTCACTGCAACCTCTGCCTCCCGGGTTCAAGCAATTCTCCTGCCTCAGCCTCCCAAGTAGCTGGGATTACAGGTGCCCACCACCATACCTGGCTAAGTTTTGTGTTTTTAGTAGAGATGGGGTTTCACCATGTTGGCTAGGCTGGTCTCAAACTCCTGACCTTGTGATCTGCCCACCTCGGCCTGTAATCAAAGTGCTGGGGTTACAGGCATGACTCACCATGCCTGGCCTTCCAGCACCATTTATTGAATAGGGTATCCTTTCTCCAATTTATGTTTTTGTATGGTTTGTTGAAGATCAATTGGCTGTAAGTATTTGGTTTTATTTCTGGGTTCTCTATTCTGTTCCATTGGTCTAAGTGCCTATTTTTATACTAGTCCCAGTAGTACTGGTACTACAGTACTGTAGTCTACAGTCTTGTAGTATAATTTGAAGTCCAGTAATGTGATGCCTCCACATTTGTTCTTTTTGCTTAGGATTGCTTTGGCTATGCAGGCTCTTCTTTGGTTTCATGCGAACTTTAGGGTTGTTTTTCTAGTTCTGTGAGAAATGATGATGATATTTTGTTAGGAATAGCATAAAATCTGTAGTTTGCTTTGGGTAGTATGGTCATTTTCACAATATTACCTTCCCATCCATGAACATGGCATATGTTTCCATTTTTTTGTGTGTCATCTATGATTTCTTTCAGCATGTTTTGTAGTTTTCCTTGTAGAGATCTTTCACCTCCCTTGATTAAGTACACTCCTAGGGTATTGTTTTTGGGTTTTTTTTTTTTTTTTTTTTCAGTTGTTATAAAAGGGATTGAATT